>NC_000002.12:235368405-235671436 GCF_000001405.40 Homo sapiens
CTTCTGTTACAAAAGCTACTGACATGTCTCAGCAAGGAAGCAGTAGCAAAGGAGACAAGTTGGCCCATGAGGGAAACCATTCTTCTTTCTGCCTAGCCACTAGACGGCGAGGCCTGCCAAGAGAGTCGCCACGTTGATGGTGGGCCAGGGTTGTTCTTCATTTGCGATTGATAAAGTGACTTGGGATAAGAAACGGAATATGCGCTTTATTACCTGTCATGGAAAACCCCTTGGGAAAATCTAGGCAATACACAGGGAAAAGCACCTGTCCATTTCTATGGCTAAATCAGAAAATACTGTTTTAGGCTGGGCGCGGTGGCTCACGTCTATAATCCCAGCACTTTGGGAGGCCGAGGCGGGTGGATCACCTAAGGTCAGGAGTTCGCGACCAGCCTGACCAACATGGTGAAACCCCATCTCTACTAAAAATACAAAAATTAGCCGGGTATGGTGGTGTGTGCCTGTAGTCCCAGCTACTTGGAAGGCTGAAGCATGAGAATCGCTTTAACCCGGGAAGCGAATGTTGCAGTGAGCCAATATCACGCCACTGCACTCCAGCCTGGGCAACAAAAGCAAAACTGTCTCAAAAAAAAAAAGAAAATACAGTTTCAATTTTGGTGACTCTGTAATACATGCATTATTTAAAAAGCCTTTTTCAATTGTAGGCTTTCGTTTTCACAAAGAAAACGAGCAGCAAACTAAATCTGTAAAAATTTGCACTTTAAGCAAGAGAAAATGAATGTGACTAACTTAGGCGCTTGCTCATTTCACAAACAAGGAAGAAAGTGTTATCATGAAGAGCTCCAAAATCACGGTTTAAACATATTCCCAAGCTCTAATGTGAGCTCAAAGCAAAGCGAATTCTCACATTTTCTTTCAAGAGTCATCACCGAGGGGAAGTAGATGAATGCTTAAATACGTGTGAGTAATCTAGAGTAGAATGAACTTGACTGTCTACTCAAAAGTTGGTAAATGAAAATCTATTTCGTACCTTACACACTTAGGCAGTGCTCAGGGGTGAGGACATGCAGACCAAGTCCACGGTGGCCAGGCTCACCCAAACCCACCCTCTCCATCCTCCTCACCTTCCTATGCTGCCCACCTTACCCACACTAGCTCCTTTCCATCGGGCCTCAATTGTGTCCCAGGCAGCGTGCACAGGCCACCATAGCAGGGACATCAACCCCAAAGAAGAGTGAAAGTAATGTCTCTACTGTGGGAGAGCTCACCACAGTCCAGGAGTAAAGGCAGGGACAACCTCTGCTTCTCCTGGCAGGATGGGGGAAGATAAGAAAGAGGATCAGGTAGACTATGGCAGGAGTTTGGAGGAGGGGAAGGGTCCCTTCCATTACGGGGATCCAGGAAGATGGCTTGAAGGAGGGGCCTTGGACTGAACCTTGGGACTGTGAATGTTAGTGGTAAGGAGGGGCTCCCAAGGACAGGCCCCAGCACTCACAAAGACGACAGGTAGAAAAGCACATTGAGTGAACAGTGGTTTTCTGGCCTGGCTGCTGGGTAGTGTGAGAAGCTGAGCAGGAGAGGGAAGGAGGAGGAGAAGTAGAGGAAGGGCCAGGCCAGGGCAGAGAAGGCTTGCATGGTAGATGCTATAGAAGCTGGGCTCAATTCAGAGTGAAAAAGCATCACCTCTTAGAGACTACTGTCTAGGCATCCCAGAGCTGTACTTCCGGGGAGGACCCCCAGAGACCAGGGACCTTCCTGCTCTGGCCTGAGTGCCATTACCCTGACCCCAGCTCATGAAGCTGCTTCTTCATGAAACCTCCTTTGAAGTTGAGAATGATGCAGCCAAACCAGTTCAATTCGGTTCAGGTTCAAGAGCTGCCCGGAGGAAGCTCTGGGCTGAGCAGGTGCTGTATCAAGCTGGGTAGAAATGGAGGATCCCACAGGAAATATGCTCAGGTATGTGGGCAGGTGCATGGGCAAGTTGGCAACTCCTAAACTAAGCAGAAATCAACATTTCTCCACCAAATACTATAAATGCATCATGCATCAGGAGTTCCCGAAACCTTTTAGCTTTTGGGGTCTAAGTGTCAGACTCTAATGAAAGCTATAAGACCTCCCTCTCTGCAGCCACTCACATCCACACTAAATTGTAGGCCCCCAGCCCGTGGGCATCCCACGCCTCTCCTAATTTCCCAAGACTAGACTGTGACAGTGCCCTGGGAATGGGAACAGTAAGTGATTTATCTCCACAACAGCAAACGGTTAAACTACTCAACGAACCTGTGATTCTGGACCAGAGTCATCAGGCAGAGTAAAAATAATTGCTCAGAGACTGTGCTGCAGTTGCAGTAAGTATCGCAATTGCAACCCTTATTGTTGTCATCTAAATGAAGCCCAAAGGCAAGAAGCTGCCCTAGACCACGTCATGGGCACCCGCGTCACCTGGGAGGCATGAGGGCTAATCTAACCCCACCTGGCCCATTCTCTCCACCTGCTCACCATACTGGTTGCCCAGACTCTGGCTCCTCTCACTTCCAGACTTCCCAGTAGACCAGTTTCCTCTCATCTTATGCTTCTCCATTAGGATGGATAGATCCCCATCAACTTCTCAGCTCCACCTCAAATCCTGCCAGGAAACCTTCTCCTTAGAGTCCCAGGGCACAAGATCAGGGCTGAATCAAGGAACCCCAGCTCAAAAGTTACCAGCTGCTCATCCACACACTCCTGCAGACTCTGAACAGCTGCACACACACCTGCCCACATACCTGCCCATGCACCTGTCTACATAGCTACCCCCACACCTGCCCACACACCTGCCTACATACCTGCCCATGCATCTGTCTACATACCTGCCCACACACCTGTCTGCATACCTACCCACACACCTGTCTACATACTTGCCCACGCACCTGCCAATACACCTGTCCATGCACCTGCCCGTGCACCTGCCCACATACCCGAGCGCACTTCCTGTGGGCTCCTCCATTTCTACCCAGCTTGACACAGCACCTGCTCAGCCCAGAGCTTCCTCCGGGCAGCTCTTGAACCTGAACCGATTTGAACTGGTTTGGCTCCGTCATTCTCAACTTCAAAGGAAGTTTAAAATACAGACAGTCCCCGCTGGCTCTACTTATAACTTTTTGACTTTACAATGGGTTTATCAAAATATTAAATCCATTTTTGACTTATGATAGGTTTATTGAAATGAAACCCCAACCATAAGTCGAGGAGCATCTGTACAGATTTCTAGACCCATAAGTGGTATGAGCTGGAGCCTAGGAATCATTTCTCTCAAAAGCACCCCAGCTGATTCTGAGCTGCAGTCAAGGGTGTGAGTGCTACCCAGCCTGTAAATCCTGGCTCCCAGGTCCTGTGCCTCTAGCATTGCTAAAGAACTCCAGTGCCACCTCCATCTTCATTTCTTCAACACACATGGTCCAGGTACTTTCCTTGGCCCTGCGCAGTGCTAGGGACAGAGAGATGGGTAAGCGGGGGAGGGAACTTACGAGAAATTAGTAAGATATGATCCCTGCAATGAAAAAGCTCATTATCAAGTACAAATAACAGAAATAAGAATAAATCATACAAAAATTAGCCAGGGGTGGTGGCAGGTGCCTGTAATCCCAGCTACTCGGGAGGCTAAGGCAGGAGAATTGCTTGAACCCAGGAGGCAGAAGTTGCAGTGAGCCAAGATTGTGCCACTGTACTCCAGCCTGGGCAATAAGAGTGAAACTCTATCTGAAAAAAAAAAGAAATATGAATAAATCATTACTGTGCACAATGAACAGTTCTCCACTAACATAATTACCAAAGTTCCATTAGAGCTCAGCAAAGCAGAGGCTGCCCAAAAGTCAAAGGTGGCTGCCCAAAACTGCATCTGGAAGAACAAGCTAACCAAACAAAGAGAGGGGCCACCCCCTCATGCCAACCCATTTTCTTCTATGCCATCATTTTTCAGGGCTGTAAAGGAGGCCACTGCCAGGCTGGCTCATAATTTTGATAATCAATTTTCTATTATTCCATATTTAGGTTGCCTCTGGTTGATTTTTCCTTATTCTAAGCCTATCGCAAGCTTTCTGAATTAAAAATATTTCCCTCTAAAAAATTCCATACACAACTACCAAGCCTGAATAATTTACGAGGTTTTCTTCATCTGTGTCCATTTGAAAGGTGAAAATTTGAATATTACTTTAACTTATATCCCCAAGAATATTAATTGCAATTTAAAAAATATTTATTGACAATTTTTATTTCTTCCTCTGAGGATTTTTCTAGTCTGATAGTCATTTGCCCATTGCAGTGTTTGTGTTTTTTCTTGCTAATTTCAAAGAGTTTGTCTTAATCTTATAAAGATATTGACCTTTTATTGCATACATGTAATACATATTTTTAAATGTTTTAACATTTGTATACTATGTGTTTATTTTTATTTTTATATACAACATGTTTGGGATACTAAGGTTTTTTTGTATGTAGTAAAATCTGCCAATATTTTGCTTTATGATTTCTGCTTTGGTTAGCAGTACCTCATTGCTAAATTACATTTTTAAACTGCTGTACACTTAATAGCTTCTGCTACGTTGTCCCATATTACATGTCCTATCCATATATATTATAATTAAATATTGATTGAATCCATTCTTAATGGTTCAGTTTAGTGCATCAAAATTTTTGTCACTGTATAAGAAGCACTAGTTGCTCAAAGGAATCAATTATCCTACAAATATGAAAATCTTGTTCCTACCTTACATATGGGTTTAAGTAAAATGTCCTTTCTAATAGCTACAACAATTATCATTAAGAAACATATGCTTAAACACATCAGTCTAGCAGAAATCATTTTTTCCTTCTGTAATTGCATCTTGCAGAAGTGTAGTCACTATTCACTTCAAAGTAGCAAGCAATCAAGAGAATGAATTAGAGAGAGTCCTTGTTTAATACCTAACCTCATGCCCCCTTGGTCTTCAGAGCAGCTGCTCCTTCGCTTGCCAATTGAGAACCAGCTTCTCACCCTCAAACCATCAAAATAGCTTTCCAATGACTAAATTCAGCAAGCACATCTCTGATCCATCTGCCAGAGTATTTCGCTCTGCTGCCCTCTCCCACTGCCCTGCCACTCTCCCTCTTTTGGCTTCTGTGACCTACTCCTTCTAGTTTACACCCTGCCCCTTCTATCCCCCCCCCCACCCCCCAGCTCCCCACCCCTTGTCCAAGGCCCTCTTCGTCCATTTCCCTTTGACTACAGATTCCAAGCTCAGCTTCCTTTGCTCTACCCTAGCTGTTCTCAAAGTGTGGTCCCTGGACCAGCAGCATCAACTGGAAACGTGTGAGAAATGCAGATACTCAAGCCTCGCCCCCAACCCACTGAATTGGAAATTCTGGGGTTAGAGCCCAAGCATTGCTCCATGTAATCTCATCAAAATTTCCAAGCCGTTTTCTCCAGGCCAAACATCTTTTGTGGGCTTTAGACCCACGAATTAAATTCCCCAAAGGGCATCTCCTTTTCTGATGTCTAACGGCCACCTCGACTCCTCTGGGTGAAAATCATATCATCATTTTATCCAACCTGCCCACCCCCCACCCCGCCTACCTCCATCATTACCTCTCTGGATAGACAGCACCTCCCAATATCTCACCTCCTGCCAGTTTGCTCACATCTCACCTTCTCCTGAGTCCTGCCCCATCACTGTTTGCAAGACTGCAAGCTGTCACCCACCCACCTCTATCCCCCAGTCCCGCTTATCCTGACCACTCTTTCTCCCGCATAGCACTCACCACCCCTCTACATATTTGGTGTCTAGAATGGAAGCTCTGTCAGGAGGGGATCTTTGTTTTGTTCACGGTATATCCCAGACATGCAGAATAACGCCGGACGTGGAGGCATGCATTACAGATTTAAATGAGGGACTGAAACCCTCAGATTCACCGAGTTTTTCTTGCGTTAAGTTAGACTTAGAAAGCTAACTAAGGCATGACTTCATGAGTTACACATTATATTGCTGAGTGGAAAAAGCAGATTATAGAATATTCTTCTAGTGTGATGCATTCATTTGCAATGTACGCACATAGAGCGTGCGCAGCCAGAGAGTGACGTCTAGGAGGAGAGTCACCGAAACACTGTATTTAGTAGTTATCTCTGGTGATCTCATTCACACCTCCACCTCATGCACGTGCGTTTCAAACCCTACGGTGCCACGGGTCACGAATGAACTCACAGCCAGTTCCAGACGAAACGTTCCGTCATTATTTCCAGAATCTCAGCCGCTAGGTTTCGTCAGCTCCTTTTAGAAAACCCTCCACACGCTTGTCTCCTGTAGCATTGCTCTTCCCTGGGTCTCCTCCTTCCTCTCTGCTACTTTTCTTCCTTTGCTTCCATCTCCCCTTCTCCCTCCCCTCCGTCACCACTCGCCCACTCACTGACACCCTCTTTCTTCGCTGGTCTTTCCTAAGGCCTTCCTCACTTCACAATCCTTCCGGAAAAGCCCAGCGACTCCAGGGAAAGCCCAGGCCCTCCTGGTTTTACTCCACCCACCTGGGTCCTTAAGGACTCCTGGGCTGCAGCCTTACACGTCTAATTCCTGGCTGAACATTTTCACCTGGCCACTCAACTCCATGGGCACTTAAGAAAAACATCACTGGCTGGGCGTGGTGGCTCACGCCCAGGACTTTGGGAGGCCGAGGCGGGCAGATCACGAGGTCAAGAGATCGAGACCATCCTGGCAACATGGTGAAACCCCATCTCTACTAAAAATACAAAAATTAGCTGGGCGTGGTGGCGCGTGCCTGCAATCCCAGCTACTCAGGAGGCTGAGGCAGGAGAATCTCTTGAACCCAGGAGGCGGAGGTTGCAGTGAGCCAAGATCACGCCACTGCACTCCAGCCTGACGACAGAGCAACGCTCCGCCAAAAAAAAAAAAATCACTACGACTAAAATCAGCAGCGGTAGCATTTTCCTGACTATGCTTGTTTGTTTGTTCTTCCCAAGGAACTTTATAACCAATTGATCTAACTCTAGAAAAAAAAAAAAGCTGTAGAATTTTTTTGAGATTATGTTTAATGTAAAAATTAATAGGTATTAGGTTGGTGCAAAAGTAATTGCAGTACTTTTGCACCAACCAATAGAATTTTCATCTTTAAGTTGTTGAGTTTTCTATCCAAGCACATGTACACCTTTCCATTGATTTAAGTTCTACTACTGTGTTTTTCAGAAGGATTTTAGAGCCTTCTTTATGCAGATGGTAGGCATTTGTTAAGTTTATTCCTGGCTATTTTATTCTCTTACTTGCCATCATAAATTGGGTCTTCTCTCCTATTACGTCTTCTGTCTTGCTCTGCTTGATATTTATATGTTAATTTCATAACTGACTACTTCACTACATTTCAGCTTTTCCTTCCAGTACTAATGCCTTTTATTCCTCTCCCTTGTCAAAATGCAGGGGTTAATCATTTCAACACATTATAAGCAGTTGAAATAGTGGGCGTGTGTTTGTCTTATTGCTTACTTTAATCAGAAAGCCTCTCATGTTTTCCAATCAATAAGGTGCTAGCTTTGGGGCTGATATATATATATATATATATATATATATATATATATATATATATATATATATATATATCACACACACATATATGTACCACATATATAAACATATACATATATACATACACACATATGAACACACACAGACATAATCGAAGTAAGAAACTATCTGTCAAGTCCTGTTTGATGGAGAGAGTATTGTTTTCTATCAAATGCTTTGGTTTGGTTTGGTCGTGCATCTTTGGAGATGATTTTATGATTTTTCTCCTTATGTCTGTTAGTATGATGGATTATATTAATGGATTTCCTAATATTGCTTTGACTTTGCTGTATTAGTTATCTATTGCTACATAACAAGTCATCTCAAAACTTAATGGCTTAAAATAACAATAAACATTTATTTTCCCACAGTTTTTGAGAATCAGGAATCTGGGAAGAGGTTCTCTGGATTAGCTAGACATGGATCAGCAGCAACTATTAACATCACCAAAAAAAAGACAGTCGACCATTGTATGCCTCCTGATGGAAGGGGTTGCTTAGAAAATTGAGCTCAGATTTGATCAAGTCTTGAGCCAGCTACCAATCATAAATACAAAGAACAGAAGGACATGTAAAAGGCACCATGAAGAAGCAGTAGCTAAATCCAAACCACAGGAGACTCTACGGGACAAATACTCTAATTTTCCAACATATGAATGTTAAGGAAAAAGACAGCCAGGTGCAATGGCTCATACCTGTAATCCCAGCACTTTGGAAGGCCAAAGGAGGAGAATCACTTGAAACCAGGAGTTTGAGAACAGCCCAGGCAACATAGCAAGACAACATCTCAAACAAAAAATTTAAAACTTAGCCGGGCATGGTGGCACATGACTGTAGTCTCAGTTACTTGAGAAACTGATAGGGAAGGATCACTTGATCCCAGGAGTTTGAGGTTGCAGTGAGCTATGATCGTGCCACTGTACTCCAGCCTAGGTGACAGAACAAGACCTGCCTCTAAAAATAATAATAATCAAAGAGAAAGAGAGAGATGTAGGGGAAAAGAGATAGAAAGAGATTTGAGAAGCATATTATTCAATCACAACAAAGGGATCTTACTTGGATCCTGACTCAAAGAAATCATAAGAAAAAATTATAAGATAATTGAAAATTTGATCACTGGCTGAATATCAGATCATATTAAGGAATCATTGTTAATTTTTTTAGCTGCAATAACAGCATTTTTAGTATTTCTTTAATTCCTCATATTTTATAGACATATCCTAAACTATTAATAGATAACAGAATATGATATCTTGGATTCGTTTCAAAATAATATGGAAGTGGGAGGTGGGTACAGAAGAAGCAATAAATATTGGCCACGACTGGTTGCTGTTGAAATTGGATAATGGCCCCTTGGGGCTTCATCACCCTTTTCTGGGTACTTTTGCATGCATGTGACATTTTGCCATATGATTCGCCTTCCAAACATCTGCACACATCATTTTCTTGACCCATTCTGACCTGCCCCTTTTCCTCAAAGTTTTATTTCAGTTAACCACATCACCTTCTGCCCAGGCACCTAAACCAGAAAGCTTAAAACACAACCAGTTCTCATTTCACAAAATCTGTCAAATCCCGCATCCTGATGGTTTGTATGTTTTAAGGTTTTTTTTTTTTTTAAGGTAAAATTCAGATAACATGCAATTGACTCTTTAGAGGTGCACAGTTCAGCGGCATTTAGTGTTTTCCCAGCGTTAGGCATCCGCCACCTCTCTCTAGTTGCTAAACTTTTCATCACATCCGAGAAATACCCTGTACCATTAAAGTCATCACTCCCATTCCCCACTCTCCCACCCTTTGGTAACCATGAATGTGCTTTCTAGCTCCGTGGACTTGCCTATTAGGAATATCTTATATATAAGGAGTCATGCAAGCTGCGGTCTTTTGCAACTGACTTCTTTCACTTAGCGTAATGTTTGTGAGGTTCACCCAAGTTGTACCATGTGTCAGTACTTATCTAAATTATTTTAATTGCTCCCTTTAGTTTTATCTCTACCACCCCTCCTCTGTCTGCTTCAGGCCTTTATCTCCTCTTCCCTCGTCCTTCTCTCTTCTCTCTTCCTTCTTCCCTCACTGTTGCCTTGAACAGCTTCCAAGTGGTCTCGCTGCCTCCAGTCTTGCTCTCCCACCCATCCTCCTTATTGCAGCCAAAGTGATCGTGTCTTTTTCCATCACATCCCGCTCCCGTCAGCCAACCATTCTTCCATCAAGATTCATGTCTAAGTCTGATTAAAGCGCTGTTCTCCATTATTCTTTCTTCTCTCTTATTTTCTTGATCACATTCATTCTATCTATCCTAACGTTTACAACACTCCTTGTCACATCCATTGCAGCATTGCTTTCATTAGCCAAACACTGAGAATAACCTAAAAGCCATCAATAGGGCCAGGGTTGGAGTAATTCTGCTACACCCACAGGATGAAATGTGACAATAATGCAACTGTTAAGGGAAATGAGGGTAAGAGAAAGTGACATCAGGAACTTCCTGGTGTGAGGCGCTGAGATGGCAGCATCACTTAGGCAGGACTCCTGCCAAAATGAATCACCTGACTCTAGCAATGAGGAAACATTCAGATGAATTCAAACTGAGGGACAGTCTACAAAACTGGCCTGTGTGCCTTAAAAGATCTCGGTGTCTTGGAGAGAGGATGAGCAATAGTTAAAGAGACTGAAGACGTAGGACAACCAAAGGCAGTGAGTGTCCCTGAATTGGATCCCAAATCAGAAGAATAAATTGCAATTAAGGACACTATCGGGATGACTGGGGGACTATCAATATAGACTTACATGGTATCTTGCTTTAAGGTGTTTTTATAGAAAGCTTTAAGGTGTTTTTATGTATATTTGATAGTGGTATTAGATGGATGTTAAATTCCCTGAAAATGATTTGTACTCTGCACGTATGAGAGAATGCCCTTGCTCTCTGGAGATACACACTGAGATATTTAGTGATAAAAGATGAAGATGTCCCCCAACTTAGTCCCAAATGTCTCTGCAATAATAGCAATCCTTATGTGCATATATGTACACACACTTATGTATATGAGAGAGAGTGTATGCTTAAATGTGGCAGAACGTGAACAACTTGGTAAAACTAGGTAAAGGCTATATACAAAATCATTGCATTATTATTTTTCTGTAAGCTGGAAGAAGTCCAGGGAGACTCACATGAATCACAAGCTGTTCACAGTGGCTGCTGCGCAGGGCAGTCCTGGCTTCCACAGCGTGTCCTAAAATGCGATACTTACAAGCCTCCCTTCCTCTTACAAACCTCCCTTCATGGACAATAAGCCACTTGGTCACCAGCTGTAGGAATGGGTTAAGAGGAACAGAGGATTTTACATTTAACTTCATATAAATTTGTAAAGTTTTAATTTTTTAATGGTGATCACTGATTATTTTATAATAAAATAGTCTTTTTAAAAGTATAAACAGTTTATCACTTACAAATTCTATCTAATCTGTAACCTAGAGGAGTGGATAATGAATTACTCATCAAAAAGTATTATAAACACCTATAAAACATGCTCAGTCTCAACAATTATTAGTGAAACCCAAAAAGCAAAACAACAGCAAGGCATCATTTTCATCAATCAGATTGACAAAAATTAGGTAAACTGGCCGGGCAGTGGCTCATGTTTGTAATACCAGCACTTTGGGAGGCTGAGGCGGGCAGATCACAAGGTCAGGAGTTCAAGACCAGCCTGGCCAGCACAGTGAAACCCCCTCTCTACTAAAAGAAAAAACAAAAATTAGCTGGGCATAGTGGCGGGCACCTGTAATCCCAGCTGCTCTGGAGACTAAAGCAGGAGAATCACTTGAACCCAGGAGGCGGAGGTTGCAGTGAGCCGAGATAGAGCCACTGCACTCCAGCCTGGGTGACAGAGCTAGACGCCCTCTCAAAAAAAAAAAAAAAAAATAGATAAATTGTACATAGCATCAGCAAAAGTGGAGGGGGAAGGATGCCCTTCTCATAGACTGCTGGTGGGAAAATAAATTCTGTTAGTCATTTTGCAGAGTGTTTCTGTAATATCTATGATAATTTAAAATGTGCATGCTCTATAGTGTAGCCATTTAACTTTTAGTTCTATATGCTAGAGAAACTCTATGCACAAAGTGATATGTACGGAGATGTTTAATGTAGCATTATCTGCAGCGGAGGAAACCAGGTGCCAATGTCCATCGGTGTAGGAATGCATGAATAAAATAAGTGTAGGTCTCCAAGGTTCAACTGTTCGAAGAGATGCATTAGATCCACACATGGCTCTATGCATAGACTCAAGAGCCAAAGACTGAGTGAGAAAGACAAGATACAGAATGATAAGAAAAAGTTTATGCCATGTGTGTGAGAAATTTTGAAAACACGAAAACAATACTAGATACTGTGTACATGTGGATATATGTATTTAAATTATTTTCAAATGGAACAAAGGGACATGTGCCAAGCTTTGGAGAGTAGGTGGCTTTGGCAAGATGAGAAGAAAATGGAATTGAAGTAGGGGTGGTAGATCTGATAAGTACAAGGACATAAGCTATATCTGTAATATTTTAATTTTTTATTTAAAAAAGGAAGCCAATAAGTCAAAATACTATCAGTTGTTAATTCTAGATGGTGCAAAAAATGAATGCATATTTCTAAAATTTCTAATTTTTTCAAAATAAATATGAAGATTTAAAGATATGCTAAAGAACTATCTCACAATATTATTACACCATCCAGAGGGGATCCTGACAACATAGAATAAAATTCCTGCACCCCGACAAAAACGGAGATCAATATCTCGACAGCAATTTCATTCTAAGGCACAAAATGTGGCTGGAATATTGAAGAGTCTAGACAGAGCAGCCCACAGACATGCATGTGGGTCAAACCCAGCCAGAAACACAGCCCACATGTGGGATGGGTTCATTCAATAATTTTACACCTGCCAATGTGTTTTGGGGAGAAATCATGGCAGCCTCTCAGATGCATGACTTTTGGTCCCAACTTCCTCTTTGAATTAGTGACTAATGAATGGGAGGAGGAGTGACAAAGTCTTCTTTGTCATGTAAAAGTGAATCTACTTGCGGGGGACAGTGGCTCACGCTTGTAATCCTAGCACTTTGGG
Source organism: Homo sapiens (assembly GCF_000001405.40). Taxonomy (NCBI): domain Eukaryota; kingdom Metazoa; phylum Chordata; class Mammalia; order Primates; family Hominidae; genus Homo; species Homo sapiens. The sequence goes on from NC_000002.12 coordinate 235,381,054, forward strand.
AGGCCGAGGTGGGTGGATCACGAGGTCAGGAGTTCGAGACCAGCCTGGCCAGCATGGCGAAACTCCATCTCTACTCAGGAGGCTGAGGCAGAAGAATCTCTTGAACCCAGGAGGCAGAGGTTGCAGTGAGTGAGTAGAGATCGCGCCGCTGCACTCCAGCCTGGGCGACAGAGTGAGACTCCATCCCAAAAAAAAAAAAAATGGTGAATCTACTTATTTCAAAATGGGAAGGTCAAAATCAGAAAACTCTTCTAATCCCTGCAGCACATCAAAGCTCCAGGTATACTCAGCATATACTAAACAGTACTCAAGTTGCATTCATTAGAATCACCCGGGGAAAACTTATTAAACATGCAAATTCCTGAGCACCACAGTCAGCCATTCTGATTCAAGAAGAGTGAGATGGGGCTTTGCATTCTGTGTCTTTAGCAAACTTCCCCCAGATGATTCAGCTTTATGTACCCTGTGCAACGTGATCTGAAAAAGAATAAAACAGATTATTAATTAGACAATCTCCACTTCCCACTCAACAACAGCTTTGGTTATGTGCAACCAAAAGCTGTTTGTATAGGGGGTGGTTGGTTTGTTGGTTGTTGGAGGGGAGGGGTGTGAGTGGGTTGCCTGGTTAATTGGTTGGTGGGAGGGTGGGTTGGTTAGTTGGTTGGTGGGTATGGGGGAGTAGGTTGGCTGGTTAGTTAGTTGGTTAGTGGGTGGGTGGATAGGTTGGTTGGTTGGTTGGTTGGTGTGTTGTTTGGTTGCCTAGAATGTTTGTTTTCTCAAAACTCTAACTGGAATTTCTGTCCATTCTCTCCCATTTGGCTTCTGCTCTCCATATTAGAAATATGGCATCTTCATTGGACATCTTCCCATTTCATCCTTGTCTTTCACATCAGAATAAGGCCTTAACACATGAAGGAGGAGCCCCCTGCAGTCAGCTCTTTTCTTCAAATCTAGCTGTTCTAGAAACCTGTCCTGAGTTATTTTAGGACCAAACACTAAGCCTAGTGTCTGGCTTTTGGTTGATTTTCCTCATAACTTGCCAGAGGGAGAATGAGCGTAATTGTAGTAGAAAGAACACTTCTTAGACAAAGTTAGTGTGGTAGTTAATTTTATGTATCAACTTCATCAACTACAGAGTGCCCAGACATTTGGTCAGACATTATTCCGGGTGTGTCTTTGAAGATGTTTCTGGATGAGATCAGCATTTGAATCAGTCCAGTGAGTGAAGCAGACGGCCTGCCCTAATGCGGGTGGGCCTCATCCAATCAGTTGACAGCCAGAATAGAACAAAAAGGCTGACTCTCCCTCGAGTAAGGGAAGACTTCCACCTGCCTGACTGCCTTTGAGCTGGGGCATTGTTTGTTTGATTTTTTTCTGCCTTTGGACTCAAACTGCAACGTCAGCTCTTTTTGGGTCTCGAGCCTGCTAGCTTTTGGACTGGAACTACACTCTTGGCTCTCCCAGGTCTCCAGCTTGCCAACTACAGATCTAGGAACTTGTCAGGCCTCATAACCACATGAGCCAATACCTTTAAAAAATTATATACATATATATATATGAATCCTATTGTTCTGTTCCTCTGAAGAACCTTGACTTACACAAGCAGCAATAGGAAACAAACACGCTCCTTTCACAGAAGAGAGATCTACAATCTAGAGAAGCAAAGGGAACTTGACAGAGCTCACACAGTTTGTGTTAGGACAGGATTCAAGACCAGATGCCCTCCTGCAGAGCCTGGACTCCCGCCTCAGACCTCTTCACCATGTCATGCTGCTCCCACTTCCTTGCCTGCCGTGGCTCATGACCAATGTAAGATGATCATTGAAGATGATTGACTAAAGATGACAGCAGGCCCAGTAAGAGAATATCAGTTTCTTTAATGGCAAAGGGTACCCCACATCTGGAGATGCCTGATGTGCTCCAGATGCAGAGCAGCTCCTGACACCTGGCAGATTTCTCGCTCCTGGCGGGAGAGGTCAGCCACCTGCAGGCTCAGTGTGTGCTGCTCTGAGCTTCTAGAAAGCACATGCTGGGCCATCTCCTGCCTTAGGTAGACACCTGGTCCCCATGCCCTCCTCTATTGAGTGTCTCTGGTGTTCTTCTGTCAGTCAATCATAGTGCCAGTGACCATCATACACTCACCTGTTAGAAAAGAAAAGGGCCCAAATGATAATGAAGGGCTGGAATTTCTTCTACCACATGGATCTCTGCAGGACCAGTCATGTTAAAGACCACAATAAAGGCTAGCACTCCAGGGTCACTGTACTAAGACCCTCGTCCTGCCCAGTGCCAAGAGAAGTCAGTGAGAATTAAACTCTAAGAAGCCCCCTGAATTGGAGGAAATGCTAGCATTTGTCCTCTGAAGCTGCCAGCTGCATGAGTGCACAGCTGCTGGTTGAATTCCGTGGCTGAGGTTGGATGCCTGCCTGACCTGGCCTCGCCAATGCTGGGTATACAGCAGAGGGGATAGTCTCAAATCAGGCCATCAGAAGAGTGGTGGGCAATCTCAAAGAGAAGGCACAGCTGGGAAGAAAATTTTCCATCTGCCCTGAGTAGAGGGAGGAGAAATAGGTCAGGCCAGACAATGTAGGGGCTGTCCGCGGACGGTGATCTGAAAATGAATCACTTCTGTGTTGAGCAGAGGCTAGGTCAAATTTTCCAGAAAGGGCAGAATTCCCAGTTGGGTAAACTATTGGGACATAGAAAAGACACATCGTTGGCACAGGGGAAGAATCACTGAACTTGGAGATGAAAGATCTGCCAATTCCTGTGCGCTGGGTGGGTACCTTACCTAAACCATCTGAGTTTCAATGTCTTCAACTGCAAAGTGGGCCCATGAGATGAAATAAGAAAATCTGTTTTGCAAAGTTTTTTTTTTATTTTTTATTTTTATTTTGTTTTATTTTATTTTTTGAGACGGAGTCTGGCTCTGTCACCCAGGCTGGAGTGCAGTGGCGCGATCTCGGCTCACTGCAAGCTCCGCCTCCCGGGTTCACGCCATTCTCCTGCCTCAGCCTCCTGAGTAGCTGGGACTACAGGCACCCGCCACTGCCGCCGGCTAACTTTTTATATTTTTAGTAGAGACGGGGTTTCACCGTGGTCTCGATCTCCTGACTTCGTGATCTGCCCACCTCGGCCTCCCAAAGTGCTGGGATTACAGGCTTGAGCCACCGCGCCTGGCTGCAAACTATTCTTAAGATTGTATCCATTGATATTAATAAGGGCTAATTGTCTGGCCCATAGTACAGTTTTGGGGCAGTGTCTATTGAAGAATTCCTAACTTATCTTGCAAGGACTATTATGCACTTAGTGAAATTTAATCCCATAGCCATCCCATAAGTGGCCATTGGGAGCTCCTTTTACAGTTAAGAAGACAGTCTCTAGAGCTTCCAGAACTCGTTCATGTACATTCCAGTCCCTGCCAGGGGACAGTCAGCGTGTGATGGAGCGCTGGGCCTGTGCTTATCCAACCCCGGCTCCCCAGCTCCTTCTTCGCCTGCTGTTTTCCATCTCAGCCTCCTCTTCATGGAGGGGTGAAAGGAAACCAGCCCCTGCCCCGCTGATCCCCATTCACAGAGGCCGTTTTTGTGGCCAGCCTGGGCTCGACATGACCAGCGTGGCAATGTGGACCTCTCTCCGCCGGCGCTGCCCATGTCCAGGCCCCCGCGAGCGCCTCCCCTGCTTCCCCGGCATTGTCCGAGGCCTGGCGGAAGAGAGGCTTCCCAGTGCTTCCCGCGGCCTGGGAATGTACAGTGAAGTCACCAGCCTGCGAAAGAAAAGGCCTCTGTCTCCCGGGTGACGGGGCTCTATTCGGGGATGCGCATTATGCAGCCCTGGTCCTCACAAAGAAAGTCGCGACTGTTCGGGGCACGTCATCTGGCCTGGCAGCTCTGAGAGGGGACATTTCATTTCCGCTCTGCATGTTCCCTCCTGCCCCCTGAATGGCTCTGGGCTGTGTGGCCACACAGTGACCCACTGCCTTTCTGCCAGGATGGTGCGAGCCACCCAGAGAGAAAAGTCCTGATTAGCACTTTCCCACGCGTGCCTCAGCCTGGCCAGGCATCCGCCGCAGGCAGAGGCGTTCCTGTGGCTCTGGGGTCCACAGTGGCTCTTGCTCCAGGCCTGGACGACAAGCTCTTACAGGCAGTAAGAGACATTGCCCTGTCTTGGTTCTTGGGGATGAGACCACAGGAGCTGCGAGCCCTGAGTGGGGGTCTGGCTGTAATGAAGGCCAGCAAGGCAGATGGTCAGGGCCAATGCCACGTCCACCCAGCAAAGCCAGAACAGGGACCAGGCTAGCGGCTGGGTTAGTGCAGAGCAGACAGCCGATCCTAGAGGGGCAAGATGAGACAGCACAGATCAGACCAAGGCCAAGTCCAGCAGCAGTGAGCAAGGGGTGGACATGTCCAAAACAGGGAAGTCAAAGTCGGTCTTGATCAGCTTCTCAAATGGACTAAGGGCCACCTATGTCAGAATCACAAAGTGAGACTGTTAAAAATACACAATTTAGGTTCCTACCCCAGACCAACAGAAAAAGAAGCTGCAAAGCTCTGGCCTGGGAATGGGCATTGTAAAAAAAAAGAGTTCTAGAGGGGCCACTTGAGCTCATTAAAACATATGTATGCCTAGTGTTCCATTATTGGAACACTGAGCATATGGGAGTTATTTATTCCCTACTGCTCAAGGTCATTGCCAAGGTCTGATTGCAAAAACTCAAAAAATAGCAACCTCAGGCACAAATGGGTTAAACTAGAAAGAGGTGTGTGAAGAAAAGCTCATAGGTTGCTTTCTCTAGACAGTGGGAAGACTAGAACCGTATAAAGTATTTTTTAATCTCCCTTCTCTCATCTTATTATTTATTTTGCCTCTTTTCACTCCTTTTTAACCACCCCATCCTAGGCAACCAGGCCAATGGATAATATGCATCTTGTTATTTAGATGTAACCTTAGAAAGTGCCTGTTTCTTGGTGTGTACCTGTATGACTTCCACAAATAAGGTTGCCTTGCCTAGCTGCTTCTTAATTTTTTCTTTTTTTTTTCTTTTTTTTTATTTTTTTGAGACAGAGTTTCGCTCTTGTTGCCCAGGCTAGAATGCAATGGTGCAATCTCAGCTCACTGCAACCTCTGTCTCCCAGGTTATGCCAGGCTAATTTTTGTATTTTTAGTACAGATGGGGTTTCACCATGTTGGTCAGGCTGGTCTTGAACTCCTAACCTCAGGTGATCTGCCCTGCTCGGCCTCCTAAAGAGCTGGGATTACAGGCGTGAGCCACCGTGCCCAGCCTGCTGCTTAATTTTTTCATACTGCACAAAGGTGCATTCATGTGGCTAAGTGCACCCCTCCTCCATCGATTGGAAGGACTATACAGATCCCTGTGGTGTCTGCCACATTCTATCTCATCACCCCCCAAGTGATGGGTGCCCAGTTGTCTTCATACCCCACCACATACAGATAAACACACTGAGCTATGCCCTCATCGACACAGAGAAGATTGGTGGTGGTATGCGTGTGCATATAAATTCCACAGAATCCCACGGAATTCCAAGGGCATGCTTACCTGAACTCTTCCAGATTGATCTCTCAAGGAATGTACCAGTCTACCCTCCTAACATCAGAGCATGGGGGTCCCCGTAGGCCACAGCCCTGCCAACATGAGCACTATCCAGCTGCTATTCTTCCAATTTTTGCCAGTCTAATAAAGTGAAGTCTCATTATAGTTTTAATTTGCATTTCTTTCTGTAGGGGAGTTGAAGTATCTCTTCACATGATTGTTATTCTTTGAGTTTTTTTCTTCTGTAAATTGCCTGTTCGTATCCTTGTCTTGTTGGTTTGCAGTATTTCCTTACATATTCTAAGTATTCTTTCCTTTTCAATTACAGACAAATGCCTTTTCCCACTTTGATATATTTTTATTAATTTTATGGTGTACTTTTTAACGACTTGAGAAACAAATCACATACTGTACAGTTCACCCCATTAAAGTGCACAGTTCAATGGTTTTCAGTATATTCGCGGAGTTGTGCAACCAGCACCATCATCAATTTTGATAACATTTGCATCATCTCCCAAATAAGCCACATACCCATTAACAGTCACTTCCCAGCACCCTGTGCTATAAAATAACTAATCTACTTTTTGCCTTAATAGATTTGTCCATTCTGGACATTCCGTATAAATGTAATTATATAATACACGGTCTTCTGAGGCTGGCTTCTTTCACTTAGCATAATGTTTTCAAGGCTCATTTGTGGTAGCATTCATTAGTACTTCATTCCTTTTTTTTTTTTTTTTTGAGACAGGGTCTCACTCCGTCGCCCAGGCTGGAGTGCAGTGGCGCGATCTCGGTTCCCTGCAGCCTCAACATCCTAGACTCTGGTAATCCACCCACTTCAGCCTCCCAGGTAGCTGAGACCACAGACACGCACCACCATGCCAGGATTTTTTTTTTTTTCCACCGTGTTGCCCAGGCTGGTCTCGAACTCCTAGGCTCAAGAGAGCCACCTACCTCAGCCTCCCAAAATGCTTCATTCCTCATTGCCAAATAACATTTCATTGCTTGACTATACCACATTTTGTTAATCCATTCATCAGCGAATCGACTTTTGGGTTGTTTTCACGTCTTGGTTATTATGCATAATGCTGCTATGAATATTCATATATACAAATTATTTTATGGAAATATGTTTTTATTTCTCTCTTATGTATACCTAAGAATGGAATTACATAGTAACTCTGTGTTTCACATTTTCAGGAGCTGCCAAACTGTTTTCCACAGTGGCTGCACCATTTTACATTTCCGCTCGCAACGCGTGAGGGTTCCAGTTTCTCCACTTTCTCACCAATCCTAGGGATGTCTGTCTTTTTTATCACAGCCACCCTAGTGGGTGTGATGAGGCATCTCACTGTGTTTTGATTTGCATTTCCCTAATGGCTATGACATTGGGCATCTTTCATGTGCTTATCATCCATTTATACATCTTCTTTGGAGAAATGTCTATTCAGATCCTTTGTTCATTATTAAATTGGGTTTTTTTCAAGTATTAAGAGTTTGGTGTACTTTTTGAACAACAAAAGACAAAATCATCAATTTGATATAATCACATTGGTTTTCTGTTTTGGCTTGGTGTTACCTTATAGTTTGTGATATTGAAATTTTGTTTTAGAAGTCCTTTTCTTCCCTAGGTCAAAAGGATACACACACAATTAATTTTACAGTTTACCCTTCACATTCAGGTCCAACTGGATTCCACCTTTGTGTGTGATGCTGGACAGTAATCTAGTTTCACTTTTCTCCATAGAGATGGCCAGTTCTCCCAACACTATTTTCAAAATGGCCTGTCTTTTCCCATTGATGTATGATGCCACCTTTATCACATGTTAGATTTCCATATGCACTGATGTCTGTCTCTGAGCTCTTTATCGTGTTTCTTCAGTCTATTCTGTTCCTTTGGTCTGTTTGTCTGCTCTCGAGCCAATTCCATACTCCTTTAAGCAGCCAGCCCTCTTTTGAAGGTCCCAGGGGCCAATCCCCATGGAAGCCTCTCTAGTCTTGAAGGTGCAACCCTCTCTGGTCCTGGAAATGCTTCTTCTCTTCTCCAGCTGTGCCTCTGTAATTATTTGCTTTGGAGTTTCTGCAGCACTTTGGTAATCTTAGTGCCCTCTAATTTTTCTGGGTAACTCATAATGTGGCCAGGGACAGACTGCTGTGAGTTTATGGTTAATGCTGTCCCAGTGAGGGACCTTGGACCAAGCCTGTCACTTTAATAAGCCAAATCTGCATTCAAATAGCCCATTTCCTAAGTCACATTTCAGGAGCTTCTGTAAAGCACAGTCTCAATGACTAGTGCCTTGAGATGGCCTTCTGCTCTCATTATCACTAATGTTCACGCCCTGTTCCCATGAACTGACGTGGTGCTGGATGCTGGGCTTGTGGGTGTCCAGGTGCTGTGGACAGGAGGAATAGTGCCCCGAACCTGGAGTCTGGATGGTGGTGGGCCCTGGCAAGTGATCTACCATCATCTATCTTTTTGTAGATGAGGTAACCACACCCTGGGAAGTACCTGGCTGGGCAGTTCCCTATAACATACCGCCTCTCAAACCTCAAGCTTGGCTGGTGCAGTGGCTCACACCTGTAATCCCAGCACTTTAGGAGGCCAAGGTGGGTGGATCCCCTGAGACCAGGAGTTCAAGATAAGCCTGAGCAACATGGTGAAACCCTGTCTCTACCAAAAAAAAAAAAAAAATGCGCCGGCCATAGTGGTGCATACCTATAGTCTCAGCTACTTGGGAGGCTGAGGCAGGAGGATGGCAGGAGCCCTGGAGTTCAAGGCAGCAGTGAGCTGTGATCATGCCACTGCATTCCAGCCTGGGGCAACAGAGTGAGACCGTGTCTCAAAAAAAAAAAAAAAAAAAAAAAAAAAAAAAAAAACAGAAAAAAACTTGAGTTTATAAAAATATTGCCCTTAACAATTGACTGATACTGTACAATTTTAAAAGAGCATTTCTTCATTATTGCATTAGACCCTTAGTACCTTCTGATGAAGTATTCAAGGACTTATATTGTTAGTTTCATTTTCAAGGTAGAGAAATTGAAGTGCAGAGGTGATATGTGATGCCCGTGATCCCATAGCCCAGGCAGGAGTGATGGGCAGGCCCAGGAAAGACCTCAGCATTTCTGACCTGCTCTATAGGACTATACCAGTCAGCCAGGACTCCCATAACAAAATACCACAGGCTGAGCAGCCGAAACAACAGAAACTGGTTTCTTACAGATATAGAGGCTGGAAGTCCCCAACCAAGGCCCGGCAGGGCTAGTTTCTGATGAGGGCTCTTCCCAGCCTGCTGACAGCCACTCTGTCCACACGTGGCCTTTCCTTTAAGTGTGCACAGGGAGGGGACATCCTCTCTGGTGTCTCTTTTCATGAGGACACTAGTCCTATCAGACCTTTACGACCTCCTTTTACCTTAATTACCTCCTTAAGACCTCATCTCCAAATGCAGTCACATCAGGGGTTAGGGCTTCAACCTACGAACTGGGGAGAAGATCCAATTCAGTCCACAGCATTGCTGTAGCAAATTACTGCAAACCTGGTGGCTTAAAACAACATAAACTTCCTCTCCCAGTTTTGGAGGGCCAATGTCTGAAATCACGGTTTCCACAGGGCTGCATTCTTTCTGCATACCCTTCAGGGTAGAATCCACTCCTTTGCCTTTTCCAGTTCCAGGAACCGCCTGCATCCCTGGCTCGCAGCCCCGTCCTTGCATCACCGCAACCTCTTGTTCCATCATCTCAGCTCCTACTACTCAGTCCGACCTCCTGCCTCTTATAAAGACCCTTGTGATTACACTGAGCCTCCCAGATAACCCAGGATATAATCTCCCATCTCAAGATCCTCAGCTTAACCCCCTCTGCAGTCACTTTTGCCACATTGGGGACATACTCACAGGTGCCAGAGACGAAGGTGTGGACCTTTAGGGATCATCATCCAGTTTCCCACATTCACTTGACTCTCCTAGACCACGCCCCGCTGCTCTGTAAGATGAGGAAGTAGAATAAGAAGATCTCTAAGGCCCTGGCAGATTTCTTCCTGTTGTGGCTTGTGGTTCGCCATGCTCAAAAGGGCAATGTCTGATTTGCTTTCACAGACACGTCATCTGCCAGCTGTGCTTCTCTAGCTGGGAGCACGAATGAGGTTACAACTCCGTTAGCCCACAGTTTTTTTCCTTGTACCATCCTTGCACCTTCTCTGAACTCCTCTGTATCAATAGTTTTACTTCTTAACATTATTTTCTACTCTAGAAAAACTTCAAAATGGATACATTTTGCTCAAATAATAGGCAACGTTCCCTGTTTGGGCATTTCTGTTCTTTCCTGCAGGCACTCATTTACTCATTCCACAAGTGTCTGCCAAAGGCCTGCTAGCCCCACGCACTGTGCAGGCTGTGCAGACGGATTGCAGACGCAGCCACAGGTCAGCACAGGAGAGTGAGAAGTGACTTCAGGACACCAGGCACATCCGTCAGCGACCAAGCAGGAAATCGTCCAAAGGAAGAGACTCTAGAGAAAGGATTCTTTACGGAGGTATGGGTAGGGCTGGGGGACCACACAGGAGATGGCGGGGAACCCCGAGACTTCTCACAGTGGGCAGTGCCACCTTCCCTACGACTAAAGGAGCAAGGAAAGGCAGGTGAGAGCTGGAACCTAGAGGAGAAGGCTGTCGTCATGAAGGGTCAGAGCTACTGTCAGAGGTGAGATGTCAAAGCAGGGGTGGTGGGCAGAAACACCCCAGCCTCCCTCTCTACCTCCCCTCCACCTTACACCAGTGCCTCTCATTGGCCAAACCAACCAGAAGCCAATGGGAAGGGGAGCCCAAGAGATGCAACTCAAGGAGTTAGTCTTTGGAGGCACAGAGAGGGCAGAGAGCAGCAAGAATGGATCCTGTTGGGGTGAAGCAGGAACCAGGAAAAAGCAGACCCCCTGTTTTCTAGCCTGACTCTGTCACCAACTGTAATAGCTTTGCCTCCTTGGACAAGTCATTTACTCTCTGTAGACTTTCATTTTCCTCACCTAAAAGTGAACTGTGGCATGGAAATCTACTAGTTACAGGATGATCTCTACCACCTATTTCGAATTTAATAATCTGTGGTTTTAGATACACACAGAAAGGTAGAAATATACAGCTATAGATATATAAAATATATTCAACACACTGCTGAGCCATATGTTTGTTTTCTGTAAATATATGAAATACTGTGAAGACGTGGCTTTCTAGGCATCCTCATGTATAAATATACCGACTGGGCTTCCCTTGGGACACACCGTTTAAAGCTGACTTCCACAGAGTAAGGAGGAAAATCAGCAAACCGCTGCGTGTTCTAGCATTTGGTGGGCCAGATTTCTCTGGGGGTAGAGGGGGCGACGCTCAAGCTTCCTCAGGATTTTAATCTTACGTGGACAGCTGTTGTAGAAAAATAACAAAGCTCGCGAAGCAAACTGCTCCCTAACGTGACAGTCTTCTCCTCCGACAAGCCGTAGATTTCCTGGCAAGGAAGGCAGACAATTAGCAACATCCACACTAGGAAGAGTTTTTGCAGAGCGAGGACTGCAGCAGTGATGGCGCCTGCCTCCCAGGAAGGGAATGAAATGAGGCATCTCCGCGCGCATTCCGGATCGGGCATCAGTATGTGACATCGCCAGCACGATGCTATTTCCATCTGTGTGACAGTCTAATAATACCTTCGAACAGAAACAGACAGCCATCGGCCACATAAGATACCACGATGCACTGGAGAATGTGCTGGAAGCCAGCTCTCCCTTGCCGCTGGGTGACATTCTCAGTTGTTAACCCGGCGGCCCTGGGCGGCCCTGAAGCTGGGGTTTGCTGCCTTGCTAGAGGTGCCTCGTGGCCTCCTGCCATGTGGACTTTGCTTTGCTTCCTTACCCCTGCAGCCAACGGTGTACCTCTAAGAAATGAAGACCTCCATCTGTATGAGTCCAAGTCCTCAACCAACCAGGAATCCACCCTAGGAAGAGAGGCTAAGTCCCCGAGACAAGCCTATGGCTGGAGAAAATGAACCGTTAACACTTTGAAACGCAGTACAGTGGTTTGACCATCAGCAGCAATGTCAGCTGTGACCATCGGGGTGAGAGATGGTAGCAGATTCAGAGACAAGATTAGCCCAAAATGGGAAGAATGGGATTTTCGAGAAGGTGCCTGGCAAGGCTGGTCCGCCAAAGGCTCTTCTTTTTGTTTGTTTGTTTGTTTGTTGTTATTGTTGTTGTTTGAGACGGAATCTCACACTGTGCCCGGGGATGGAGTGCAGTGGCGCGATCTCAGCTCACTGCAACCTCTGCTTCCCGGGTTCAAGCAATTCTCCTGCCTCAGACTCCTGAGTAGCTGGGATTACAGGTGCCCACCACCACACCTGGCTAATTTTTTGTATTTTTGGTAGAGACAGGGTTTCACTATGTTGGCCAGGCTGGTCTCGAACTCCTGACTACATGATCCACCTGCCTCAGCCTCCCAAAGTGCTGGGATTACAGGCATGAGCCACTATGCCCGGCTGGCTCTTCTTGTTTTAGAGATGGTGCTCATCGTGGGTACTGCAGCCTGGTTTCAAGACAGAGTTACCAGAGGAAAATAATGACAACTGATTAAAAGGGATTGGTTGTTAGTTCAAAAATAAATACAAGCATGGACATTTCTGGAATGATATACGGGTAATAGCCTACCCCTGGAAAATGACAGGAGTCCCTCAGGGGAAAAAATTGAGGTCCTGAGATAGGAAGAAGAATTTTGTCTTCATTTTATATCTCTTAGTTGTCTAAATTGTTGGCATGGGCATTATGACTTTTTTTTAATTAGAAAACACTCTTGTAAGGCACTCAACCACGCCACAGGCTCTGGTCCTCAGGTTTTCAATGAGAAAGCCGTCACCACAGAATAGTTTTCAGAAACTCTGCGATGTCTGCATGTTACACACAACCCTGGGGAAGGTGCGATGAAAGGGTTCAGTTAGAAGTGATAGAATCTCGCCTGGCGCGGTGGCTCACGCCTATAATCCCAGCACTTTGGGAGGCCGAGGCAAGCGGATCAGGAGGTCAGAAGATCAAGACCATCCTGGCTAACACGGTGAAACCCAGTCTCTACTAAAAATACAAAACATTAGCTGGGCATGGTGGTGTGTACCTGTAGTCCCAGCTACTCAGGACACTAAGGCAGGAGAATCGCTTGAACTCAGAAGGCAGAGATTGCAGTGAGCCAAGATCGCACCACTGCACTCCAGTCTGGGCCACAAAGTGAGACTCCATCTTGGGGGAAAAAAAAGAAGCTGTAGAATCCAAATAAATCAAATCAAAAGGCGATCAAACATCAAAAGAAAGGCCTCTCTCTATGTACTGACATGCTCAGTTTATAGTGGCAACCAATGACATCCAAAGAGGGCAGAAGGTCCTGCGATGGGGTCAGCTGAACAGGAGAATGGATTTTCTCTCGCAAGAGAGTACGTTATTGTGGGCAGTGCAGCTCCTGCCGGCTCTTCCTGTTCATATGAGGTTCCCCCTGGTAGGTCCCTTTCGGTTTCAAAGCCTTCCATCAGCCCCTGACATTCTTCCAAAGAGTGGAAAGACAGCAGAGGAGACCTCTGGGAAGGCTGTGCTGACATGGTTTGGCTCTGTATCCCCACCCAAACCTCATGTTGAATTTTGATCCCCAGTGTTGGAGGTGGGGCCTGGTGGGAGGTGATTGGATCAAGAGGGTGGTTTCTAACGCTTTAGCCCCATCCGTCTAGTACTGTCTCACGATAGAGTTCTCACGAGATCTGGCTGTTTGAAAGTGTGTGGCACCTCCCCCTTCTCTCTCTCTCTCTCTCTCTGGGGCTCCACCATGGTAAGACGTGCCTGCTTTCCCTTCACCTTCCGCCAGGATCGTAAGTTTCCTGAGGCTTCTCTAGAAGCAGAAGTCTGTACAGCTCGCAGAACTGTCAACCAATTAAACCTGTCTTCAAAGTAAATTACCCCATCTCACGTATGTCTTTATAGCACTGCAAGAACAGACTAATGCACGTATTGACCTCAGATTTGAGTATTGTCAGGCATTCTCTCCACTACCTTATGACTCAGAGTTGTTACTCATAAGGGTGGAATTTAAGGCTTACAAAAGCCTTGATTTGGAAATACTCTACCATGACCATTTCACCTCTGGACCACAGTCCAGATGACCTGTGCTCTAAGGTTGTTCTTGACCTTTCGTTTCATGTTCATATCGGCCTCTTTCCAACATCCAGACTCCATCCTTTTTTCCAAGCTCACAGGCCATAGCTCCTGACCTAACTGTGGAACTTAATCACATTTTCTCCCCGAGTTCAGATGCTACAACTTCTTGAACCAAAAGTTCTAGGTCACCTGTCTTTCCCCTAGCTCCAGCTAATCTTGGCCAAGAAACTTCACTGGATGTGAATTAGAAATTTTAAGTAATTCAAATGCGGAAAAAATTCTGAAAAAAACTTGCAAATGGTTGCAAAACCATGCAACCATTAGTGCATGAAAATTACTAATACTCAAAATATTATGTATGTTCATTATGAACCAAACTATTGTCTCAACCAATTTGCTTTCCATTGACCATTTTGCTTTCTCCCAAATGGCTTTCTGGCAAATTGTTTTCAACTATATCATTTACTACCCTGTCCGTGTCCCAGCCAAATCTTCACACGACTTTGTCATGTCACTCTTTTGCCCAGAACACTGCCTCCCCCACCAGTACCCCAGCTTTCCACTCCTACATCTTCCCAATCACAAAACATCCATCTACACCTGCCCTGCCTCAAGCTGGGGAAAGGCACCTGAATGCATTTCTTCCTGTGACCTATCATTCCTGCACCTCTCTTCCAGCCTTGTCATAAAAACTCTGGTTACGTCTCCTCTAAGCTTCCTGTAGCCAGTGCCCATTCTACCAGTCCTCTGTTCAACGAATAATTTAATTTCTCTCATTTTGGGGAGTATAACTTAACTCTCTCCTCTCCAGCTCTACAATTCTGAAGATAAGCATTGAGGCACCACAACACATGAGATATACCCTCATGTGCAGGAAGCCACATGCAATATCCTTCATCCTACAAAACCTTTCACAATTTGGGAGGCAGGTCCTAGAAACTGCTTTCTGAAACTACATTGAGGACAGCCCTGTAGGTCATCACCACCTAACAGAGTTTTCTTCCTCTCTGGTCTGTAATTTTTATTTAGCTTTTGGATTTCTCTCCATGAATTGAAAGCTAGAGAGTGAAAGTTGTAGAGAAAGAGAGAAAGGGAGGTAGAAAACTAGAGCACTGGAGTATCCTAGTCATAGAATTTCAGATGCATCAGCGATCTGAAACATCATTATACAAATGCACAAATTATCTTTCTTTTTTTCTTTCTTTCTTTTTTTTTTTTTTTGAGATGGAGTCTTGCTCTGTTGCCCAGGCTGGAGTGCAGTGGTGTGATCTCGGCTCACTGCAACCTCTGCCTCCCAGGTTCAAGCGATTCTTCTGCCTCAGCCTCCTGAGTAGCTGGGATTACAGGCATGCGCCACCATACCTGGCTAATTTTTGTATTTTTTAGTAGAGATGGGGTTTCACCATGTTGGTCAGGCTGGTCTCAAACTCCTGACCTCGTGATCCACCCACCTCGGCCTCCCAAAGTGCTAGGATTACAGGTATGAGTCACCACGCCTGGCCCACAAATTATCTTTCTATCAGCCTCTACTTGAAGACCTGTGAAGGGAGGAACTCATTTTCCCATTTTAACACTCCTATGCTTTGATTCCTCATGTCTCTTTCTTCTCTTTTTCACACTCAAAATGTCTGTATTTTTTTGTTGTTGTTTCAGGCTTTTCCTCCTCCTTATAACAGACACCTTTTCTTATTAACTCTAGGCTCCTTTTACACATTTTGTCTTTATTTCTACAATAAGTAGTATTAGTGAAGATTATTTTACCTGTTAGCTACAAAAACCTACTAGCTTAGACAAAAGGGAGAAGTTATTGGAAGAACACCGTGACAGTTGATGCAGTAGAAGGAGAGGTTAATGAACGCCCACATGGGACGATCAGGTTGCAAAGCAGCTGAAAGTACCAGAGCTGGGACTCCAAGTGTGTGTGTCTTTCTCATTCTCCCATCTCAGGCTCATCTCTGCTTTCCAGCCTTATTCCCTATCAGCCTAAGCTGGCTTTCCCCATGTGGCTGGAAGTATGGTGGCCAGCACCTGCCACATGTGATATCTTGGGTCTCCCATCATCAGAGACAGACTCCACCTTTACAGGTGCGGTGTGAGAAGTCCCAGGGACTTTCAGATGTGCTGAGCAGCCTGGCTTGGGTCAGGTTCTCAGACCAGATCCATCAACGTCGACCTGAGTCAATGAGTGTTAGCTCCCGGCTCTGAGTCCTCTAACCGTAGGATCTCAAGCCCACCCACACACTGGAAGGAAAGTGCTCTCACCAGGAGAGAGATGAACAGACAAAACAATACTTCCCTATGTAAGTGCACATTCTATGTAATAATAATAGCTATGACCACAGCAGGGAATATTGGCTGGCTGAGTTGGGCCAGATTCCTGGTGTAGATAATAGTGCCTGCCATTTGGATTGTTTGCACCTAGAATTATATTCGTATAGGATGATCGGCAGATAGTGGCCCTCCCCACGAAGATATTCATGTCCTAATCCCCAAAACCTGGGAATAGGTCACATTACATGGCAAGGGGAAATTACGGTTACTCATCAGCTGATCCTAAAATGGAGAGATTGTCCTGGATTATCTGGTAGCAGCCCCTGAGTGGGTCTAATGTAATCACCAGGTTCTTTAATGTGAAATAAAGTGGCCAAAGAGTCGGAGTCAAGATGTGTGATGTAAGAAACATGAATTTGGATGATTCTGGCTTTGGAGATGGAAGAGGACCACAAGGTAAGGAATGCCAGTGGCCTCTAGGAGTATGAAAAAGGCAAGAAAACAGATCAACAGATTCTCCCCTAGAGCCTCCAGATGAAAAGCAGCCCTCCCAACACCTGATCTTAGCCGTGAGATCCATTTTGGAATCTTTCTATATAAGTTCTATAATAAATTTGTGGCTGGGTGCAATGGTTCATGCCTGTAATCCTGGCACTTTGAGAGACCATCGAGGGATGGTTGCTTGAGCCCAGGAGTTTGAGACCAGCCTGGGCAACATAAGGCGACCCCATCTCTACCAAAAACAATTTTTTTTTCATTGGCCAGGTGTGGTGGTGCATGCCTGTAGTCCCGGCTACTCAGGAAGTTGAAATGGGAAGATCTCTTAGGTCCGGGAGGTCAAGGCTGCAGTAAGCTGTGATTGCAGCATCGCACTCCAGCCTGGGCAACAGAGCAAGATTTTGTCTCAAAAAAAAAAAAAAAAAAAGTAAAATAAAATAATAAATAAATAAATAAATGTGTATTGTTTTAAGCCTCTGAGTTTGTGAAAATTTATTACAGCAGCAATAGGAAACTAATACAAGCCATTCTCCCATGCCTGCGTGTTTCCAAAAACTTATGCTCTACCCCATTAATATATACAATTTTGTCAATTAAAAATATACAAAAATACCAAAAAAAGAAACTAATGTGCATAGTAGTGAGGTTATAAAGGGAAGGTTTTAGTTCGGAGAGAAGGGTCATCATAGCAGATAAATGAGGGGGAGCAGCAGTTCCTTTCTGCAGCCTTCGGCCTTTGAACTAGGTTTGGGGCCCTGTGTTAAGAGGGTTTGGGCTGGGTGCTGAAGGAACTGCTTTCATGAAAGAACACTGTGAGTCTCTGAGCAGAACAGAGCATTGAGAGGTGACATGACAAAGCATGTACAAAGCATGAACGGGGGAAAGGCCCTTCTCTTTACCTCTCTTCTGAACCAGTTCCACTCTTGACTCACAAAAAGCCATCAGCTTTAGAGACGCCTGGAGGCAGCATCCTTGGCATGCACATGTGCCCAACATGATGAAAACCACCAGCCAGGGGAGCTGTGAGGTCTTGCAGGCAGCAGTAGCCAACAAATAAGAGCCAGAGCAGAAAAGAAAAAAAAAATGAGTTGGATGCATGTACACAAAATACTGCAGACAATTACAGGAGCTGCCCATGGAGTCCTTCCATGAAGCCAGTCCAAGACCCCAGAGTAAGAAGCACTGGGACTATCCTTCCTTGCATTTTCCCATTAAACCTGCTCAGTTCAAGAGGACATGCACATAAACAAAATAAGGAAAGCTGTGGGCATGCTATGACCATCACACACTCACTCTGACTTTCTTAGCTTGTTATGACCTTGATCTCATGCTCAGCTCCTGTACTCTTAATATTTCTTTGTTTTATTTTTCTTTCTTTCTTTTTTTTTTTTTTTTTTGGAAACAGGGTCTCACTCTGTCACCCAAGCTGGAGTGCACTGGTGCAATCATGGCTCGCTACAGCCTCAAACTCCTGGGCTCATGCAATCCTCCCACCTCAGCCTCCCAAGCAGCTAGGTGATATGCTTTGGATTTGTGTCCCCACCCAAATCTCCAAACGTCCAGTTGTAATCCCCAGTGTTGAAAGTGGGGCCTGGTAGGAGGTGATTGGATCATTGGGGCAGTTTCTGATGGTTTAGCACCATCTCCTTAGTGCTGTCTCGTAATAGAATGCTCACAAGATCTGGTTGTTCAAAAGTGTGTAGCACCTCTCCCTTCTCTCTTGCTCCTGCTCCTGACATGTAAGACAGACATGCTTGCTTCCTCTTTGTCTTCTGCCATGATTGTAAGTTTCCTGAGGCCTCCCTAGCCATGCTTCCTATACAGCCTGTGGAACTGTGAGTCAATTAAACCTCTTTTCTATACAAATTAGCCAGTCTCTTTATGGCAATGCAAGAATGAACTAATACAGAAAATTGGGACCAAAAGTGAAGGCATTGCTATAAAGATACCTGACAATGTGAACGTGACTTTGAAACTGGATAACAGGAAGAGTGTGGAGGGCTCAGAAGACAGGAAGATAAGGGAAAGTTTGGAACTTCCTAGAGACTTGTTAAATTGTTGTGACCAAAGGCTGATAGTGATATGGACCATGAAGTCCAAGCTGAGGAGGTCTCAGATGAAGATGAGGAACTTATTAGGAACTGGAGCAAAAGTCACCTTTGTTATGAGTTAGCAAAGAGGTTGGAGGCATTGTGTCCCTGCCCTAGAGATCTGTGGAATTTTGAACTTGAGAGAGATGATTTAGGGTATCTGGAGGAAGAAATGTTTAAGCAGCAGAGCACTCAAGCTCAGGCTTATATGCATGAGCAAAGAGATGATCTGAAACTGGAACTTAAGTTTAAATGGGAAGCAGAATGTGAAATATTAGAAAATTTTCAGCCTGGCCATATGGTAAAAAAGAAAACCCCATTTTCTGGGGAGGAATTCAAGCTGGCTGCAGAAATTTGCAAAAGTAAAGAGTGGTCAAAGGTTAATAGCCAAGACAATGGGGAAAATGCTTGGAAGGTATTTCAGAGATCTTCACAGCAGCCCCTCCCATCACAGACCCAGAGCACTAGGAGGGAAGAATGATATCGTGGGCCAGGACCATGACCATGCTGCCCTGTGCAATCTCAGGACACTGCTCCCTGTGTTCCAGCCACTCCAGCTCCAGCCATGGCTAAAAGGGCCCCATATATGTCTCAGGCTGCTGCTCCTGAGGGCACAAGCTACAAGCCTTGGTGGCTTCCAAGTGGTGTTAAAGCCTGCAAGTGTGTAGAGGGCAAGAGTTCATGCTTGGGAGCCTCTGCCTAGATTTCAGAGAATGTATAAAAACACCTGGATTCCAAGCAGAAGTCTGCTGCAGGGGTGGAGCCCTCACGGAGAACCTCTGCTAGGGCAGTGTGAATGGAAAATGTGAGGTTGTAGCCCCCACACAGAGTCCCCACTGAGGCACTGCCTAGTGGAATTGTGAGGAGAGGGCCACCATCCTCCAGACCCCAAAATGGTAGATCCTCCTACAGCTTGCACTGTGTGCCTGGAAAAGCTGCAGACACTCAATGCCAGTCCATGAAAACTGCCCTGGGGCTGTACCCTGCAGAGCCACAGGGGCAGAGCTGCCCAAGGCCTCAGAGCCCACCCCTTGCATCAGTGTGGTCAGGATATGAGATATGGAGTTAAAGGAGATTATTTTGGAGCTTTGAAATTTAACGACTGCCCTGCTGGGTTTCAGACTTGCATGGGGCCTGTAGCCCCTTTGCTTTGGCCAATTATTTTCTTTTGGAATGGAAGTATTTACCCAATGCTTGTATACCCATTGTTTTTATTTTACAGGCTCATAGGCAAAAGGGACTTGCCTTGTCTCATATGAGACTTTGGACTGTGAACTTTTGAGTTAATGCTGAAATGAGTTAAAACTTTGGGGGACTGTTTAGAAGGGATGATTATATTTTGCAATGTGAGAAGGACATGAGATTTGGGAGGGGCCAGGGTGGAATAATATGCCTTGAGGTAGAATTGGCTCTGTGTCCCCAACCAAATGTCATGTTGAACTGTGATTCCCAGTGTTGGAGGTGGGGCCTAGTGGGAGATGATTGGATCATGGCAGTGGTTCCTTATGGTTTAGCACCATGTCCCTAGTGCTGTCTCATGATAGAATACTCACAAGTTCTGGTTGTTTGAAAGTGTGTAGCACCTCCCCCTTGCTCTCTTCATCCTGCTCCCACCATGTAAGACATGCTTGCTTCCGCTTTGTCTTCTGCCACGATTGTAAGTTTCCTGAGGCCTCCCCAGCCATGCTTCCTGTACAGCCTGTGGAACTGTGAGTCAATTAAACCTCTTTTCTTTACAAATTATCCAGTCTCAGGTAGTTATTTACAGCAATGCAAGAATGGACTAATACACTAGGACTATAGGTGTGTGCCACCACACCTGGCTAATTTTTTTATGTTTAATTTTTTTTGTAGAGACAGAGTCTCACTGTATTTCCTAGACTGTTCTCAAATTCCTGGGCTCAAGCCATCCTCCTGCCTCAGTCTCTCAGAGTGTTGGGATTACAGGTATGAGTCACCACACCTAGATTTGATATTTCAATATAGTCCGTCAACATTTATGCATAGAGTTTAAACATGTGATCCTCCCATCA
Organism: Homo sapiens; assembly: GCF_000001405.40. NCBI lineage: Eukaryota > Metazoa > Chordata > Mammalia > Primates > Hominidae > Homo > Homo sapiens. Next base: position 235,401,660 of record NC_000002.12, read on the forward strand.
TTTGAATCTTGGCTTTTTCCAGTGTTGCCTTTAGGGAGAATCCCTCCCCTCTCCAATACAATTCCCTGTCCTCAGACTCTTGATTGGTGTCCTTGTCAGGCAAGCCAAGCCTTTGCAGAAAATGGGGATTTGAAGTAAAGAGTAGACTTTGACCCAGATCCTTGTCACTAACCCAATTCCCGAAGCCATTAGAAGGAATGGGAAAAAAATCACCCACATTTAAAACAGCCTACAACTTTCTCCTTCTCCAGCAGTGACTGAAATTACTTAAATGTCTAATTTTAATTTGATACATTTATCAGTACTTCTTAACTCTCATGAACTTATTCCAATCCTATTATGCAGAGATGTAGATTCAAATACATCTCTATAATTTGCAACAGTTAATCCTTTCCTGAATCCAATGCTCCAAGGCTAAACCTGGCTTTGAGATGCCAGAACCGATTAATGACAAAAAGGTAACACTTGCTGAGTGTGAATATTTCAGTTCATTTCTGCAACAGCTTTCGTTGGCCATTTTTATCAGAAGTCATCCCCCAATGATTCTCCATTTCTCTCAGACGAGGACTAGCACAGTGAAAAAAACATAATCTTTGGCACCAGACAGACTTGGGTTTCAGTCCCAGGCTTGTAATTAATAACTATAGGATCTGGGCAAACACATTACTTCTGAGCTTCTTTATCTGCCTATGGCATCATGATTGTTTAACTTTCAGGACAGTAGTGAGATTTAGAAATACGTGATGTGTCTGTGTCATGCCAAACTCCATGCCTCAGGTCTTCCACGGGGTATCTGGTCTATTTCCCACCTCCATTGGCCCTAACCCCTCTCACTGGCTTTCCAAAAGCAAAAGTAGCCTCCTTGTATGGTAACCCTGAACTTTGCCTGGATCCCTTTCAATCAAAAGGAAAGAATGTTCTCCTGCCCATTAAAGGAATGTGACATTTTCTTGCAGCCATTGATCACTGCTCAGGATTCTATTAGGAACTTGATGTTCCTTAGCAACCCCCTAGCAACAGAAGCTTACCTGCAATTGCATAAGGCTTTCCAGAAATTGTTTTCTAAAGGCACACTTATTCCTTACCAACATTTTTACCCTCAAGGAAATAATTTCTCTTTATTGCTTTTCCTGATCACAGAAGTAATACAAACTCGCTTTAGAAAATTCAAGCAATACACAAGTAAAGAAAAATAAAACTTCCTGGTCGATACTACTCTGTTCTCACCCTCGCACCCTGCCCCAAAGAAAACCTCCCAATAGATACTGTTAAACGAGGTTGGGGAGGTGGTGCTTTTGGTTGGTTTTTGGGGTTTTTTAATGGAGTTTAAGTTACTTTCATGGGCAATATGTGACAAAACTTTTTTTAGGTGTCAAAAATAGAAGACAGTTTCCCTTTTCTTTTAAGGAAGTGACTACCACAATTCCTGAATTCTGGGTTGTTTTGTTATTGTTGTTTTTTTCCTTTCTTTCCTAGACAATAAATATTTCCTTTATACTGAATTTAAGGAGACTGACAAAAGGACAGACTGTGGAAAGACTGTGAATAAGTTTGCCCAACCCAGTGAGCAGTGTTGGAGTGTGTGGTATAAAGACCAAAATGAATTAACATAAAGGCCAAGATGACATGGTCACTCAGTAGCTATCATGGCAATAAGCTGAGCTGGAATCCTCTGTACCTGAAAATAATAAAGCTGCTTTTTAAACCTTAATGAGAGTCTAAATGGATGCAACTAAGGCTAAAAGGAAAAATAGGCTTCAGGTGACTACAATGTGACCAACTCTCCAGGAAGCAAAAGATCTGAAGCCCCGTCCCTATAGTAACACCTGTCTCAGACCTGGAACATTACCACACCTGAGGTTCATTTCCTTTAGATCTTAAAAGCAATCGAAGTTTGAAACTCTCCTTGGTGCAAACACCTTTGGAAAAGGATGCCCTGCAATTGTAAAGTCTGGCCTTAGGAAGTGTTGCCCGGGCTCAATACTACGGAAAGTCCTCAGGGGACACAGCAGAGGGCCAGAGACCATAAAGCAAAATCTTTAGAGAAAGTCTTGTAGTGCAAATTGTAATATAGAAAACATAATATAGAAGAACAGCCCTACTCTTATTGAAGAGTTTGTAAATCCCTGGTATGGAAGAGAATAAATAGGATTTTAATTTCACATCTGGGCCCTGGTATTCATATCTTAGGGCAGGCAAGTCATTTAATCTCATTGGACCTCAGCTTCCTAAGCTGTAAAGTGAGAAAAAGAATCTGTGCCTCCCAAACTCATAGGGTTGATATGAAGTAAGTTAGGTGCTTTGAATCTTGAAAGCACAACTCAAATAGAATGTATACTATGAGAAAGAAATAGAGAAAACTTTACTCAGCTGTCTGCCCTCAGTGTAGCCAGAACGGGATATCAGTTCTATGACTTAAGACATTTGGCTGGGTGTGGTGGCTCACACCAGTAATCCCAGCACTTTGGGAGGCCAAGGCGGGTGGAGGTCAGAGGTTCGAGACCAGGCTAGCCAACATGGTGAAACCCTGTCTCTACTAAAAATACAAAAAAAAAAAAAAAAAAATAGCTGCACATGGTGGCGGGTGCTTGTCATCCCAGCCACTTGGGAGGCTGAGGCAGAATAATTGCTTGAACCCCAGGAGGCAGAGGTTGCAGTGAGCCGAGATCATGCCACACTCCAGTCTGGGGCAGTGGATCAAGACTCTGTCGAAAGAAAGAGAGAGAGAGGGACAGAGAGAGAGAGAAAGAAAGAAAGAGAGAAATTCCACTGCCTCCAACCTGCATTACAGTTCCAAAATTGTAGATTCCTTCCCTAGATGGAAATAATCCTAATACCTACATCATATTTAAGGATCTAGTCACATGGGTTTTATATTTAAAAAAGAAATTCCCTCTATAGGCTTATTATAAAAATTTCAAGTAGGAATACAGATAAACATTGACCAAAACAAAAAATATTTTCCAGTTCTCACCCTTCCCAATCCCAAAATTATATGATGACTTTTAATATTCAATAAGTCAGTGTTGACAGTGAGCTCTAAAAATGAGGTGCCAAGCGTGGTGGCTCACGCCTGTAATCCCAACACTTTGGGAGGTTGAGGGGGGCAGATCACATGAAGCCAAGAGTTTGAGACCAGCCTGGTCAACATGGCAAAACCCCATCTCTACTAAAAATACAAAAATTAGCTGGGTGTGGTGGCGCACGCCTGTAATCCCAGCTACTCATTTGAGCCTGGAGGCAGAGGTTGCAATGAGCTGGGATCACATCACTACACCTCAGCCTGGTGACAGAGTGAAACTCTGTCTCAAAAAAATTAATTAATTAATTATTTTAAAAAATAAAAATGTTTGGGGTGCTATGCAGACTTTCCTATTTGAGGGATTGTGGGCTGCTGAAAGGCCATTCTCTGCTGTCACATTTGGGGGCTGTGGAGTTCAGACATGAAACACACAAATTCTCTGTACCTTGCTACTCTTCCTCCAAGTCATGAGAGCATGAGATGAAGGAAATCCAGCCAAGCCCTTGGTGTGGATGTGAGGATTCAAGTGAGGAGTCACAGGACAGGCTGGTAACGCCTTATTCTCCGAGGGCAGAGCAAGAAAGCTGGGGGGTCCTCCCTGGTCTCTGAATGCTCATCTGTAATTGTGCTGAAATTGTGTGGAAAACAACCTTTGATTTCCTAAACACGCAGCGGTCATCACACCAAGATGGAACATCCTGGTCAAGAGACTTAAAACCTTCCACAAGGCCGGGCACGGTGGCTCATGCCTGTAATCCTAGCACTTTGGGAGGCCAAGGTGGGAGGACCACTTGAGGTCAGGAGTTCGAAACCGGCCTGGCCAACATGGTGAAACCCTGTCTCTATCGAAAATACAAAAAAATAGCTGGATGTGGTGGTGGGGGCTTGTAATCCCAGCTACTTCGGAGGCTGAGACAGGAGAATTGCTTGAACCCAGGAGGTGGAGGTTGCAGTGAGCGAGATCGTGCCACACTCCAGCCTGGGCAACAGAGTGAGACTCCGTCCCAACAACAACAGCAATAACAACAAAAAAACCTTTCACAAATATTTATCCAAGCCTCCAGAAGGAAAAAGAAGTCCAGAATCACTGCAGACATAGCCCTGGGTCACCACTCTCCTAGTTGCACCCACTACCAGGAGAGGTAGTTTTCAAACATAATTTTGTTATACTCCCTTCCTTCCTTCCCTCCCTCCCTCCCTCCCTCCCTTACTTCCCTCCCTCCCTCCCTCCCTGCCTTCCTTCCTTCTTTCCTCTCTCTCTCTTTCTCTTCCTTCTTTTCCTCCCTCTTTCTTCCTTCCTCGTTTCCTTTTAAACGAGAGGAACACTTCTTTTAAATGAAATCTTACTTGGGAGCCTCTTATCCCTTCTTTCCTTCCCAATCCCACTTTCTGGGCAGACCTCACTCATACGAACAGAAACTTTGCTGGCCTAAGTCACCGAATCAGAGGTATGCACTGACAGTTGGTCAATATTTGTAAGAAAAAGGATTGTTTGCCTCAGAAATATTTTAGCTGATAGAATCTGAAGGACACAAAGTTTCTTCCCCGTGAGACCTGAGGGACTGCTTGCTGCAGGGTGCAAAAGGGAAGAAACGGGGAACCAGGGAGAGAAGACGCAGAACCTAGAGGGGCCCTTGGAGGTCCACAGGAGCCTGCCTCTGCACTAGCGGGTTGTGACTCCCCAGGAGAAGCCTTGTTTCCACTCCCCACTACCACCAGGGAGAGAGAGGGCTGTGGTCAGCTGGGCCTAAATTCTGGCTACCGTTGGGTGAACGAAAGACCTCTAGGAAGCTGCTCTCAGGACTCTAAGGAAGGAGGACAACAACTAGGTGGCCTTGGGGAGCAGGATCAGAAGAAAGTCTTGGCACACGCGCCTTCCCCAGGCCACTCCCCCCTCAAGCACAGGTTGGTGGCTGAGTGGTCGCCTGCCAGCCTCCCAGCCGGGAGAGCAACACCGTAGCAGGAACAGGCCACACAGTCCTTGAAGGAAGACAATGCCCTCTTGGCATGAAGTCAGCACTCCGGAAACATTCTGTGGGTATTGAACTTGAGCCTTGAGTGGGAAAAATGGTTTTTCTTTAGTTTGAGAATGTGGCCCAGGGCCAGGAGTTTCAGAATAAAAGCTTCAATGATAACTTTCAGAATTCACCCTGCTCACTTCTGCATATGTTTATCTTAAAAAGGAAAAATACAGCAACAAAAAAGCAAACAACCTGATTAAAAAATGAGCCAAGCACTTGACTAGATATTTCTGCCAAGATATCCAAATGGCCAAGAAGCACATGAAAAGATGCTCAACATCAGTCACTATTAGGGAAGTGCAAATCAAAACTACAATGAGATACTACGTCATGCCCGTTAGGATGGATTCTATATAAAAAAAAAATTAAAACAGACTGGGTGTGGTGGCTCACACCTGTAATCCCAGTACTCTGGGAGGCTGAGGCGGGTGGATCATTTGAGGTCAGGAGTTCGAGACCAGCCTGGCCAACATGGTGAAACCCCATCTCTACTTAAAAAAAAAAAAGATACAAAATATTAGCCAGGCGTGGTGGCAGGTGCCTGTGGTCCCAGCTACTCGGGAGGCTGAGGCAGGAGAATGGCTCGAACCTGGGAGGCGGAGCTTGCAGTGAGCCGAGATCACGCCACTGCACTCCAGCCTGGGTGACAGAGTGAGACTCTGTCTCAAAAAAAAAAAAAAAAAAAGAGAAAGAAAAGAAAAAAAAATTAGCCAGGCATGGTGGCACATGCCTGTTTTCCCAGCTACTTGGGAGGCTGAGGCAGGAGAATCGCTTGAACCTGGGAGGCAGAGGTTGCAGTGAGCCGAGATCGTACCTAATTGCACTCCAGCCTGAGTGACAGAGAGAGACTCTGTCTAAAAAAAAAAAAAAATTAAAACAGAGCTGGGTGTGCTGGTTCATGCCTGTAATTCTAGCACTTTGGGAGTCTGAGGCCAGAGGATCACTTGAGCCCAGGAGTTCGAGGCTGTAGTGAGCTACGATCGTACCACTACTCTCCAGCCCGGGCAACAGAGTAAGACTCCATCTCAAAAAAAAAAAAAAAAGAAAAAAGAAAATTAAAACAGAGCTAGGTGTGGTTTTAATTCTAGCACTTTGGGAGGCTGAGGCAGGAGGATTGCTTGAGCCCAGGAATTTGAGGATGCAGTGAGCTACGATCGTGCCACTGGTCTCCAGCCTGGAGGACAAAGCAAGACCCTGTCTCTTTAAACAACAACTAAAACCAAACATAGGATTACCAATTACCATGTGATCCAGCAATTCCATTTCTGGGTAAATGCTCAACATAATGAAAAGCAGGACCTAAAAGAGCTATTTGCATACCCATGTTTGTAGCAGTGTTATTTGCAACAGCCAAAAGGTGGAAGCAACCAAAGAGTCCATCAGGGGAGAAATGGACAAGCAAGATGTGGTGTACACATGCAAGGGAATATTACTCAGCCTTAAAAAGGAAGGAAGTCCTGACCCATGCTACAACATGGATGAACCTTGAGGACATTATGCTAAGTGAAAGCAGCCAGTCACAAAAGGACAAACACTGTCCGATTCCATTTATATGAGGCACCTGGAGTAGCCAGAATCACAGAGACAGACAGTAGAGTGGTGGCTACCCTGGGGAGGAGAGAGGGCGAGTTACTGCTGAATGGATACAGATTTTCAATTTGGGAAGATGAAAAGAGTTCTAGAGACTGGTGTACAACATGAACGTCCTTAACAAGACTGAACTGTGCTGTTTAAAATGGTCAAGATGGTAAATTTTATGTCATGTATCTTTTACATCAATTAAACCTTTTTTTTTTTTTTGAGATGGGGGTCTTGCCCTGTCGCCCAGGCTGGAGTGCAGTGGCAGGATCTCAGCTGACTGCCACGACTGCTTCCTAGGTTCAAGCCATTCTCTTGCCTCAGTCTCCCAAGTAGCTGGGATTACAGGCACCCCAAAAGGCTGGGATTATAGGCATGCACCACCACGTCCAGCTAATTTTTGCATTTTTAGTAGATACAGCGTTTCACCATGTTGGCCAGGCTGGTCTCGAAATCCTGACCTCAGGTGATCCACCTGCCTCGGCCTCCCAAAGTGCTGGGATTATAGGCGTGAGCCACGAGCCCTACCCAATTAAACATTTTTTTAAATAATAATTTTGAGGAAGACAAAAAGAGTCATACAAAGTCCAAACATCGAGTAAATGTGAAGGCACAATGATTTTACAACAAGAGGAAGGCAAGCTACCACCAGCTGGTCCTATTTAATAAAGAAGGAAATGTAGAGAAATGAAGGACTCCATTGTGCCTAGTGATAAAGAAGAGAGGAAATAAATATTAACCAAGGCAAAAGAAGAAGAAAAACAAGCCACAGAGAGTATTTTTGTTAGCTTCTGAAAGGCCTAAACATGGGCTTCCAGCTGATCATTCCCACAAATGGTCTAAGCTGATGCTCCCAGAGTAGATCATTACCAACTGCTCTGTGGTCTCATGGTACCTCATACTTTTTCTCACTACACATATCAAAATACATAAAATGGTGCACAGCTACTCTCCACTACACTGTCACCCAAGGAGGGCAAAGTTCAAGTCTGTTCCCCTCACCGTGTTATCCACAGAGCACTTGACACATGATAGACAATCCAGTGAAGATTGGTTGGTTGGTTGGTTGATTGAATGATTGGTTGAATGCATGCATGAATAAATACATAAAAACCCTCCTTGGAAAGCAGTGACTGCACTGATGCGCTCTTCTCGGAAATGTAAACTGCTATTGTATTTTAGGAAAGCAATTTGGCACAATCTCTCAGCATTTCCAAAGCACATACCCTTTGACCCAGAAACTCCCCTTTTAGAAATTGTTCCTGCAGATAAACTTCCACAAATTTGCAAGATGTAAACATGAACATCTTTTTTTGTTTGTTTGGTTTTTTTTTGTTGTTTTTCGTTTTGTTTTGTTTTTGTTTTTGAGACAGAGTCTCGCTCTATTGCCCAGGCTGGAGTGCAGTGATGTGATCTCAGCTCACTGCAAACTCCACCTCCCGGGCTCAAGTGATCCTCTCGCCTCAGCCTCCTGAGTAGCTGGGACTGCAGGTGCATGCCACCACGCCTGACTGATTTTTTGTATTTTTTTGCAGAGATGGCATTTTGCCATGTTGCCCAGGCTGGTTTTGAACTCCTGGGCTCAAGCGATCCACCCGCTTTGGCATCCCAAAGTGCTGGAATTACAGGTGTGAGCTAATGTGCCTGGCTGACATGCACATTTACTGCAGCATTATTTGCAATTGAAAAACCCTGAAAAACATAAAATTGCTTAAATAAATTATGGTATATTTACATGATGAAATACTATGTTGTCATTTTTAAAATAGGTCTTCATGGAAAGATATTTGTAATCTATATTAAAAGCTAACAGGCAAATTATTGAAGAATATATTTAAGGGAATCCCAGTTGTGCTTCTTTTATTTTAAAAAGTGTTTATAATTGAAGAGAAGAATTACAAGAAATATTATCTCAGGAACAGGACTATGTTTAAGAGGGGGAGAGTAATTTCTACTTTTCAGATTGTTCCTTTCTACACTCTAAAATTTTTTTTACCATAAGCATGTATTAATTTTATAATATAGTCCAAGCATAGTGGCTTATGCATATAATCCCAGCACTTTGGGAGGCCAAGGTAAGCAGATCACTTGAGGTCAGGGGTTCAAGAACAGCCTGGCCAACATGGTGAAATCCCGTCTCTACTAAAAATACAAAACTTAGCCAGGCATGGTGGTGGGAGCCTGTAATCCCAGTTACTTGGGAGGCTGGGGCAGGAGAATGGCTTGAACCCTGGAGGTGGAGGTTGCAATGAGCCAAGATCGTGCCACTGCACTCCAGGCTGGGTGACAGAGCAAGACTCCATCTCAAATATATATATATATATAATATAAAGACTAGCGTGAAACAATTCTCAAACCTAGAGCATTATATTGTAGAAAACATACCAACTGAACATTAGGATGCTGTACATTTCCTATATGTTTCACACTTTCCCAAATGGATCTCTGTAAGCAGGGAGTAGCTTTGGCATCATCTTGAATGTGTGAGTTTTGTTTGTTTGTTTGTTTGTTTTTTGGGTAACCCTTGAGGAATTTCAAAGTACCTGAATTAGTCAGAATAGACTCGGCTATGCTGCAAAACAAACCCCCAACAAAGGTTGATTTCTCACAGTGCAGGTGGGGCACCCCCTTACTTCCCCGGCTTCCAAGGTGGTTATGGCAGAAGAAGGGAGAGAACTGGGGAATCTGGAGGGTGTTCTTAAAGTCAAGATTGGACGTGGCTGATATAACTTCTGCCCACATCACATGAGCTGGAACCTAGTCCCAACCTAACTTCAAGAGAGACTGGGAAATTAGAGGACAGAGGAGTATTCAGCATTCACTACTAATCACAGCTGGGGCACCCTCATGTGCATCAGAACATTTGTACCTGCAAATATCCCTGTGATGTCAGAAGGAAATTTGCTATCCTCTTTTATAAGGCAAGGAGACAGATATTTTATTCAGCATTCGAAGAAGCCAAGGGGGCCGGGTGCAGTGGCTCACATCATCTGTAATCCCAGCACTTTGGGAGACGAAGGCGGGCAGATCCCTTGAGCCCAGGAGTTCGAGACCAGCCTGAGCAACATGGCAAAAACCCATCTCTACAAAAAATACCAAAAATTAACCAGGCGTGGTGGCACATGCCTGTCGTCCCAACTACTCTGGAGGCTGAGGTGGGAGAATCACCTGAGCCAGGAAGGTCGAGGCTGCAGTGAGCCAAGATCATGCCACTGCACTCCAGCCTGGGCAATTGGAGTGAGATGAAGAAGGAGAAGGAGAGGAAAAGGAGAAGGAGGGGAAGGGGAAGGGGAAGCTGAGGGCAGGGCATTGACACCCATTAAGCTTCCCTTGTGCCTAATTATCTGTGTAAGAGGCTTGAAGTCTGTGACCTTATTTAAGTCTCACAGGGAGTTACTTTTCTTCTTCCTATTTTACAGTGGAGGAAGCCTCCTTGCAGAGATGGGAAATGCTGTGAGATCAATGACTAATAGGGAGAGAGCTCTCATGAGAACCCAGGTCTTCAGACCCTGGACCTGGGCACTATCTGTCACTCCAAATGGCCAGTCCCTACCTTCCTGAGTCGCCTTGTGATATAATCTCATGTCAACATGTAATCCCCAATGCTGGAGGGGAGGCCTGGTGGGAGGTGATTGGATTATGGGAGTGGATTTTTCATGAATGGTTTAGCACCATCCTCTTGGTACTGTCCTGGTGATAGCATCTTTCTCCTCTCTCTCCCTCCAAATCTGGCCATGTGATGGACCGGCTCCCCCTTCACCTTCCGCCATGATTGTAAGTTTCCTGAGGGCTCCCAGAAGCTAAGCACATGCCAGCATCATGCTTCCTGTACAGCCTCCAGAACCATAAGCCAAGAAAACCTCTTTTCTTTATAAATTACCCAGCCTCAGGTATTTCTTTACAGCAATGTGAGAATGGACTAATAATACACATTGCAACTGCCGTCTCAGCCCCACCCAGTCCTGGAAGAGAAGATATTAGAACCTTCAGCCACAGCAGTGGGTGGAGACCATCCCAAGATACCTCTCCATTGCCCCCTTCAACCTTGTGACTAAGCAGCAGCTTATCTTGACTTCCTGCTACCTCCTGAACCTGTCTCTGAATCCCATCCAGGCTCAGGGCCTAGAAGCCTATGAAAATCTGCCAGCCCACGACCCCTCTCCACACTCCCTCCATAACTGCCATCTCTGGACAAGCTGATGGCCAAAGCCCCTGGACTTCCGGGCCCAGCAGTCCCCTAGTCTCTAGCTCTGGATACCAAAGCCTCACCTCCCTTGGACTCAGCTGGGCAGAAGAGCACGGGTTGTCATCTTTTACCGGTGTGATCTATACCCCATAGCCACCCAAGCCTGGGGTTCTAGTGAACCAGCCCTAGACACCTATGGAAGCAGCCAAATGTCCTTTTCCTTCTCCTCTCCTCTTGTTGACTAGACCTCCAACCTGACTCCTGATTCCAACAGCGGTCCACAGTGGAGAATGTAGGCCAACTATGAATACTGACTGGAGATCTGAGATCTTAACACCCGTTCCTCATTCCCTTGACTCCACCCACTATATCCCATTGCCAGCTAGCCCCGCACCTCTAGAGGGTCTCCATGGAACTTCAACTTTTCCAAGTGTTACCTATAAAATAATCCATATTAGCTGAGAGTGGTGGCACATGCCTGTGATACCAGCTACTCGGGAGGCTGAAGCAGGAGGATTGATTGAGCCTAGTTTGAGTCCAGTCTGGGCAACATAGTAAGATACCATCTCAAAAAATAATAATAATCCATATTGCAACACAGGCATTTATAAATTGCTAGGGAAGAAAGCATCTCTTTTAAGGAAATAGAATGAAAAAAGAGTTTAGAAAAAAATGGTCAGAATGGTAAATGATTATTTACTGTTGTTATTGAGCTGCATGGAAAAGAGCTCAGGGAAATTCCAGTGTGGTTGTAGGGAAGTGGTGCCAAAGTTGCAGAGGAGGAGCCGAGAGCTCTGTCCCTGTATGGCAGGCACAATTGTTTTATCTGCCCAGCAGGCCCTTCCTTCTGCTGGGACTGAGCCTGCTTTGTTCATCTATGTGGCCCACAGGGAACATCCAGGTTCATATATCACTATGCTGGGCACCTGGCTCAAGCCAGACCAAAGAACTCTTTGTGTGTGCAGAGAAGTTCCATTTGTGTACTTAATTCCTGGCATGGAAGAGGATGTTTTTAATCTGAAATTTACCAAGATTAACTTTAAAATGTGTATGTAATTTGGAAATGAGGCTGTTTCCACGTAAGCTTGACTCTTGTCTTGAATGAAGCCAATATGAACATAGGAGCTGCTGGGGCGCCATTTTAAAATGTGTTGGCTGGGAGGCAGAGATGGCCTTTGGGTAGCAAAGCAAAGGCTGACCCAGAGACTGGGGGAAGCAGAAACTGGAGTCCCTGGCAGTGTTCTTCCTGAGAGTCCCAATGAATTCCAGGGCCTGATTCTATTCTGCTCTGAAGCTCAGTAGCCTCCCAGGCCTTAGGTTCATAGAGGTCTCAATGCCCTTAAAATGGATTTCTCTTCTTGGTTAGACAGTTCATAGGACATTCTGTCCTTTGCAACCAAAATTCCTATGTAATACAAACTGTAATTGGGGCAGGCCAGCACTGATCAATTTGCAGTCAGAATTTTCCATTGATACTCTCAAAAACATTTATGGAATGTATCTAAACTGTGAACAAAATAATTTGGCATTTAGGCAGCAAATATGTATCTTCCAAGAAATTATTTACTACTTTGACCAAGTTTTCTCAGAATTGGCAAACACATTATTAAATTAAATCAATTTTACTTATTCTACAGAAGGCAAAATAAGTTGGTAGCATAAGGTAAATTGCTATTTTCAAGGTAATCGCCTTTGACTTTTTTGGCGTTCTGAATTTCTAGCAGAACCTGCCAGTCTTTCTCAGCACTGGTTAGTAGAATCTCCAGTTTCCTGAATTGGATTACAAACCTGGGGATTTTTTTTTTTTAATCACAATCACAACACACATAGCTGATCATTTGCCCTAAATTTAACAGGAAGGAGGAAACTGGCTAAAAAGAAATGCAGTGAATTCTGCCTTGGCTTTACCCTGGGATGGGGTTGGGGGGTGGGGGGTTGGTGTGCGTGTATGGAAGGCCTTTGTGTGGATAGCCGCAGTTCCACTCCACATGCGATTACCCGCTTTTGCTCTCTGCCAGGTCCTGTGCCAGCTGCTAGGTGCTCAAAAATAACTGCAATTGTTTCCTGACCCTCCACAAACCTTCAGAGTAATCAGGAAGATGGACAGGTGGCCAGGAACCATGGCACCATGTGACAAGCCCAAAAGAGCTCAGTCTTTGGGCACACAGATAAGAAAGCAGGGCAACCTGCCAGGTCACTCTGTGGAAACCACAGGGAAGAGTGGGTATGAAGGGAACTGGGCCAAGCAGACAGAACTGGGAAGAGCCTCCCAGGATGAATGGGATGAACAGAAGCGTGGTGTTGAGAAGGTGCATGGGGACTTGAGAAACTGCTAGTGGACCAGTTTCTTGAATGACCCAGACCCCTGGGCTCTACAAGAACAGGCAGTAGGGGTGCCTGCTTTCTTCTTTCTTTCTTTCCTTCTTTCTTCCTTTTGCCTTCCTTCCTTTCTTTCTCCTTTTTTTCTTAAATAACAGCATTATTGAGATACAATTCACATGACGTAGAATTCATCCATGCCAGTGTACAATTCAATAGTTTTTAGTGCATTCATAATACTGTGCAACCATCAGCACTACCTAACTTTAAAATACTCCGTCATCCCAAAAAGAAAATCCATACCCATTTGTATTAGTCAAGGTTCCCTAGAGGGACAGAACTAATAGGATATATACATATGCATATATGGGAGTCTCTTAAGTATTAACTTACACCATCACAAAGTCCCACAATAGGCTGTCTGCAAGCTTGAGGAGCAAGGAGAGCCAGTCTGAGTCTCAAAACTGAAGAACTTGGAGTCCGATGTTTGAGGGCAGGAAACATCCAGCACGGGAGAAAGATGTAGGTTGGAAGGCTAGGCCAGTCTCGCCTTTTCACATTTTTCTGCCTGCTTCATATTAGCTGGCAGCTGATTAGATTTTGCCCACCAGATTAAGGGTGGCTGTGCCTTCCCCAGCCCACTGACTCAAATGTTAATCTCCTTTGGCAACACCCTCCCAGACACACCCAGGATCAATACTTTGCACCCTTCAATCCAATCAAGTTGACACTCAGTATTAACCATCACACCATTAGACAGTGGGAATCACTCCCTCTTTTTCCCAGCCCCTGGAAACCACGAATCTATTTCCCGTCTCTATAGATTTGCCTATTTTGGACATTTCACTTAAATGGAATCAAAGAATGTATGGTCTTTTGTGCCTGGCTCCTTTCACTTAACATAATGTTTTCAACATTCATTCATGTTTTTGCATTCAATCCTTTTATTACCAAATAACATTCCATTGTTTGGATATACCACATTTTGTTTTTCCATTCATCTGTTGATGGACGTTTAGTTTGCTTCCCCTTATTGGCTATTTTGAATAATTCTGTTATAAACATTCATGTACAAGTTGTTATGTGGACATATCTTTCTCTTTCTCTTGGGTAGATACCTAGAAGTGGAATTGCTATGTCATATGATAACTCTATATGTAACATTTTTAGGAACTGCCAGACTATTTCCCAAAGTGGGTGTACCATTTTACATCCCCACCAGCAATGAATGAGGCTCCAATTTCTCCACACATTTATCAACACTTAATATCTTATTATTATTATTATTATTATTATTATTATTATTATTGAGACAGAGTCTTGCTCTGTCACCAAGCTGGAGTGCAGTGGTGCAATCTCAGCTCACTGCAACCTCCGCCTCCCAGGTTCAAGCGATTCTCCTGCCTCAGCCTCCCAAGAAGCTGGGACTACACGCATCCGCTTATTATTATTATTATTATTACAGACATCCTAATGGGTGTAACTTGGTATCTCATCATGGTTTTGATTTGCATTTCCCTGCTAACTAAGAATAGTCAGTTTTTTTCATGTGTTCCTTCTTAAAGTCTGTCCTTAAAGTTCAATAAATGCCTGACTTCCTGACATAAGAAAAAAGCAAAAAAGCACTGAAGGTCATCACTTTAGATTGGACAGATCAGGATTGCCTAACCCAGAAGTGACATGAACACTGTCCACAGGTATCAAGCTGAGTAAAGCCACAATGTAACTGAGGGAAGCTCTGAGAACCCATTCATGTATTTAATTCTTGGCATTAAGGAGGATGTTTTAAATCTGAAATTTACCGTGATAAAATATACTTGTATATGTATAATGTGTTGGAAGGCGCTTTAATATATGAAAAAAGCGTAGACTTAGAAATCAAATGAATCTGAATGTTATTCCTATTCTGCCATTTGTTAATTAGTTGGCTTTGGGCAAGTCAATCTCTACAAGGCTCAGCTTCCTCACTGGTTACACAGGGAAGCAAATACCTAATTCACAGGTTTGTTGTGAAAATTAAATTAAATAATAGACAGAACCTGCCACTTGGTGATCACCCCAATAAGCTGTGGTCCCTTTCTCTTTCTCCTAATACTTGACGGGGGACAGTTTCGCTGTAGCACATTGTCATGGCTTTCATAACTGTTACACGTTTCATAGCAACAAGATGTTCTCTTGGTCGAGGAAAGGAATTTCCTGTTGTATTTACTTAGTGTTTGTCAAGGGCCGATGATCTGGGGGCCTGAGCCAATCAGCACACACTCCAGAGCCTTCTCCTAGCCTGGTTCTCAGCAGCTGAGCAAGTTCAAAGAAGAATCTAATTGCATTTTCCCCCGACCTTAAGGACCTCAGAATCTTCATGTTGACAACACAGGGAGTTGGTGAGATGGCTCAAATGGTACAGAGAAAATGTGCTGTGTGCTCAGAGGCGAGATCCCTGGAAGCCTGGGTTTTCTGGGAAGGTCAGTGGAGAAGCTGGTCCCTGAGCCAAGGGAGGGAAGAGGAGAAAGAACCACATGGTTTGAGGGGAGGGGCATCATTTCCCTCAAAGAGAAATTGCCATGTCATCAGGGCCTGGGATTGCAAAGTATCTGAGGTTTTGGGAAGTGAGTTAAAATTTGGTTGGGCAGAATGCAGATAGAACAGAATGGAAGATCTAGTACTGAGAAGTAGCCTCCCAGAATCCCTGCTCTTCCACCCTGGGAGACTTTGTTTGATGAAATGGGACTGCCAGAGGTCTCCTGGATGGCTGCTGTTGGTGTCCCAGTGACGGTCACATCGTTTGTGCTATTTTTCTTGTGGATAATTAACTCACGGATGGATGGAAAAAGCACTGTCTTAACAATGCCTTCCCCTCACCAAACATGCTAAGCAGGTCTGAGGGAGAAGGCAGGGGCCCCACAAAGCTGGCCCTGCAGTCAGTGCCATCCAACCTCCATCACCAAGCCAGGACGCAAGAGCTGTATTCCTTCTCCACTCACTTCCTCTTGGCAGCCCCTTCACACTGGCTGGATGTTCCCGGCTTTCCTGCCTGCTGGCTTTCAAGGCAACAGTCTAAAAGAAGCATAGCTTTTGAGTAAATGTATGTACAAAGTACATGTTATAGACTGAATGTTTGTGTCCACCCAAAATTCATATATTGAAGTCCTAACCTCCAATGGATGGTATTTAGAAATGGGGTCTTTGGGAGGGGAATAGGATTAGATGAAGATGGGGCCCTCATGATGGAATTAGCATCCTTACAGAAGAAACACCAAAGAGCTAGCTTTCTCTCTCCCTCCACGCTCACAGAGAAGCCATGTGAGCACACAGCCAGATGCCAGGTGCCCACAGCAAGAGAAGAGGCCTTAGTGAAACCTACTACCGGCACCTTGATCTTGGACTTCCCATCCTCTAGTCCTATCAGAAATAAATTTCTGTTGTTTAAGCCATCTAGTCTATGGTATTTCGTTATGGCAGCCTGAGACAATATATATGCCAAAATATTAACTTCCTAGCAAAATTCTTGGAGTATCTCATTGTAGGTTGCAAAAACAAATAAAAACAAAAAAACACTGTTTCTTTTTATAAATAGTTCATCAACTTTTAAATTAATCATTAATGTTTAAAGCTGCCTTTCAGGAAGCACATGCCCCATATGATAAATGACCTCTTCCAAGACTGCAGTATTGAATGAGTTAATTTCATACATTATCATATACCTCTTTGTTTCTAGGGTCTTCAAGGTCTTCTAAATTAATGAAGAACACAAATGCCTCATAACAACATTCCTTTGAGCTCTTATTCTGTGTAAGGGACTGCATTTGTACTTATCTACCTAGAAGAATACTTCAGGCCAGGTGCGGTGGCTTGCACCTGTAATCTCAGAACTTTGGGAGGCTGAGGTGGGAGGATTGCTTGAGCTCAGGAGTTTGAAACTAGCCCGGGCAACATGGTGAGACCTTGTCTCTACTAAAAATAAATTTTAAAAATCAGCTGGCACGGTGATGCATGCCTGTAGTCCCAGATACTCAAGAGGCTGAGTTGGGAGGATTAATCAAGCCTAGGATTTCAAGGCTGCAGTGAGCTATGACTGTGCCACTACACTACAGCGTGAGTGACAGAGTGAGACTCTGTCTCAAAAAAAGGAATACTTTCACATTTGATATTTTTCATTTCGCCATTTTTCAACCTTAAACTAACACCCAAAATGCTACATTAATTTTATGATCTAGGACATGCATTTTTCCAAATTGCATAAAATTCTGAGTCTCCTTAAACAAAACAGAAAAAAAAATGTTTCCCAGGGGAGTCTGTTTGCTTCCCAGCAGTTCCAGGAAATGCTGAGCTGGAGACCTGCTTAGCTCACCCCTTGTGGAGAAAATTTGATCAGATGTGAACAGACGGTGGTAGAACTAAACGTCCCTCTCTGAAGCTATTTATGCAAAATATTATTTCCCCACCGGCTCTGCGTATTATTTGAGTGTGAACGATATTATTTGCCTACATCCGGCACATCTTATTATTTGGCTCTATTTTGACAGCAAACCACTTTATCAGACCATGTGCAATTTACATCTCACTTTTCCAAGGCACAGTTCTTTTTAGGAGATGCACTTCTTTGTGAAGATGGACAACACTAAACTTCAGTCTAAAGGTCTGTGGCCGATTGCTTGCATATAAAGAGATTTTCATAAATGTCCTCAATAGCTATGAAAAACTGGAAAAATTATATCATTAGCCACCCCGATGTCTTCAGAGTTGCTGAGTGGTCAGCCCTTCATTTGTGGACCACGCTGTGCCGAAACTGTTCTGCCAGTGCCCGCCTGACTGAGCCGCGTCTGGGCCCCCCAGCCACTCCACGGCTTCAGAGTCTGTGTCTTGATGCCTCAGTGTTCTGCCCTCTCGGGCGGAGAATGTTAAAGCCCAAAGGAAATTTCAGACTTAAAGTGTCTGTGATGAAAGGGACCTCGAGGGTCATCTGCCCAATGCGTTTATGGATGAGGACACTGAATTGCAGCAGCGTGAAGTGGCCTGCCAAGGTCATTCGGTGAGTTAAAGGCTGAGCCCAGGCTCCATCCTGGGTGTCCTGACGTCCAGTCTACGGCCCTGTCCCCCCACTTGCAGTGGCCTCGTGGTGACTTGTGTTTTCCCTTTCATGGCGGGATGCAGGGAGAGTGATGGCGGTCAGCGTTGCAACTCTCAAGCTCCTATTGCTTCCACACAGCCAGCTCGGGTGGGGCATCCTCTCCGTGAAGTTCCATTTAGCTAGTAACTGTGTTACTCGGTTAATTAAGTGGGAAAACACAGGCGCCACCCTTGACTTTTAATAGTTTCAATGCAACCTGTTCCCATGGTGTTTTAACACCTCCTCCCCCACCCAACTCCACCCAACACCCACCTCTCCAGCAAGGAATGAATGTACACACTGGAGCTGTCTTCCCAGTAGGAAGGCAAGCTTCCGAATGGGAGGTGCAGCTTTTTTAAAACGCTTTTGCTGCATCAGAAGAGGTGGAGCTAACACAGATAGGCATGATTCACGTAGGCGATCACAGTGTGGCTCTTGAATGAGATTTTTAAAATAAAGGAACAATCCATTGTGAGAATTGAGAGCATTTCACTTTGGCTTTCCAGTTCAATTCAACAACTACTTAATTAGCACCCACTGTATTCAAGTCTCTGGCCATGCTGGGGAAATAAAAGATGAAGACATGTTATCTCTGGCTTCAAAAGAGCATATAGTTTTGAATAGGAAGAAAGCATGTATTCAAATAAAGTGCATTTATACCATGCTAATTATTCATGTAAGTTAGGAAGTATCTTCAAGTGAGCCCAGCAGCAGACATCTTTTATCTTCAGGATGGAGTTCCATTTCTGCAAAGAGTAAGATGAGGCCCTTGAACTTCTGGAACACAAGAAATTCACAGGACAGAGCCAAGCCTGTGTGCAAGGTCCCCTGACCAAGTGCTCAGTCGCCATTTCTGTGTTACTAGATCACCGTTTTTGTCTTTGTTTTTGTTTTTTTTAGACAGAGTCTCACTCTGTCACCCAGGTTGGAGTACGGTGGCGTGATCTTGGCTCACTGCAACCTCCGCCTCCAGGGTTCAAGCGATTCTCCTGCCTCAGCCTCCCAAGTTGCTGGGATGACAAGCATCCGCCATCACACCCAGCTAATTTTTGTATTTTTAGTAGAGATGGGCTTTTACCATGTTGGCCAGGCTGGTCTTGAACTCCTGACCTCAGGTGATCCATCCACCTTGGCCTCCCAAAGTTCTGGGATTACAGGCATGAGCCACTGTGCCCGTCCAAGAGTACCGTTTTCTTCTGTCTACTTCCACTGTGACATAAGCAGCCCAAAATTCCAGCAAGAGGGCCTTTGAGAAGGATTTGGAGCTCAGATTAGATCACCTGCACTTAGGTTAAGATGCTCCAATTTTTGACAACGAACAGGAGGAGACGGGCACCTCAGAGCAAGCCCTGGGTAGGACACTTGGAGGAAGAGGGGACTCACTCTGAAATGAGGAAAAGTTAGAGAGTCAGGCTCCTGAGGCAGGAGCCCAGAGGTGCCTGGTGCTCTGCCAGCTTATCCGGTCTACCTGGCTCTTTCAACCATCCAATCTGTCCCTACCCAGTGTGTCCAGTGCCACATTAAAATGGGCCTCTGATGCCCTCCTCCCACTCACAGATTCCGTCTTTATCCCTCCCGAGCTGATTTGCACACCACATCTAATTCCCTCCAATCCTCCCAGCCCCAGCCTTGTCATTCATTTTCCCATTGTTCCCTCCCTCCTTCCTCCCCCTAACCTGACTCCTGATGCCTTCCCTCATCAATCAGGATGCCATCACCCACAGAAGTACTACCTGGGCCACCACTGTGTAGTTCTCACCCAGTCTGGTCCAGGTCTCAGGGTCCCAACCTCTAAAAACACCCATCTGGATGCCGAAGCTTTTATATCCTAGCCCTGAGCCAGGCAGATCCAGTAGCAGCCCAGGTGGCCAGCTGGAGTGGAGCAAGAGGAATGGTGGCAGCTGCCAACCAGGTGCAGAGGTCACAGTCTTGGCAGAGCAGAAGTGGCTGCATCATTGTGGGAGGGCAGTGAGGCTCCAGATGGCAGCAACCATGGCAAGGGCGTGTTGGGATCTGGACCAGAGAGGGGTCTGGCAGGGCTGCAAGGAACTGGACCCAGCCAGAGCAGGACAGGTGCCAACCCCCAACTCCTGTCCTGAGAGGGAGGGAGGAAAAACTAGAACATCTTCAAGGTGGATCTGGATCTGGATGGCACTTGGGGTACACTCCTAGGATAGCTAAAGACACATCCACATATGGGCTTGGTGGCTCATGCCTGTAATCTCAGCACTTTGGGAGGCCGAGGCAGATCCCTTAAGCCCAGGAGTTCAAGATCTGCTAGGCAATATGGCAAAACCCAGTCTCTACAAAAAAAAAAAAAAGTGCAAAAAAAGTAGCCGGGTGTGGTGGCACATGCCTGTAGTCTCAGCTACTCAAAAGGCTGAGGTGGGAGGATCACCTGAGCCCTGAGGTCGAGGCTGCAATGAGCCGAGATCATACCACTGCTCTCCAGCCTGCATGATAGAGTGAGACTCTGTCTCAAAAAAAAAATAATAATGACAACAACAACAAAAAAAGACACATCCACAACACATTTGCAGCTACAGTTGCCTGCACACAGAGGAAGAGAGAGATTCTGGGGGCTCTTCCAGACCAGTGTTTCTCAAGCCTTGCTTTTGTGCATGACCCACAATAAAAAGGCATTTTACATGGTAGCCTGTGACACACACACATTCACACACACATAAACACACACACACACAAGCACGTGCACAAGTGAAACAAAACTTCACAAAATATTAGTTACTCCTACTGAGTACAGTACACTCTGATACTTTCTCTATTTCATTCTTTTTTTTTTTTTTTTTTTGAGACAGAGTCTTACTCTGTTGTCCAGGCTGGAGTGCAGTATGGTGATCTCAGATCACTGCAACCTCCACCTCCCGGGTTCAAGGGATTCTCATGCCTCAGCCTTCCAAGTAGCTGGGATTACAGGCGTGTGCCACCATGCCCAGCTAATTTTTGTACTTTTAGTACAGATGGGGTTTGACCATGTTGGCCAGGCTGGTCTCGAACTCCTGACGTCAAGCGATCCGCCCACCTCAGCCTCCCAAATTGCTGGGAATTTCATTTCATTTTTTGTAATGCAGATCATAAACCTCTACATTGTTTCATGACCCCCTAGAGGTCATGACTCATAATATGAAAACACACAGATCTAGGTCTCAGGTACCTTCTGAGGCAGGAGAACACATGACTGGAGGCCAGGTGCACATGAAAGTTGGGGGCTATAGGCCTGATGGGGGCTCAGGCCAAACCCAGCTCTCGTGGTGTGCAAGCTCTTGATGGCTCAGAAAGAGAGCAGCTCCAAACGTGAGAGTGACAGCTATACCTCCAGCTTTTCCACCTATGGGAAAGCAAAAGAGAGAGGAAAGTGAATAACTAATATTAACAAACACGAGAAGAGAGCCGAGATCGCACCACTGCACAGAGTGAGACCCTGTCTCAAAAAAAAAAAAAAAATGCACAGGCATAGTTTGCCTATTGCACTTTACAGATATTGCATTTTTTACAAATTGAAGATTTGTGGCAACCCTGCATTGAACAAGTATATCAGTGCCATTTTTCCAACAACATGCGTTCACTTTGTGTCTCTGTGTCACATTTTGGTGAAATATTCTTGCAATATTTCAGACTTTATTATTATTATCATTATATGTGTGATGGTGATCTGTGATCAGTGATCTTCGATGTTACTATTGTGATTGTTTTAGGGGCTCCATGAACCATGCCCATATAAGATGGCAAACTCAATCTATAAATAGTGTATGTGGTCTGCCTGCTACACTAACCTGCGGTTCCTGGCATCTCTCTTCCTCTCCCCTAGCCTCCCTATTCCCTGAGACACAATAATATTGGAAGTAGGCCAATTAACCTTGTAAGGCCCTCTAAATGTTCAAGTGAAAGGAAGAGTCACATGTCTCTCACTTTAAATCAAAAGCTGGAAATGATTAAGCTTAGTGAGGAGCGCACATCAAAAGCCAAAGTAGGCCGAAAGCTAGGCCTCAAGGTACCCAAAGTTGTGAAAAGAACAGCCTTATTGTTGATAGGAAGAAAGTGTTAGTGATTTAAGTAGAAGAAAAAAACCCAGCCATAACATTTCCTTAAGCCAAAGCCTAATCCATAACAAGGCCCTAACTCTCTTTAATTCTATTGAAGGCTGAGAGAGGTGTGGAAGCTGCAGAAGAAAAGTTTGAAGCTAGCAGAGGTTGGTTCATGAGGTTTAAGGAAAGAAGCCGTTTCCATAACATAAAAGTGCAAGGTGAAGTAGCACGTGCTGATGTAGAAGCTGCACCAGGTTATCCAGAAGCTTTAGCTAACATCACTGATGAAGGTGGCTGCACTGAACAACAGATTTTCAATGTAGAGGAAATAGCCTTGTACTGAAAGAAGATGCCATCCAAGACTTCCATAGCTACAAAGAAGTCAACACCTGGTTTCAAAGCTTCAAAGGACAGGCTGACACTCTCGTTAGAGGCTAATGCAGCTGGTGATTTTAAGTTGAAGCCAATGCTCATTTACCATTCGGAAAATTCTAGGACCCTTAAGAATTATGTTAAATTGATTCTGCCTTTGCTGTATAAGTGGAACAGCAAAGCCTGGATGACAGCACAGCATGGTTGATTGAATATTTTAAGCCCACTGTTGAGACCTACTGCTTAGGAAAAAAGATTCATTTCAAAATAGTACTCCTCATTGACAGTGAACCTGGTCACCCAAAAGCTCTGATGGAGGTTAATGTTGTTTTCATGCCGGCTAACACAACGTCCATTCTGCAGCCCATGGATCAAGGAGTAATTTCAAATTTCAAGTCTTAATACTTAAGAAATATGTTTCATAAGCCTATAGCTGTCATATGTAATGATTCCTGTATTAGATCTGGGCAAGGTAAATGGGAAACCTTCTAGAAAGGATTCACCATTCTAGATGTCATTAAGAACTTTGTGATCTGTGCGAGGAGCTCAAAATACAAACACTAACAAGAGTTTGGAAGACGTTTATCCCAACCTTCATGGATGACTTTAAGGGGTTCAAGACTTCAGTGGAAGAAATAACTTAAGATGTGGTGGAAATAGCAAGATAACTAGAATTACAATTCGAGCCTGAAGGTGTGACTGAATTGCTGCAACCTCATGATAAACTTGAATGAATGAGGAGTTGCTTCTTATGGATGAGCAAAGAAAGTGGTTTCTTGGGATGGGATCTTCTCCTGGTGAAGATGCCATGAACTTTGTTGAAATGACAATGAAGAAATTATTTTATTTTATTTTTAACCTGGCTTGGTAATTTGCATAGAAGGGATTTAGAATCTTACGTAAACTTAGTTGACTAAGCAACAGCAAAGTTTGAGAAGATTAACTCCAATTTTGAAAGAAGTTCTACTATAGGTAGAATGCAATCAAACAGCATCACATGCTATAGAGAAATCTTTCATAAAAGGAAGAGATCATTAAAGCAGCAGACTTTTGTGTCTTATTTTTAGAAATTTTTATAGCCAGTCCAATATTCAGCAAACACCATCCTGATCAGTCAGCAGCATGAAGATTGAGGCAAGACCCTCCACCAGCAAAAAGATTACAACTCATTAAAGACTCAGATAGAATGTTAGCATTTTTTAGCAATAAAGTATTTTTTAATTAAGGCTTTTTTTAGACATAATGCTGTTGCATACTTAATAGACTATGTATAGTATAAACATAACTTTTTTTGAGACAAGCTCTTGCTCTGTCACCCAGGCTGGAATGCAGTGGAGCAATCTTGGCTCACTGCAACCTCGGCCTCCCAGGTTCAGGTGATTCTCCTGCCTCACCCTCCCAAGTAGCTGGGATTACAGGCACACATCACCACACCCAGCTAATTTTTGTATTTTTAGTAGAGATGGGGTTTCACCCTTTTGGCCAGGCTGGTCTTGAACTACTGGCCTCAAGTGATCCACCTGCTTTGCCTTCCCAAAGTGCTGCGATTACAGACATGAACCACTATGCCCACCCTAAACATAACTTTAATATGCACTGAGAAACCAAAAAATTTGTGTGACTCGCTTTATTGTGATACTCGCTTTATTGTGATACTCACCTTATTGTAGCAGTCTGAAACCAAACCCAAAATATCTCCAAGGTATGCCCGTAATTGCAATGAAAAAGAATAAATTTCTGATCATCACAATAACGTGAATGCATATCACTGGTATTACGCTAAGCAAAAGAAGTCAGATACACAAGAACACATACTGTATGGTTCCATTTATACGAAGTCTGGAATAGTCGAAACCAATCAATGGTGATAGAAACCAGAACAGTGTTTACCTGATGGTGGAGTCTGACTACAAAGGAGAGCCCATAGGAACTTTCTGGAGTGATGGAAATGTTCTGTAGCTTGACTGAGATAGTAATTAGATGATAGACTTATCAAAATTCATCAAATTATACATTAAAATGGATGCATTCTATTGTATATAAATTAGACCTCAATAAAATTAAATTTTTAAAAAATAGCTAAAATTAATTACCATATTCAACTGAAGACAGCATGGATGATGTACTGGTAAGGACAAAAAACCTGCCCCAAAATAAGAACCTGGAGAATCCACATGCACACAGGCTTTATAGAAATTTCTAGGCTGGGCACGGTAGCTAACACCTGTAATCCCAGCACTTTGAGAAGCTGATGCTGGCAGATTGCTTGAGCCCAGGAGTTGGAGGCCATCATGGGCAACATAGTGAAATCCTATCTCTACAAAAAAATACAAAAACAGTACCCAGGTTTGATGGCGCATGCCTGTGATCCCAGCTACTTGGGAGGTTAAGGTGGGAGGCTCGCTTGAGCCTGGAAGGCGGAGGTTGCGGTGAGCCAAGATCACACCACCGCACTGGGCAACAGAGTGAGAACTTGTCAACAAAAGAAGGAAGAAAGAAAGAAAGAAAGAAAGAGAGAGAAAAGGGAGGGAGGGAGGAAGGAAGGAAGGAAGGAAGGAAGGAAGGAAGGAAGGAAGGAAGGAAAAGAAATTTCTGGCTCTTTGTGGCAGCCAGTTTTGCTAGCAGCTAAACAAATTAACTCCAGCACATGCTAGTGACATGTTAGTTTTCGCTTCTGAGTGCTCCTTTTTAGAAGTTGTTGATAACTCATTTGGAAGAGCGCTTGATCATAAATGAAACCAAGTCCTTGGACTTGTGCACTCGGCCCTTAGATACAATACATGACTTGCCTCTGGGGATCTGTCTGAGGCCACCGTGTGGAGCTTCTCCACGCCACACTTTGAGAATCACGGCAGTTCCCACGCTGTCTTCCACACCAGGAACACTCAGACATCCAGCCAGTCTCCAGGGTGCATGACAAGCCTCAACTACCGCACTGCCTCCCCTGTCTCTGGGGTGCTTTGTGTCCTGTGACCCAGCAGAGCAAGCAAAGGGTTTGCCATGAGGAGTCTTCATGCATCTCCAGTCCATGCCTGAGCTGTGGTCACCAAATACCCATTTCCTGGCTTGTGACTTACCCTTACGCAACCTGGTGGGCACCCACTTTCTGTCTCATCTGAAGGCTGACTGGCTCTGCCCCTCACAGGCGGGGGCCAAGGACACCAGATCTCCCGAGGGATGTCTTCTCCTAGGCAGATGCCACTCCATGGAGAGTACAGCCCGGGCCCATCAGATGACCATGAGGCAGCCCCTCTTTGCCCTTTTTTTATCTCTGGACAGAGCCACCCCTGGGTCACAAGGAAGGCTGGAGCAGGTGTCTCAAATCTGTGCAGAATCAGACAAAGAAGGAAACTCGGGGCATATGGAAAATCAGGGATCCCCTGCTCCACGGCTCCCCCTTACCATGTGTGGATGCACACACACAAGTGGAGGACATGACCCGAACCTTGGATCCAAACACTTATCAGTCACATGTTAAGCTGCATGTATAGGCCAGGCTGCACTCTAGGCCCTGCCGCCTAGAACCGTCAGCTTGCTCCCTCAGAATCAGCCTCCCGGCCAGAAGCTACACAGGCCCTAAGCCACCTCATGCATGAGTTGGGCCCAGCCCAGGGCTCCTGGGTGATGACTGACCTGCTCCAGCACAAGAAGGGTGGACCAGGTCAGCTCCCCAGGACCCAGGATGGGTGGGTGCCCTCCTCCACCATCTCTGGATTTCCTGGCAGCTCCAAGAGATTCCTGAACAAAAGGCGTGGTTGTCTGGGGAACCTGGCCTGCCTAGATACCTACTTTAGCTGATTCCGGGAGGGGGCCGACTTGGGCCTCCAGCAGCCCCATCGCTCTGTTAGCTGTCGGGGGCAGGATCAGCAGGGAGGATGGCGGCACTTGTGGAGGATCAGTCAGTGCGCTCAGAGGAGCACCATGGGATGGGCACGGTCTCAGGGGCCCCTGAGGCGACTCTGCAGGAACTTGGAGAGCTTTTGAGTGACTCTCCTCATGCTGGGTGCAGTCTCCCAGAGGCAGGACAATGAAGAAGCCAGGTGTGAGGGTCCTTGAGGGTGGAGTCGGCCACCAGCAGCACTCCCACTGGTCCCTGGCTCACACCCCAACCAAGGAAGCATTCTCCTGTCCCGCCATTGACTCTGCGTGCTCCCAGAGGAAAGGGACCGCTTCCTATCCTTCTTTATCAATCCCAGACTAATCTTCACAAGGACATAAATAAAACGACGGTTTCGAAGGCTTTCTTGGGTTCGGTTTTGTTTAGTGTGTTGTATCTGTTACTTTAAATATTTATATGAACTAATTCTCTTAAAAAGAAGAAAAACTTTTTAGCTCTGAAGGATTTGAATGGGAATCATGATTTTGGTGCACTCAAAAGCTATGCACTGTAAAACAATGAAAGCTGTCAGTGAATGCAGAGTGGTTGACCATTCAGGCATTGCTCTCTGCTGCAGGGACCCCATCTGTCCCTGGTAAGAAAGGAGGTCCTGGGTCAGAAGGGGAAGCCGGACTGGTCAAGCACCCAGCTGGACCTCACTGGAGTGGCCACCGCAGGGCCAAAGAGGAAGCAAGCCAGCAGGCAGCCAGCCTTGGACAGAGAGATGATTGCTGTGGGCGACAAACATGATTCTGGGAGAGTGCCTGAAGGACGTGTGGTAAGAAGCCTCATGGACGGAGCTCCAGCAGGAGGAGACTGCTGGTGGTCTCAGGTGTGAATCATCAAAGCACAGGTGTGCCTGGTGCTGTATCCTCGTCCACACTCCTGTAATCCAGTGGGACAGAGTAGGAGGGGACATTCCCATGATTCTGAAATCTAAAAGCGTTCACCTTCTGGTCCGAAATGGTGCCTGGACAAAAACCCCCAGTCTCCATGAATATGTAGAAGACAGAAATTCAGAAGGACTCCCATTTAATGAATGATAATATAAGCTATTGCCAGGTTGGGGAAAGAAAGTGACATTGGTTATCAGGCAAACAACAATAGGTTAGGAAACGTATCCCCAGGCTTCTGCTGAAGGCAGGCCCACCTTTGTTTCATAAAATAGAATCTCACCCTAGTTTCTACTCCCAGGTTCAGATTTAGGCATCCCAACCAGAGAACCGGCCATTTCCCTTATTACCCAGCA
Organism: Homo sapiens; assembly: GCF_000001405.40. Taxonomy (NCBI): domain Eukaryota; kingdom Metazoa; phylum Chordata; class Mammalia; order Primates; family Hominidae; genus Homo; species Homo sapiens. Next base: position 235,429,434 of record NC_000002.12, read on the forward strand.
AGTGCTGTGCCCTGTGAAGGGGAAGAAATGATCTCACCATGTCACACGCCAAAGCAAATGACCAATAAATACGTGAAAACCCCTTCAAAGCAAATGACTGATAAATACTTAAAGATATGCTCAACCCCCATAGTAATCACAGAAAATCAAATTAAATGAATCAGGCTGGGCATGGTGGCTCACACCTGTGACCCCAGCACTTTGGGAGGCCAAGGCGTGTGGATCATCTGAAGTCAGGAGTTCGAGATCAGTCTGGCCAACATGGTGAAACTCCATCTCTACTAAAAATACAAAAATTAGCTGGGCATGGTGGCAGGCACTTGTAATCCCAACTACTCGGGAGGCTGAGACAAGAGAATCGCTTGAACCCAGGAGATGGATGTTGCAGTGAGCAGAGATTGCACCATTGTACTCCAGCCTGGGCAACAGATTGAGACTCCATCTCAAAACAAACAAAAAATCAAATGAATCGCAGGGTCGTCTTTTGTCTATTAAACTTGTAATGTCTTTAAAATGATGATACCTACTGTCGGGAAGGGTGTCATAAAGGAATAGACACACTCATGGCTATTTCTGAGAATGGAAATTGGTTCACTATTCTGGAACCAACATGTATCACAAAGTAAAAAAATATGGACATATGCTTATTTGTCCAGTATGTCCCCTTCTGGGAAACCACTGTTCTCCTTTTCTCGGCGGGGTGGGGGGCGGTTCAGAATGCTTCAAATCAAGAGCCATTTCTCCCTATTCCCAAGGGTAGATGTGAGACTCAAGCTGATGCAGGTCGGGCGAGCCCCAGAATGGTGGCTTAGTCCAGGAGGGTTCTGGGCTTCACCCAGGAAAGAATCCAAGGACGAGCCTGTGGTGTTAGACAACAGTTTTTGCTGAAGCGGCATTGCACAGCAGCAGCAGAGGTACGGCTCCTTGCAAGCTGGGCTACCCCACAGGCAGTGTGCCCAGAGTCGCTGCTCAAAGGCAGTCCTACAGTCATATTTATACCCACTTTTAATTACATGCAAATTAAGGGGCACATTGTGCAGAAATTTCTAGGAAAGGGGTGGTAACTTCTGGGTCATCGGGTTATTGCCATGGAAAGGGGTGGTAACTTCCGGGTGTTGCCATGGCAATAGTAAACTGACATGGCACACTGGTGTACGTGTCTTATGGAAAGCTACTTCCGCCTTGGACCTGTTTTACCTAATCCTCAATTTAGTCCAGTGTCCAAGCCCCACCTCTGGAGTAAGTCCCACCTCCTACCTCAAAGCTACTAGGCAAAGCCTTCCTCAGGACTTTTCCCCGGGATACCAGGAAAGACAATTGCAACCTCTGTAGACTTCATGGGACAAAACTGGCCAGTGTTCCTTCTTGACACCACATAGAGACTTCTTGCTTGAAAATCAAGCCCAGGCAACAGGGCAAAGATGGGAAGACACAGCACCAATGCCCTCATTACATTATTTGAACTCCTGGATCCAGCTGTTCCTGAAGCTGACCCCATGCCTTTGATCTCTCAGTTAAGTGAGCCAATAAATTTCCTTGATTACATTATGCTGTTTGAGCTAAATTTCTTTCCATTGTAAGCAAAAGGATCTAATAAATACTTACTGTCCCAGCAATACCATTTCTAAATAATGTATTCTAAGGAAGTAGTTAATTAAGAAAGAACTCTGTTCTATGGGGGTGAGAAATGATTTCTTATATAAGATTCTGAAAGCTCAAACCATAAAGGAGGAGATTTATGGTTTAAGACCAACAGAAAGGTAAAGATTTCAATTCAGAGATAAAATTAATAGGCAGATAATTGACTGAAGGATGACCTCAGCATATATAACAAAGAAAATTAAGCCTAGAATGTATAATGAAAAAATAGAAGGTGGTAAAAGGCTATGAAGAGTTTATTCACAGATGGAAAAAAAATAGCTAAAAACACATAATGAAATGTCCCTATTAGTAATCATAAATTAAATCAGTAAAAATGGTCACTTTGTAACTATCAGATTGGCCCACAATTTTAAACGAGATCCTATTGGGGGGTGGGGGGCAGTGCATGAGTCCCCATATACCATTAGTAGGAGTATAAACTGGCAAAGCTAATTAATGGAAATTACTCTGCACATGTAATGGTACCTAGAAATTCAACTCCAGGGTAAATACCTCCAATAAACTTGCACATCAGGCCACTAGAGTACATTTATGAGGATGTTCCTTACAGCATTGCTTATAATAGCATAAAGTTAGGAATAATCTAAAAGTCCAGCACCAGGATGGAAAGACACACGACATTCAGTTCCTGCACGTGATTGAATAAGCCCCAGAAATCAAAAGGGAGGAAGGAAGCTACACAAACCAACATAAGAAATGCTCACTACGTAATGTTGAAGGAAAATTAAGAAGTTCACATTTTAAAACACGTAAAGCAATATATATCTTTCACCAGTTACACCTGCATGTAAATAAAGGTGTAGAAAATGGAAGATAGATCGGAAGGACCACAGAAATTACTCAAAAGTAGGATCTAGGGGGAGAAATGGAGTGAGACGTGGAATGAGGGTGAAGAAGAAAAAAAAAATAATAGGAAATATTTTTTTAAATGGATTAATGAAGATAGAGTGCCCCAAGCTGGAGATAATGCCCAATCCAATCCTGTGTACCTGGGACACAAAACAAAAATGTTACAAACATTCATGACTATTGTTAGAAAAATTGTGGTGAAAGATTAGAAGCTATTTAATCAGTCAAGAATTAAGGAATCAATTCAGTAAATTATGGCACAACTATATGATGAAATAATGTGCAGCCCTTAAAAGTTATACTGCAGAAATAAATTAATCAATATAGAAAGTTATTCATAATATATTAAGTAAAAAAGCAGGTTCTGGCTGGGCAAGGTGGCTCACGCCTGTAATCCCTGCACTTTGGGAGGCCGAGGTGGGTGGATCATTTGAGGTCAGGAGTTCGAGACCAGCCTGACCAACATGGTGAAACCCCATCACCACTAAAAATACAAAAAAAAAATTAGCCAGATGTGGCGGTGGGTGCCTGTAATCCCAGCTACTCAAGAGGCTGAGGCAGGAGAATCGCTTGAACCTGGGAGGCAGAGGTTGCAGTGAGCCAGGATACTGCACTCCAGCCTGGGCGACAGAGTGAGACTCCATCCCAAAAAAAAAAAAAAAAAAAAGGTTATAAATGGCATGTGATTTATTTCCACATAACACGGGGAATACTCTGCAAGGACATTCAGAAGTCCTTAAATGCTACCTCTGATTACAAGTATTTTCCCCATGTTTTCTCCTGCTTTATCTGAATCTTCCGATATTTCAGCAATGATCACATATTACTTGTATAATAAAGCAATGCTAAGTTTCCAAGATGAGCTTTTATTTAGTAAGATGCTCTGACTTTTGTGCCAACTGTCTAGAATAACTCCTCTGCTCGTTTTTAACATATTTTAGTGGTTGCAAGTACCGGACTATTTTTGTGTCATTCTAGCCTATTAACCCCTAGATGTGTTGATTTCTAGAAAAAAAAAAAAAAACAATCAGCACCTTGGGGTATTAGTAACCTGCAGGTGCTTCCCTAGATGAAGGAAAAGCCTAAATATAGAAAATTCAACTGTGAGAATGCACTCATGCCGGTCTGTGATGTGAACGTAAGCAGGTTTTCTTCCTGTGCCCTGTGAATGGAGTGGGGCGTTTAGGCGGATGTCAGGCTACAAGGCAGCTGTCTACTCTGTGCTCACATCCCTGACTCTATTTCAGGGCCATTTGGCACCGTATGCCCACACCATCCTGTTGGAAGGAGCCCAAGGGAAAGACCACTGTGGCTAAGGGCACAAAAGCTAGTCCGTGCCAAGAACCTTCACAGCACTCTGGCTTCACAGGACATGACTTGACCCAAGCAGACAGGCTCTCTCCCCTCGGAGAACATAGCCGAGAAAAGAGCCACTTGCCCAGGACCCACGGAGACATTCCCCGGACTTACAGAAATAACTTCCCCAAAGCTAGAAGGGACGCCACTTCACATGTGTGCCCTCCTCCCAACCGAAAATTGAATCACAGCCCAGGACACGGTCTCCAGCGTGACCTTGAAATGCTTCCTTGCACATTCGTGACCTTTTTGGCAGGTTTAAATGGTTATAAGGGAAATATTTTTGTAATTTCCATTAAAGGGTTTAAGTTGAGTAGTATAATTCAGCCTTAAATATTTCACCATCATTAAAAAGAATTCTCATTTTGTACACCAAAGGGAGCTGCTCTAAGCTTGCCTTGAAACTGTCAGCTGAGTTAGGCAGAATTTTGAGCTTGTAAATGCAACTATGGAGAAAGAGTAGAAACTCATTTGGGGAGGAGAGGAGTGGGGGGAGAAGAAGGCTGATTCCAGGAAAGGAAAACAACTCAGCTGGGAGAAAGTGTGGCCTTTCAGAGGAGGCATATGACTCCATCCTACACCTAAATCACACACATCCTACATCCTAAATCACAAATCCATCGCAAAAACAAAGTGTGGTTTGAAATATATGGAGGAGCTGGGTGTCCACCAGATGTCTCATTTGGCTAAAAGAAGAGCCTCTGGAAAGGTCTTAGCTAGTTTTAATAACAAGTTCACGCTAAGAAGATGGCCACGGCTAGGAGAGGAACTGACACTGCTGATATAAGGCTGAGCAACACAAGATCTAATGAGTGCAGTGGAAATGACGGAACTTGGAAGACAGCCACCTTGGCATCCATCATAGCCAGGAAGGGAACTGTGCAAGGCCAGTGACACAGCTGATCTAAGCTGAGGAACTGTGACTTGAACAAATGTCACCAAAGAGCAATAGACCCTACTGAGCAAGGGAGCTTCAGGTTTTTTAAATGTTGACCAGGACCAGGTGAAGCACTATAGAAAACTATCCTTTTTTCTTTCTTTCTTTCTTTTTTTTTTGAGACAGGGTCCTGCTCTGTCACCCAGGCTGGAGTACAGTGACATGATCACAGCTCACTGCAACCTCCACCACCTGGGCTCCAGTGATCCTCCCACCTCAGCCTCCTGAATAGCTAGGACCACAGGTGTGTGCCACCACATCTTGCTAGTTTTTATATTTTTGGTAGAGACAAAGTTTCACCATGTTGCGCAGGTTGGTCTCGAACTCCGGAGGTCAAGCAATTCACCTGTTGGCCTCCCAAAGTGTTGGGATTACAGGCTTAAGCCACTATACCCCACCAAAAACCATCATTTATGTTGACATTGGTCAGTTAATCAATGCTCTGTGGTCATAATTTTCCCACAGCTGTTCATGACTGCATGAAATATAATCCAGGTCAGACTGTAAACCCTTCACCCTAACAATATCATAAGGTTTGGGGACCCTCCTGAGGATGTCCCCCAGATTCGGTGTTCTGCTCATCTGCTCCTCCAACCTCCCTATCAGGAAAGGCTTATCATGTGCACAGCATGCCCTGTTGGAGGGGGACAATTTCTCGTTCCTAGTGACTGCCTTACACAACTCTTTAATAATAAGAAGATCTTAAATATTTCAGAAAGCATGCAAAACTGTCTATATCCATTCCCTTTCCATTTCAGATGTGTTTATTTTGTACCTTCTTTCACCTTCGTCTTCTCCATCTCCTTCAGTGTTGGACGGAATGGTCCCCCTTTGCCAGTTACTTCACTATTCTGTAATGCAACACAACTTCATTCGTTTAATTCATTGCCACAAACATTTTTTTTGAGTGCCAACTATGTGTCTGGCGTTGAGCTAGAATCTGAACGTACAGGAATACATAAGGCAGAGGTCCCCGTTCTCAATAAACTTGTAGGACAGAGAAACTCTCCATGTGCTTAGGTGGGCTGTTGTCAGAGAGGTGGGTTTCTGAACCTCAAATGCCATTTGGCCTCCTTGAAAAATGCCCTGTTGTGGAAAGACTCTGAAACAGTCCCCATGATCCCAGCTTCCTGGTGTTGGCACCTTCCTGTGGTGCCCTCTGCTTGGGTGTGGGCAAGACCTGTCACTTGCTTCCAACTAACAGAATATGGCAAAGGTGATGGGATGTCAGTCTGTGACTACGCAACATTATATAAGGCTCTGTCTCAGCAGACCAGATCCCCAGCCAGTACACTGCCTCTTTCCATTGCCGGACATGCTTTTCGCCAGGGAAGTAAGCAACTCCACACGCAGAGGTCAAATGTCACCTCTCAATGAACCCTGTTCTGACCACCCTGATCTCGCACTCTCCCGATCTGGCACTCCCTGTCCCATTCCCTACTTTCTCTTTTTTTTTTTTTTTTTTATGAGATGGAGTTTCGCTCTTGTTGCCCAGACTGGAGTGCCATGGTGCACTCTTGGCTCACCACAACCTCCGCCTCCTGGGTTCAAACGATTCTCCTGCCTCAGCCTCCTGAGTAGCTGTGATTACAGGCATGCGCCACAACGCCCGGCTAATATTTTTTGTATTTTTTTAGTAGAGATGGGGTTTCACCATGTTGGTCAGGCTGCTCTCAAACTCCTGACCTCAGGTGATCCACCTGCCTCGGCCTCCCAAAGTGCTGGGATTGCAGGCATGAGCCACTGCGCCCGGCCCCATTCCCTAGTTTCAACACATGTCATCAGCTGACACACCGATGTTTTACACATGTATTTGTTTATTGTCCGCCTCTCCTAAACAGAGTGCTAATCCCATGAGGGCGAGGACTTGGACTTGTTTACTCACATTTCCCCAGAAATGTTGTTGAGTGCATTCCATAACTATTTACTAAATTACTAGGTTAATTAATTGATTAATTGATATTATTACTATTATCTTGCCCTTCAATGGAGCCAGTTGTCATCTTAGTCTTTAGACTATAGCTTCTTGAGGGCAGAGACTCTATGTGAAAAATTTCACATTCCCTAAATACTTAGCAGGTTGATGAATGAATGAATGAGCAAATGAACAAACAAATGGTCTAGGGACCAGAGGCAAATAGCACATTAGAAGTGCGGGGCCTATTAGAATGATTTTGAATGGAGACTCAGAATTTATTCTTACTGCAGCCACTCAAGCTTATATTTCAACTGCTTGTAAAAGGAATAGGCCCTGTTATTTATTTATTTATTTATTTATTTATTTATTTATTTGTTTATTTTAGATGGAGTCTCGCTCTGTTACCCAGGCTGAGTGCAGTGGCATGATCTCGGCTTACTGCAACCTCCGCCTCCTGGGTTCAAGCCGATTCTCCTGCCTCAGCCTCCCAAGTAGCTGGGATTACAGGTGCATGCCACCACAACCAGCTGATTTTCGTATTTTTAGTAGAGACAGGGTTTTACCATGTTGGCCAGGCTAGTCTCGAACTCCTGACCTCAGGTGATCCACCCACCTCAACCTCCCAAAGTGCTGGGGTTACAAGCATGAGTCACTTTTCCCGGCCCAGTTATTTAACTTTTTTAATTCAATACGATTCAGAATAAATTCTGAGCCTCCGTTCAAAATCATTCTAATAGGCTCCTCACTTCTAATGTGCTATTTGCCTTTGGTCCCTAGATGATTTGTTTATTCATTTGCTCATTCATTCATTCAATTTGCTAAGTAGTTAGGGAATCTGAAATTTTTCGCATAGAGTCTCTGCCCTCATTTTTCAAAATGGCAATTCTTTTGTGTAGAAATTCAAAAGTCAATTCTAAATTTAATTTGGAAAGGAAAAAGACCTAGAATAGCCAAAATCATTTTGAAAAAGAAGAATAAAATCAGACAGAATATTTACTTTACCTGATTTCAAGTTTTACTATAAAGCTACAGTTAACAAGATAGTGTGGTATTGACAAAAAATATAGAGATATAGATCAATGCAGCAAAAGAAAATTGAACCACTCATATGCTTAATTAATTTGGAGGGGTACATGTGATAATGTAATATATTCATATAGTTTGCAAAAATCAAACCAATGTCGTTGGAATATCCATCACCTCAAATATTTATCTTTCTTTATGTTAGAACCATTTGAATTCTCTTCAAGCTACTTTGAAATGTATATAGATCAGTTGAGCATGCAACCTAGATCCCACGCATACACAGTTCTCCTAAGAGAATCTAATGCCCCCCGCTGATCTGATAGGAGGCAGAGCTCAGGCAATCATGTTTGCTCACCCGCCACTCACCTTCTACTGTGCAGCCCTGTTCCTAACAGGACATGGACTGATACCGGTCCACGGCACAGAGGCTGGGGACCCCTGCTATAGATTATTGTAAACTATAGTCACCTTACTGATCTATCTAACACTAGGTCTTATTTCTTCCATAAAATTGTATATTTGTACCTATTAATTTCTTTTCATTCCCTTCTCCCCCATACCCTTCCACCATCTGCTCTCTATCTTCATGAGATCCTCTTTTTTAGCTCCCACATATGAGTAAAAACATTTAATATTTGTCTTTCTGTTCCTGGCTTACTTAATGTAATGACCTCTAGTTCTGTCCATGTTGCTGCAAATGACAGGACTTCATTCTTTTTCATGGCTAAATAATATTCCATTGTGTATGTATACCACATTTTCTTTACTGTATGGCAATTTTTTTTTTTTTTTTTTTTTTTTTTTTTTTTTTTTTAGAGACAGGGGGTCTCACTCAATCACCCAGGCTGGAGTGCAATGGCTTGGTCATAGCTCATTGTAGCCTTGAACTGGTGGGCTCAGGCTATCCTCCTACCTCAGCCTCCCAAGTAGCTAGAACTACAGGCACAGGCCACTGTGTCTGGCTTTTTTTATTTTTTATTTTTTGTAGACACAGGGTCTTGCTTTGTTGTGAGGATTGGTCTGGAACTCCTGGGCTCAAGCAATTCTTTCACCTTGGCCTCCCAAAATGCTGGAATTACAGAAGTAAGCCACCATAACTGGGTTTGGCAATTCTTAAAGAAAAATTTTCCTAGAGTCAAGTAAGTTTGGAGAATTCTAGCTTAACATGTTAGATACACTTCTTTATGGCAAAACTTATAGAAGCCTTTAAAATGCTAAATGAATCACCAATATTCACAATTTCTTTTCTTTCTTTCTTGTTTTTTTAATCACAGAGTGGTCTGCCCATGAAATAGCCATAGACACTTTGCGGTACCAGTGTTTCATAGTATAGTGTTTGGGAAATGTCTTTCCAACTTATAGGTTAGAAATTAGCAATAACACCTCTTTTCCTCATGCCCCATGGCTTTGTGAATTGGAAAACTATGTTAACTTTCTGGTTGCAAAAGAACTGCAGTGTAAAAGTTTAAAAAAAAAAAAAAAAAGACAATATGACCTAGATATGGGCCTGGCCTCTGAATGTATTAGGTGGTCAGGAAGAATCCAGTATTATTTTGAAATAATAATAGTAATCTTTTCAAAAGTCTGTAGGTTTCAAGGTAAGGAAAAAAAAAACAAAGAAAGTAAAAAAATTCCAACCTCCAGGTACAAATAGGCAGAAGGGAGAAAAATCTCACTCTCCTTTGAGGGTAAGCATGCCTGATATGTTAGAGAATCTCTCTCTCTCTCTCTGTCTCTCTTTCTCTCTCTCTCCCTCCCTCCCTTATTTTTTCTCAGGCTCAAGTGACAGCTAAGGTGGAGAACAAGCTTCAAATCCCAGTAGACACAAGGCTGTGCTTCAAACCTGTTTCTGCCCATCCTCAGAGTCCTCCAAGTCATCCCCAATACCATGTGCCCACCCCCCACCATGACATGGCATAGGTTGCCAAGCCCTCAGTTAGAAAATAATGGCAGAAAGACAATAGATGAAGGAAGCCTGGCAAAAGGTCTTTTCCCTTCCCACTTGTCATTAAACACACACACACACACACACACACACACACACACACACACAACCAAGGTTCAGTGTCACTGGACATCTTTTCTGCTTTCTGCGAGGAGCGCTTGTTTGCAGAGCTGTTTCACTTCCGGCACACAGCACACTGCTGGCACTGCCACCCCACTTCTTCCTGGAGGGGTTTGAAATATCAAAGTCTGCCACCTCTACTGCTGCTGAGAAAGGGAGGCTTGGCTGAGTTGTTCCATCAACAGCTTTAATCAAAATAGCACAGTCAAGTTACATAAGCATATATATGCAGAGAGAGTTTGTGGAAAATGTAAACCAAAATGCTTGCTGTGTTTTGGTGGTAAGTCTGAAGCCCTTTGGCAGTAACGGTTCATCATAAGCAAAGATGTGCAGGAGAGGTACACGGTGGCAGCCCCCGTGGCTGCAGAGGGGCCACCTGGAAGTAGGAAACCCAGCCTGAATCCAAGTCATGAGACATTAGCCATCAGGCTAAGAAATTTGGTTCTGCAATTTTTCTATCTCCTCTATATACCCTTTCCTCATTTTTGACAATGTTCATTGCTTTTTGTATTTAGGGAGAAAAGAAAATAAGGTTTAAAAAATTGGGAAGCTCAAACTTCTCTTTTCTACAATCACAAAATAATATTTTAAGGATACTCTTGTATATTCAGTTGCATTATTTACATTGTCAGTTGCATAGTAAGCAATGGAAATTGACCTAGTGATGGAAGGCAAAAGAAATGCATTATTCCTGGTATTTAATGGGTTTCTCTTATGCATCCTTGCCTTGGTGTCTGTGCCCATTTGTGGGGAATAACTAAAGTGAGTCGGCTGGTCTGTCGTGTTTTCAATGGCATAGAAAAGACATAAACCACCAGCCCATGTGCATCTAACCTCTACCAAAGAATGGAACTTTCCCTGCAAAGCAGGTGGTAGGAGGAGCCCTGGGACTGTCCCACGGAGATTGGGGGATGCCTGAAGAAAGGAACGCTGTGCTCATCCCCACTTGGGCGGTGGCTGGAGAAGCCGACTTACTGTTCCCCAGTCTATCTGAGCAGAGGAAAGGACAGTTGGTGCCGGCTGATGAAAAGCCAGAGAGGGGCACCGCTAGCAGCAGCAATCTTCCCCAGTTTCTCGCAGCAGGGACACCTGAGCTTCCTGAGAATCGGGGACTATTCAGCACCTTGGGCCCTCGCCACGGGAGGCTGGGAGGTGGATGGCATGGCTGGGCAGCCCCCGATGGGGAAGAGGGCGAGCAGGAGTCTGAGGACTGGGTAATGAGGGGATGCAGCCAAACCTATGGGGTTTGGACACACACAGGGCACCCACACAGCTACCAAGCCCAGGGAGGACACACACAGCAGAGCCAGGTAAGCGGAGACCTGGGCCCTTCCTCCATCCCTCCTCCCAGACACCAAAATGCTGGAAGAAAAAGGGAGACCCGGGAGACGGGGAGGAGGCAAGAAGGGGACGTTCCCATTGCAGGCCCCTCAGGAAGATGCCTGGTGGGTGCTGGGGCCATCAGGAAAGACAGGAGCTGGATATGAGACTGCAGGGTCAAACGGGACTGCACCGAGCTTTTCAATACCTGAAAGGCTGGGACGCTGCAGGACCCTCCCAAGAAGCTGTTGATGGACAAGAAAGGGTGAATCAATGCAGTAATACAGGGGCTACAGAGCAAATCAAATCACGATTTACCCTCAATAATATCAGACGTCTTCATGTATAGCGTAGCTAACAACAGTAGAACCGCAATTCCTCCCAGCCCACATGCTGTCATTCATTTACCTGCTGTAAACACAGTTACATCGGTACTACTTTACTGATTGATTGATTGATTGATTGATTGATTCAGACAGAGTCTCACTCTGTCACCGGGGCTGGAGTGCAGTGGCGTGATCTTGGCTCACTGCAACCTCCGCCTCCCAGGTTCAAGCAATTCTCCTGTCTTAGGCTCCTGAGTAGCAGGGATTACAGGCACCGGCCACCATGCCTGGCTATTTTTTGTATTTTTAGTAGAGACGGGGTTTCACCATGTTAGTCAGGCTGGTCTCAAACTCCTGACCTCAGGTGATCCGCCTGCCTCAGCCTCCCAAAGTGCTGGGATTACAGGCATGAACCACCGTGCCCGACTCATCGCTGCTACTTTTGCTGTAGACAATTATCTTCTAGTGATTAAAAATAAGAAAAAGACGTGCATTTTCTTTGTACTTTCATTCTTACTATTTTTAGCACTCTATTTCCTGTGTCGATCCATAATCTCTTCCTAATCCTTCTGCCTGAAGAATTTCCTTTAACATTTCTTTTGGTACAAGTCTGCTTGCAATGAATTCTCTCAGGTTTTGCTTTACTGAGCAAAAAAAATAATGCGCTATCTTCTTCATTTCTGAAAGGTATTTTCCTAGGTACAGAGCTCAGAGTTGACAGGTTTAGGGTTTTTTTCTTTCACTTTAAAAATATAACTTCAGGCCGGGCATGGTGGCTCAAGTGGATCACTTGAAGTCAGGAGTTTGAGACCAGCCTGGTCAACATGGTGAAACCCCATCTCTACTAAAAATACAAAAAATAGCTGGGTGTGGTGGTGGGTGCCTGCAATCCCACCAGCTACATGGGAGGCTGAGGCAAGACAATCACTTGAACCCAGGAGGCAAAGGTTGCAGTGAGCCAAGATCGCACCACTGCACTCCACCCTGGGTGACAGAGTGAAACTCTGTCTCAAAAAAAAAAAAAAACACTTCATTATCTTCTAGCTTTCTTTTTTTTGTTGTATATTTGTTTGTTTGAGATGGAGTCTCTCTCTGTCACGAGGCTGGAGTGCAGTGGCACGATCTTGGCTCACTGCAACCTCCGCCTCCTGGGTTCAAGCGATTCTCCTGCCTCAGCCTCCCCAAGTAGCTAGGACTACAGGTGCCTGCCACTATACCTGGCTAATTTTTTTTTTTTTTTTTTTTGTATTTTAGTAGAGATGGGGTTTCACTGTGTCAGCCAGGATTGTCTCGATCTTCTGACCTCGTGATCCGCCTGCCTCGGCCTCCCAAAGTGCTGGGATTACAGGCATGAGCCACCGCGCCCAGCCTATCTTCTAGCTTTCTTATCTTCTGGAGAGAAGTCTGCCATAATTCTTTTTTTTTTTTTTTTTTTTGAAATGTGTTCTCCCCTCCCTCCATGGCTGCCTTCACTATTTTCTTTTTATTCTGTGGGTTTTCCGCAGTTTGAATATGGTGAGTCTAGGTGTGGCTTTTTGTTTTGTTTATCATTTATCTCACTTGGTATTCTCTGAGCTTCTTGGCTATGTAGATTAAGGTCTTTGATGCTTTTTAGAAAGTTCTTCACTGTTATCTCTTTAAATATTTCTTATGTCTGTTCTCTCCTCTCTTCTCTTTATGCGATTTCAATTGCACACATATTAGACCACATGCTGTTACCATCCTACAGCTCTTGGCTGTTCTCTTCTTTTTTTTTTTTTTTTTTTTTTTTTTTTTTTTAGACGGAGTTTCACTCTTGTTGCCTAGGCTGGAGTGCAAAGTGCAATGGCGCGATCTCGGCTCACTGCAACCTCCGCCTCCTGGGTTCAAGTCATTCTCCTGCCTCAGCCTCCCAAGTAGCTGGGATTACAGGCACATGCCACCACACCCGGATAATTTTTGTATTTTTAGTAGAGATGGGGTTTTGCCATGTTGGCCAGGCTGGTCTCAACCTCTGGACCTCAGGTGATCTGCCCGCCTCAGCCTCCCAAAGTGCTGGGATTACAGGCGTGAACCACCGCGCCCAGCCTGGCTGTTCTCTTCTGTCTGATTTCTTTTTTCTCTGTGTTTCAGTTTGGGTGAATTTTTATTAACCTATCTCCAGGTTTACTGGGGTTTTTTTCTCAGCTATGTGAAACTGTCTGATGAACCTGTCAATGGCATTCCTCATCTCTGTTGCCATGGGTTCTTTTTTTTCCCCCTAAAATTTCCCTTTGATTGTCTCTAATAGTTTCCATCTCTGTACTGAAATACCACATCTGTTCACCTACATACACACTGTTTCCATTTGAACTTTCAAATATTAATCGTAGTTCTTTTAAATTTCCTCTCTGATAACTCCAACTTCTGGGGTCATTTCTAAATCTGGCTTTACTGATTGCTTAGTCTCTTAACAGTAAGCTGATTTGTTTTGACTTTGTTATGTGTTTTGTGGTTTGGAGTTGAAAACTGACCTTCCTACATAGGCCAACAAGGGCTGAGGTACATCTTATTGTATTGTGCCTTGAGACAGGCATACCTTTTCTCCTTCCAGACCTTTGGCTTGAGACGCTGGGTCAGTCTAGGCAGGAGTTGAACTGGGTTTGAGTCTTGTTGCTATGATTATCCTCAGTGCACCATCAGCTTCAAATTCCTCTGGAATTACCTCCTGCTAGGGCACAGGCTGGGTGGCCAGAGAGTTTCTCTGAAGGCCGGTGCTGCATCTCAGTGTTGGGTTGTTCCTGTGACGCATGTCACAGAAGATGCCTCTCCCCTCCTTCTTGTCCCTCCCCTGGTGGAAATGTCAGAGGTATTGGAACCAGAGGAACTCCATCTTGAATAGGAGCTGGGTAAAAGGAGGCCGAGACCTACTGGGCTGCATTCCCAGAGGATTAAGGCATTCTAAATCACAGGATGAGATAGGAGGTCAGCACAAGATACAGGCCATAAAGACCTTGCTGATAAAACAGGTTGCAGTAAAGAAGCCGGCCAAAACCCACGTAAACCAAGATGGTGACAAGAGTGACCTCTGGTCATCCTCACTGCCACACTCCCACCCGTGCCATGACAGTTTACAAATGCCATGGCAACCACAGGAAGTTACCCTATATGGTCTACAAAGGGGAAACACAAATAATCCACCCCTTGTTTAGCATATAATTGTTAGAAATGCAAAATGCTTGTTCCCCAGTGCCATAAAGAAATAGCACTCGAACATAAATTTAATTTTCTCACAAGGCAACTTTTGCTTTCTGCAGAAAGGGTGCTCCTCCTGGTTGGAACAATGGCGAGAGCACACCTGGGGAGGGGCAGAAGGTCTTATTCCTGAGGCAGATAGCCCCTACTGCTGTGTCGTTCCCCTGTTGGCTAGGGTTGGACTGCACAGTCTAAGCTAATTCTGATTGGCTATTTTAAAGAGGGCAAGGGTGTGAGCCAGAGTGGCGGGGTGAGTAGTTTGGCGGGAAGGACAGTTAGGAACAGGTAACTAAAAGTGTCTTAGGTCAGAGCAGGTGACCAGTGGTGACTCAGTCAAAGCAGGTGACCGGGATGAGTCAGGACAGAGCAGGTGACCAGGGGAACAGATGTGAACTACTGATTAAGACTGACAGGGAAGTTGTTTACTGAAACAAGAAGCGAGGGACTGAAGAGAACCAGGAAGTTAAACTTTAAAATGGAGAATCAAAGAATAAGATAGCTGAACATACTGACATACTGATTCTTTGAAGAGAAACTTGGGTTTCACTATCTTTAAGATAATCAAGAAATTACCAACAAAATTGGCAACCAGCAGACCTTGGAGTAGCTCTTCTTTTATTCCTTTATTTTCCTAATACACTTGCTTTCACTTTACGGACTTGCCCTGCCTGAATTCTTTCTTGTGTGAGATCCAAGAACCCTCTCTTGGGGTCTGGATCGGGACCCCTGCCCTGTAACAGAGATGCTGTTCTTTCTAACCCTGAGTGTCAGCCTGGGGATGCAAAAAGGTTGCTCTCTGTTGCCTTGCTTCATCCTCAGTCTTAGGCAGACCCTGCGCCCCTGGGTCTGGGTCTGGAGGTGGGTGGGGGTCTCTGGGTTCCTGCCTTTTCTCCCGCCTCCTGCCTGAGAAGACTGTCTGTGTCCTGGGCCCAGATGGTACCCTGTCACTCTCTCAGGAGTGGAAGGCTTTTTTCCCTCTTTCCTCCAGACAAAATGGGTCTTCATCAGCTTTAAACCTCGGTTTCTACTAATTAAAGTAACAGGGACAGCAGGATTTGCTCCTCCTCCACCACCCCACCCCTGCCCCCCAGCAGCTTAAGGCTCTCGTTTCCCAAGTGAGAAGTTCCCTGGGGGCCTCTGGGCCTTTCCCTTAGTGGCAGCTGCTCCTCCCACCCCACCCCCATTTTTCTTGTGAGCAATTGGTGAGGTTAAAGAGAAGAGCCAGGAGTGGGTGCAAAGTCTCCCTGTGGCTGCAGTCCCTGGGAGCCGATGCTCTCAGGAGAGCCCTCACTTGGCTTTCGTCAATCAGTTAAAAGTCCTGGCTGGAATCTTCTCACCTGCTGTGTGTTCCTCTGCACCCCCTACCCCACCCGCCACCTGTTTCCTCCATGCTCTGATTCGTCTAAGCTGCTGCTCAGGCCCAAGCCATGCCTCTTTCCTCAGCTTTCAGGCTGACTGCCCGTTGACCTCAGTGCTGTGATGGGATTGCAAAGGCCACGGTTTTGTAGATGTGCTTGTTGTTGGGGTATGAGCCCTGCCGTTTCCACCTTCCTACATCCTAAGTGGAACCTGGAAGTCCTCCCACCTTTTTCTGGAAGAAAAAGAATAGAGAGTTGATTGAAATGATTTAATGTAATCCATTTCGGTGAGTGCTCCCTGAGTTTATTTTATTTATTTATTTATTTATTTTTTGAGATGGAGTTTCACTCTTGTCCTCCAGGCTGGAGTGCAGTGGCGCGATCTCAGCTCACTGCAACCTCCGCCTCCCAGGTTGAAGCAATTCTTCTGCCTCAGCCTCCTGAGTAGCTGGGATTACAGGTGCACGCCACCATGCCCGGCTAATTTTTGTACTTTTAGTGGAGATGGGATTTCACCATATTGGCCAGGCTGGTCTCAAACTCCTGACCTCAGGTGATCCACCCGCCTCAGCCTCCCAAAGGGCTGAGATTACAGGCGTGAGCCACCATGCCCAGCCCCTGAGTTTATTTCGTTTGGTTTGTTTTTAATGAATGGGACAAGATCTGGGGGTTGCATCGTTTGTTTCATATGATGCCTTTACACAGCTGAACTTAGGTGCAGTGTTTTAGCATTGACAGAAGGCTTGCCTTGAATACATTATTGAATTGATCCTCCCAGCAACCTGAGACCCATATGCTTCCTGCAGGCACACGCCTGTGAGTGGTGGCACTAAATCCTTAGCCCAGCACTCTGAGCCAAGCCCGAGATGACTTTCTCTATGGCATGTTCATCCTCACAGCAATCATATGAGCTCTACGAGTTGCATGCTGTTTTTCTTGCACATTATTTTAATTAAAAGAAACAAGTTTAAAGCAGTTAGGACACTTGCTCAGAGCAGAACTCACTCTTCAATCAATAATGATGTATAGCATACCCCTTGCCAAGCATCGTATTAGGCTCAGAATTAATATTCACCGAGGTCTAGCTTTAAGTCGGGCATAGGCTAGACTCCTTCATTGTCAGCCCTTTTAATTCTCAAAACAGTCCCATGAGCTAGAAACCATGACATCCATTTAAAATGTAATTTTAAAAAATTCCTAAAGTAATACATATTCATGGTACTTTTTAAAAATCAAGCTGTATAGAAGTATATAAAGTGAAAAATAAGGTTTCTCTCCTTTATCCCAATTCTATGTTCCATAGGTAACCACAAGTAGGTTATTTGTCCTATATGGGTTTCTTCTTCTTCTTCTTCTTCTTCTTTATTATTATTACTTTTTTTAAGATGGAGTCTTACTCTGTCACCCAGGCTGGAGTGCAGTGGCGCAATCTCAGCTCACTCAAACCGCCGCTTCCTGGGTTCAAGCAATTCTCCTGCTTCAACCTCCCAAGTAGCTGGGACTACAGGCATGCACTACCACGCCCGGATAATTTTTTGGTATTTTTAGTAAAGATGGGGTTTCGCCACATTGGCCTGGCTGGTCTCAAACTCCTGGCCTCAAGTGATCGGCCCGCCTCAGCCTCCCAAAGTGCTGGGATTACAGGCATGAGCCACCACGCCTGGCCCTATATGGGTTTCTTAAATGTTCTTCCAGATAATGTCTACCTATACAGAAGCAGACCCATACATAAACACATTTATAATATACTTAAGTGGGCTGATACTATTTTGTCACTTATTTTTTCACCTAGTAGTATATATCTTGGACATCTTTCCTTACCATAGTAATAAGCATCTATGTTACTCATCCAAGTAGCTAGCTGTCCAGCATTCCATTGAATGACTGTTCTAAATATTATTTAGCCAGTTCTCTAATTGACAGCTATATAAGTTATTTCTGGATGTTGCAATTATTTACAGTACGGTAATAAATTCACTTTGTGACTTATGGGCAAGATATTACTCTCTCTGTGTCTCAGTATTCTCATCTGTATAATGGGAATAAACGAAGTGCCTCCCAATAGGTTGTTGTCTGAGCGAAATGAGATAATAACATTAAGTGCTTAGAACAGCATCTGGCATGTTGTAAACACTCAGTAATTGTCAAATATTATTATTATTATTATTATTATTATTATAAACCTTTGTGTTCCTGTGCCAGAATAAATGATCCATTTCTGTTAATAAAATTCACATGTAAGTACAGACATTTAGTTCTGATACATGTAGTCAAAAATCACCTTCCTAAATATTGACTCTAAAGATATTCAACCTCTCTCATAAGTGAACGCAAATCAAAACAACAACACAATACCAATTCCTACCTGCCTAATTGTCAAAGATTAAACTGTTGGAAGATGGCCAGCATTGGCAACAATTTGGGAGAAGGCATTCTCATACTAAGTGGCATTTGTTTAAGATGCTGCTTGGCTCATCTGGTCAGGCTGGTCTTGGCATATCTACATGCTGGGCTTTTTAAAATAATTATGCAAAGTCTAGTTTGGCCTTCAATGATGCAGCAGCTGAGGAGGTCATGGGCATTCTCCCTTCCACGAAAAAGCCTTTCCCAGATGCCACGATCCCATTCCTGGAGCCAGATGGTTTCTCATGAGAGGCTCTCACTTGATTTCCTCTCCTTTAAAGCATGGATTTCCCATTCCAGTAGGTACAGGTGTAGCAACACCAAGGGACAGAGTGAATGACAGAGGAAGCAAGAGGGGACCCTGCCTTCATGTAGAGGCCCCAAGGCCAATGGTTAAGAAAGTGCGTGCTACAGCTGCCTCTGCAAACGACTCCTGGGTGAGCCTGAATGAGCTACCGGTTCTCAATCTTTTTTTCTCCTCTGTGAAATGAAGGCAGTCTCAGTTCCCATCTCCAGAGCTGGCATTCAGGCTATTGGCACTAGGAAGGCCATAAAATGTTGAAATGTTTCTATACCAATTGGCAAATAGCCACTGTCCCCATCTCTTTGCCTGAACCCTCTCCATGACAACTCCCCCAGCCTCTCCCCCAGGGATGTCCCACCATTTTCCCACAATGTGGCAGCGAGAAGGTTTATGCCCAGTTCACCAGCAGGCCTCCAGGGCCCTGATCCATCACTATAGCCAAGTCCATTTCCAGTTGATCATAGCTTATGCCCTACGAAACTCCCTAAGTTAAATATCACTCTTGATTTTGTCATGGAGTCATTAGGAATATTCCAAGGGGCAACATGCAGAGCTCACCTGGCACCTGATACAAGTTAACCATCAGGACTGAATTATAAGAGAACCTAAGCTCTTAGTGTAGAACAGAGACAAGCAATACCAGTGCGGGGTCATGCTCAGCCTTTCCTCTCTCTAGCTTCCAGGGTGGAGTCATTCTTGCTTGCAGTGTCTTGAAGAGAAAAGCCAAGGAAGCCAGAGTCAGAGATGTCTCCACAAAAGGGGACTAGAAGAGAAGGGATGGGAAAGAGAGACAGAAAAGGCTTGTTGGCCAGTGTTAGGAAGGGGCCCGTGTGGGGATCAGGGTTGAAGGTGAGAGACAGCCAGGAATAAGCCAGGGGCTGATGGCATGAAACGAATGACGTCTGCATGTCAGTGCTCTTGGCTTGCAGGGGCCTTTCCCAAAACCCCAGGAGGGCCAGGTAACATGTTAATATGGTCATACATGTTTGTGAAAATGTTGCAAAAGTAAGGTTTTTTTGTTTTTGCTTTTGTGAGACAGGATCTCAATCTGTTGCCCAGGCTGGAGTGCAGCCACACAATCACAGCTCACTGTAGCCTCCCCAGCCTCCCAAGTAGCTGGGACTACAGGTGTGCACCACCATGCCCACCTATTTTTTTTTTTTTTTTTTGAAGAGACAGGGTCTCAATATGTTGCCCAGGCTGGTCTCAAACTCCTGGGCTCAAGCAATCCTCCTGCCTCAGCCTCCCAAAGTGTTGGGATTACAGGTATGAGCCACTGTGCTTGGCCAAAATTAAGACGTGTTAACAGCAGTTGGTTACAACCATGCACTCTCTGTCTCTCTAATCCTTGCCTCTGTCCACTTCTCCTCATGCTGGTGACATTAAACTGCTGTGGGCAGTTTTGGGATCTCACTGAGAGGAAGTTGCCTTGGTGATATATTCAGTTGGAGTTTAATGGGTTATTTATTAATATCTGGCTTAGGAACTTTTTGTACATGGTTATGGTACTTCTAGCCATCTCTGCATAGGAATAGCTGCCAGGAATAATCCTGTCGCCCACTCTGTGGCTCACTTGATGTACCTGATATACTGACCGGGCCATCGCCTAGTGACGTGTGGGTTTCCAGCACTCTTCAGTTTCCAGCACTCCAAACATGTGGGTGGAAGAGTAAACACAAGTTTAAAGTCAGAGGCTGAAGCTGGTCTGTGGGAAGCTCTTCCAGCCATTACGTGTTTAAATCATAAGCTGAGGCCTCAGTGCTCACGGCGGCTACCTCCAGTGGCCGTCCTCTCTCGTAAGGAATCTACCCTTTAATGCTGCACATGCAGCTGTAAATGGACAAAGTTTTCCTTTATCCATGGGAATTGTGTGAATAGAACTTACCAGAATTTCTGTGTAAATGCACGCTAACCTGCAGCAGTGATACAAAGAGCAGGCACACCTGTGGATAAAGATGCATCATTTGTGCACGTCAACCTTTAGATCGTGTTTTCACATATTGGACACATTTTGTCCTTACCAAGTCTGATGGCTCTAGATGACACAGCATGCAAATTACTACCCACAGAGCAAAATGGGCTACATAAACAAGGTTTCATTGAAAGCACAATATTTTTCTTTCTTTCTTTTGTTTTCTTTTGTTTTGTTTGGCGGAGTTTCACTCTTGTTGCCCAGGCTGGAGTACAGTGGCACAATCTCAGCTCACTGCCACCTCCACCTCCCGGGTTCAAGTGATTCTCCTGCCTCAGCCTCCTGAGTAGCTGGGATTACAGGTACCTGCCACCACACCTGGCTAATTTTTGTATTTTTAGTAGAGACAGGATTTCACCATGTTGGCCAGGCTGGTCTCGAACTCCTGACCTCAAGTGATCTGCCCACCTCAGCCTCCCAAAGTGGTGGGATTATAGGCATAAGCCAACGTGCCAGGCCAAAAGCATAATATTTTTCCATAAGTCAGTGTTTGTGGCATGAGAGCAATTCAATTCCAAAATTATATATAATCAAAAATCTCTTGTACTTTCTTTACCCTTTTTAAATTAGTATTCATTTTGGTGGCTAATTTTCATAGTTTTTGTACCTAATATTCGTAATTTTACATTATTCTTAAAGAGGCTCTCCAAAATTATACTTCAGGCTCCACAAAATCTGGACCTGCCCCTGCATGAAGTCATAAGGAGAGAAAATGTTTTCCTTTAAACTTTTTATTTTGAATTAATTTTAGACATTAAAAAAGGCATAAAAGTAGTATACTGTGCTTCCAACTAATGCTAACACAACCATAGTTTAATCAAGAACAGGAAATTAATATTGCTATGGTATTATTAACCAAACTGCACTCCTTATTAGAATCTCACCAATTATTCCATGAACGTGCTTTTTCTGCCCCAAGATCTCATCTAGGAGCCCATGTTGCATTTAATTAGTTTTTACCAATCTCCTCCCGTGTGTCACAGTTCTTGAGTCTTTCCCCATCTTTCCCAACCTTGAAATTTTGGGGGAATGTTGATCAGTTATTCTATGGAATGTTCCTCAGTTTAGGTTTGGCCAATGTTTCCTCATGATTGGTGCAAAGTTGTACATTTTTAGCAATAATGTGGCAAAAAAATGACATTACATCCTTTCCGTGCATCTTATCAAGGAGTTCCTGATGCCAATATGTGCACATTTACCTTGATCGTGTGGTTAAGTTGGTCTCTGCCAGCCTTCTCCATTGTAAGTTACTATCTTTCTCTTCTTGGTAGTTGATTAGTATCTTGGGGGAGATACTTTGAGACTATACAAACCCTATTTCTCCTGTAACTTTCTAATTTTAATTTAAAACTATTTAGTTTTTAGTTAAACTACTTAGTAGTTTCTAGGTTTAGTTTAGCGGTTTCTAAAACTACTAATTTTATTATCAGTGGGGCTCTTATCTGCAGCAATTATTACTGAGGTGTTTGCTTAATGCTCTCCTCTACTTCATTCTATTTCTCTTTAGTAATTGAAATTCTATTGCTCCCTCATTTACTCACCTACTTATGCAATTGTTCATTTACACCATTACAAACTCATGATGGCTTTCTATTTTTTTTTTTTTTTTTTTTTTTGCGATGGAGTCTCAATCTGCTGCCCAGGCTGGAGTGCAGTGGTGCTATCTCGGCTCACTGCAACCTCCGCCTCCCAGGTTCAAGCGATTATCCTGCCTTAGCCTCCCCAGTAGTTGGGACTACAGGTGCATGCCACCACACCCAGCTAATTTTTAGTTTTTTGGTTTTGGTTTTTGGGTTTTTTTGTTTTCGTTTTTTTGAGACGGAGTCTTGCTCTGTCTCCCAGGCTGGAGTGCAGTAGCACAATCTTGACTCACTGCAACCTCCGCCTCCTGGGTTCAAGCCATTCTCCTGCCTCAGCCTCCCCAGTAGCTGGAATTACAGGCACACACCACCATGCTCAGCTAATTTTTGTATTTTTAGTAGAGACAAGATTTCACCATGTTGGCCAGGCTGGTCTCAAACTCCTGACCTCATGATCTGCCCATCTCGGCCTCCCAAAGTGCTAGGATTACAAGCTTGAGCCACCATGCCCACACTTATTTTATTCTTTACATTAAAATTCAGTACTATCATCATTTATTTTCTTGCTCAAATGTTTCAGCTTGGACCACTAACAGGTCCTTTGGGTTGATTCCTGCAATCTTTTAACAAACTCCATCTTTTCTTGAGCACTCCCTTACTTCCTGGCATCACAAGATGTTCTAGGCTCATCTTGTATTTTCCCTGCCCTGGCACCACTTCCCTTGCCTCCTTTTATTGGGGATGGTGTTTAAAGACCAAGCTACAGGCACTAGGTTTACTCATTGTTAGTGGGATGTCATTGCTTCTAGACTTTCTCAGCAGACAAAGCTGGGAAAGATATGTATGTGTTAATAACCCATGTGTACACATACAACTATACCATCTATCACCTGTCATGCTTGCTCTATAAAATGATGAGTTTATGCTGATACCTCTGATTCCAATTCAACACCACAGGGGCCATTTATCCTGCTCTAGGTAAGTATATCGGGGAGGCTACCAGTGTCATGGAAATGGCAGCAAAACCAATCCTCCAGAAACCCACAGTCCATTTTGTAGCCAGAGAGGACTCACGAACATCCATCAAGGGTACACTTCACTTGAGCTCCTTCTCTAGTGATGCAGCTTAGAAGAGATGTAGGGGCTCAGCCTCAACTGGAAACAAATATGCAACCTTTTCCCTTTGTTGCCATCATAGAGCCAAGGACACGAAATAGAATGAAAATGATCCTAATATAATTGCCAATTCTCTAAACCTTATAACTGGCAAAGAGTCAAATAAATTAAGATACTTATATCACAGTGAATTTTATTTCCAAAATTACATTTTCTGTGGACATTGGAGCTCTACCAATCCACAGCAATTAACTGCATTTCGGGTGAAAGATTTGTGTATAATTTAAGTTAACACTTCAATAAGGGACACTGGAAACCCCAGAGTTTAGATGCTCATGTGAAGCTTACCATTTGAAAGCTAACATAAGATGTGGCCATGACAACCTCAAAATAGTGCTAAGTGTCTAAAAGGCATTCAACTCCTCCTAAATAGTGATAACTGCATTTCCATTGCTTCTCCATTGCTACACTGGTTTCCATGAGAGAAGCTTTCCCTAAATACTCCAAGTCCTTGTCCTACCTCTTACTTTTCCCTAGAAGGCTGGGGTCAGTGACCTGATTGGGAAGTCAGGGAAAGAGACGGAGCATGCATAGCTCAGGCCCGTCCCCACTCCTGCCAGCAAAGAGCTGAATTTCCATCTACAGCTTCCAGCCCCAAGCATTCCAGGCTGCCATCTTTTGTCTTTACTTACGGTGAGCCAATAGGGTACTTCTAAGCCTGGTGCTGCCATATGTCTAAACCATGATCTGGTATAGGAGTCCTTTATGGATTACAAAAGACACAGGTCAATTGAGGTTTTAGTGAGAACAGACCTTGCAGATTTTGGATATCAACAGTTTCTAATAACTTCTCGTAGCTTCTGGACAAGCAGATTTAAAACAGTCCAAATGAGGTTTGACCTTGGTGAGTTGCTGCAGGTTTGGGTAGTTTTGTTGTTAAACAGGAAGGGCAGTAGGTCCTGACCTTGACCAAGTGCAAGCTACCCACACCTTAGCAAATGCTCCCAAGCTAGGACAGCCTATGCAAACCTGAACAGGTGGTACAAGCTGCAGGGAAGCTGCACAGACCCCGGGGCCTTAGCACAGGCATGCGCCACAGGGACCAAGCAAGTGCATTAGCCAGACATGAGCTGCGTGGGTGGCCTTGATGTGCCGGCTGTTGTGCATTGACCTTGAACCACACTGTGCAGACACATCGGAATATGCATGCTGGTATTGCAGGTGAGGCTAAGGCTAAAGGAGACCTCCTTTGACAGAATATATTCTGCTTTTAAACTATGAGGCAGCTGGGTTCCACATTCACTGAAGCTTTAGCATGAGGGAGATGGGCAGCAATAGATTGGATACCCAATTCTATTCTCCATGTATAGCCAAGGAGAAAGCTGGAGGGACTCAGCTGAATTATGTGGTTCCCCACTAGGGTCTCAAGTCAGCTCTGGATCTGTTCATTGCAAAAGTTCTGATCTTGGCTTTCACCTTCAGAGACCCAAACTGACTCACTCTCAGGAAGTGATGGATTTCTGGCAATACACAAATTAAAAAAACCCCACAGGTCTCTGTTGTAAAATAATATATATTTATGCTACCATCACATATATATGCAAGTGTGTGTGTGTGTGTGTGTGTGTGTGTGTGTGTGTGTACATAAGCTGCCATTTTAGATTAAGACAGAGAAACAAGTCAGTAAGTTATTGCCAACCCAAAAGCTAGAAAGGCCTGTGCCCGTTACATGTTGTCTTTAGAAATCATATTTGCTCAAAAATCAAGAAGAAATCAGAGTGACATTTAAGAAAAAAAGCTTAAGGCTGAAAGTCAGAACAGCAGCCTTGGAAAAATAAAAATAGGGCCAACCAGGAGGTTTCCACTGGAGAAAGAAATTTCCTTATAATATAGGAGAAAGAGTGTAATCTAGCAGACATCCACAACAGTATTGCAGGGGGAAAATGAAATCTATGGTCTAGGAAAGACAAATATCAATAGGAAAGGGCACACCTAACTGCTCTTACAGGGGAAAGGGGGAGGGTGCTGTTGACAACATGATCTTCATTGTTAACAGATCAGAAGCATCAATGGTGTCTGATGAAATCTAGCAGCTCTGCACTCTCAGGGCTATGTTGGAAGGACCACCTTTCCAGGAGAACCACTTGGAGCATCAGAGTCTATGGCAAGTGTAGCTGGAAAAACACCATTAATGGTTGAACAGCTATTCTAAGTGGGCACAGGAAATCTGAACAGATTTGAGAGAAGGCCACCAAGATGAGAGCAAAACACTGAAAGCAGCATCTTTAGGTGGATTTTAAGGTGTCACAGTCAGCATGACATGGGTACTTCTGTACCCTATGAGAACAAGCTCCAGGAATAAGAACTCTAAGAGGAGATTCAGCCAAGATGTCCTGAGCCAAGGAGGGCAGTAACAAATCAAGTCCAAGCCCAGCCAAAATACTCATCTTATGGGAGAATATCACCCAGGTAGAATTGTCCCACTCAGGAGGGAGTTAGTCGTCAGCAGAGGAGAACTTTTTGAACAATGGGTGGTTGCGACAGACCTAGAACATTTTGATTTCATTTTTCTCACTATGGCAGCCTCACAAGGCAGAGTATGGAGGAGTCAGTTAGAAAAACCAAAGCCACAAGGAAATAGGAGGCAAGGCACTCAGACCAGGCAAACAAGGCTCACCCTACATGCTTAATTAGAAAGAAATTAAGAAAAAATATTAAGAACAATTAAGAAGAAATACAAAATTAAGAAAAATTACATGCTTAATTTAGGAAATAACTTAAACTACTAGAAACTCAAGGGCCCCCACCACCACCATCAGACAAGGGCAGCAGTGGGAAACCCACACCAGCCAAACACTTTAAGGCCAGGCCCCATAAAGCCCAGTGGAGCAGCCCAGAGGTTGGGCTGAAAAGGCAAAGGCCAAATCAGAGGTCTCCTTATGCAGAAAGGGGAAAAGCATTATCTCAAGTAAGACCTGGGAATGGGGTATGTACCCACAGCAAATGCGTAAGCTTTGCCAGAAGGCAGCGAAGTCTCTGATGAGCAGATGGATTCTCCCTGAGATGAAGCAAACACAGCATCATCACAATGCGTTGATGCAGGTTCTTCCACTTGCATTTCATTCAGAGGTCAAGGATGCCCACCAGTCCGAAAGCGGCTCAAAACACTTTGCTCAACCACACCCCCACGTGAAACAGCAGTGATAAGTCTTTAGTAATAAACCAAAGTTTAACTAGGCTATACTAATATTTAGGGTTGCTTAATTTCTTGCCAGCCACCACGGCCATACAATTAACCCAAGCTAACAGAATTCGGCGTAAAGAGTGTTTAAAGTCTGCCCTCAATAAAGCTAAAGTTCATCTAAGTTGTAAAAACTCCAGCTGAAATAAAATATACTACAAAAGTGGCAGTCAACTGCCTTGGACTGGTGGGCATCCTTGGAGGTGAAAGCAAGATTCTCTCCACCTCATTCCCTCATTCAGACCCCACCCCCAGGTGGCTGCAAGGCTGGTACAAGCCTGCTTCCTTAAGGCAGAGGGTGTGCCCAGGGTATTCTGTTGTTCCCATCCTTTTCACTCTTGACTGCTTTAAAAGGGGTACATGCAAGAGACCCACTCAACTTCCCGAGGCCTGGATCAGCTTCTCAGCCATGGCTGCACTTTGGAATCGCCCAAGGAGGCTTGAAAAGTCCTGTTGCTGGGGCCTCACCCTAGAGATTCTGAATCCACAGGGGTGGGATACGGCCTGGGTGCCAGGAGTCACTGACTCTCCCCAAGTGCAGTAGCACAAAAATTTGTGTCTACCCAGAAGCTCAAAATGTGACCTTCTTTAGAAATGGGGTATATTTGCAGATGGAATTAATTAAGGATCAAAGTGAAAGCGATATGGTTTGGCTGTGTCCCCACCCAAATCTCATCTTGAATTGTAGCTCCCATAATTCCCATGTGTGGTGGGAGGGACCCAGTGGGAGATCATTGAATCATGGAGGTGGTTTCTCCCACCCTGTTCTCATGGGAGTGAATAAGTCTCATGAGATCTGATGGTTTTATGAGGGGAACCCCCTTTCGCTTGGCTCTCATTGTCTCTTTGCCTCCCCCATGTAAGACGTGCCTTTATTCTTCCCTCGCCTTCCACAATGATTGCGAGGCCTACCCAGCCACGTGGAACTGTGAGTCCATGAAAACTGTTTTTCTTTACAAATCACCCAGTCTCGGGTATGTCTTTAGCAGCAGCGAGAACAGACTAATACAGAGAGCATGTGGAATTTGGGTGGGCCCTAAATCCTATGAGTGTCCTTATAAGAGACAGAAAAAGGACACACAGAATCACAGAGAAGGTGACATGAAGACAGAGGCAGAGACTGGAGTGGAGGGTCCACAAGCCAAGGCACAGCAAGGTGTAGAAGCTGGAGAGAGGCATGGGACGGTTTCTTTCTTAGAGCTTCCAGAAGGAACCAATCCTGATGACACCTGGATTTTGAACTTTTAGCCTCCAGAGTTATGAGAGAATACATTTCTGTTGTCTTTTGTTGGCTTGTGTTTCGTTTTGTTTTGAAACAGGGTCTTGCTCTGTTGCCCGGATTGGAGTGCAGTGGTGCAATCTGGAACTCCTGGGCTCATGATCCTCCTGCCTCCACCTCCCAAGTAGCTGGGACTACAGATGTGCACGACCACACTCGGCTAATTTTTTCTATTTTTTGTAGAAATGGGGTCACACTATGTTGCCCAGGCTAATTTTAGTCATTTTAAGCCATCCAGTTTGTGTTCTCTTGTTATGGCAGTCCTAGGCAACTAAGACACCAGGTAACTGTCCTTTGTGGCCAAAGTTGGAAACCCTGCCATCTCCAACAGAGGAGAATCCAACTGCAGGAAGCGCCCCGGGGCTACCTGCACATCTGTCAAGAACATCTATGTCTGAGCCCGAGACAAATTAGAAACTGGGGAGCTTGATGTTTGGTCTTTTATTTCTTTGACTTTTAACTCGCAAGGGCAAAAAAATTTAATTCCAACTTTGATTCCCTTGGACTTTCACTTCTTTGAACTTCAAGTTGCAAGGAAACTTAATCTTCTGGTTTTAATTTATCCCCAGGAATTTCTTAATGAAGAGAGGGCTTATATTCAAATATGAGACAACTTGTTAGAGCTTCTGAATTTTGGGGATATCTTTAGGATGTCATTTGATCACACTGCAGAACCTCTGATAAGAAATGTCAAACAACATGGTTAGATATAATTTGAGATGAGAAATAAAAGAGAGTGAGTGTTTGGCCTTGGGGAAAAGTGACCTTGAGTTGATTTAACTCACGTGGTATTCTGACTGATTTCAGAGCTCTTTAGGAGCAAACTCTGTACTTCTCTAAGCGCCTAAGAGAATCTCTGAAAGCCCAGCGCCTGGTGTCAGATAGCATCACAGAAAGGTGGGCACAGCCCTGCTCAGACAAACTGCTGCTTTGCTTGCTCTGGGAGGTGAGGCTGGCCCTTGGTCGACCACTGTCTTGAACGGGAAGCGCAGGGAGTAAAGAGGACAGAAAGCTGGGATTAGAGAAGCTGCCCCTCTGGTTTTCTTGAAGAAGGACTTTCCCAGAGTACTCCAGGTCTCCTGCCCCCACTCCACGGTAGCAGAGCAAGCTCTCCGTGGGCAACAGCTCCAGCTCTCACTGCTCTGCTGCAAGAAGGTAACCTATCGACAGTCTAAGCCCCAAGAGTCTGTCTTTCCCCTCTGTCTCTATGCAGACCAGCCCAAGGGAGGGATGGGGTATAGTGTCTAGCTGGGCACAGACTCAAATCTCCCTCCAAGACCTGTGCCAATTCTACACTACAGGCAGGGAGCTAGCAGGCTGTTCCTTGAATCTGGCCTTGTCAGTAATAAAGGTGACATTGAGGTCTCTGTCCACTGATATTTTTATTTAGTTTAGCATTGTTCAGAAGTCAGGTGGGGATCAGATGCAGTGGCTCACATCTATAATCCCAGCACTTTGGGAGTCCGAGGCGGGAGGATTGTTTGGGCCCAGGAGTTCAAGACTGGCCTGGGCAACATAGCAAGATCTCCGTCTCTATAAAAAAAATTTTTTTTTTAATTAGCCAGGGTTGGCGGTATGCACCGCTGGTCCCAGCTACTCAGGAGGCTGAGGTAGGAGAATTGCTTGAGCCTAGGAGATCAAGGCTGCAGTGATTGCGCCACTGCATTCCAGCCTGGGTGACAGAGCAAGATCCTGTCTCAAAAAAAAAAGGAAAAAGAAAGAAGTCAGGTGGGAAGAGGAATGCTGTTTCCTGACCCTGAAGGCCAGCGTTTCAGAACCTTCCTAAGGGCTGGCTCTGTGCTGGGCTCAGTGCCAGGGTCGTTACGGTGATGGCTGTACTGAATCTTCACTACTGTGTGAAAGGCAGGCAATCTATCACAGCCATTTCACAGAAGAGCACACTAACACACAGAGAGGCTAAATGATATCACACCAACTGTGAGTGGAAGAGCTGAGATTTGAGCCCAAGGAGTCAGACCCCAACCACTAAAGTTAATGAAAGAAAAGCATACCTGCACTGGATAGCACCAAAATCATTTTTTAAACAATATTATCATATATATCTAGAATATATATTATATATATGATATGAATATGTATATACTCATAAATCTTTTGATATATATAATATATAGTAAATATTGTGTATGTTTGTGTTTCCAGCAATTTCTCTTTCAATAATTTATTCTAAGAAATAGTCAACAGCTATAGGAACAAATATGTACAGGGCTGTTCAATTCAGCTTCACTGTAATATAACAAAAATGGAAACAATTTAAATATCCAAAACAATAGTTGATTAATTAAATGTATTACAATAGAGCCATATAATACAAATACAAAAGTGTTGTTTAAGGCATATAAATGAGAAAAATGGAAGAATAAACAACAGCCACAAGACTTGGAAGTTGGAAAGCAGTCCAGTGAGTGATAAAGACCCAGCAGAGCTTGGGAACTTTGTGCAGGCTACGAGAAGGCTGAGATCCAAGGTGTGGAATCACCGAAAGGTCTAGGTACCTCCAGAAGTAGGGTGAGTTGGGGCAGCGGGCATAGAACTGAACCAAGGAGAATGGGATGAGAGTTCATTTAAGCAACACTCAGTTGAGAAAATGCCTCTTCCCACCCAGCAAAGCCTGGGACTGGACCCTTGGGAGAGAGGAAAGCAAACACCCTCTGGGCTGGCCACACCAGGCTCCCCTGAGAGCAGAGCCTCCTACTAAAGATGGAGAGGTTAGTGAATGTTTGCTTTCAAGATGCTGAGACCCTGCCCCTTCCTCTCACAGCACCTGAGCACGGGCTGCAGGACCTCAGCTCTAAGCAGGGCCAGGCACCGTGGCTCATGCTTGTAATCCCAGAACTTTGGGTGGTCAAGGCAGGCAGATTGCTGGAGCCTAAGAGTTAGAGAACAGCCTGGGCAACATAGCGCGATTCTGTCTCTACAAAAAAATAAAAATAAAAAAATTAGCTGGACATGATGGTGTGTGCTTGTAGTCCCACCTACTCAGGGGGCTAAGATGGGAGGATCACTTGCACTCAGGAGTCCAAGGCTGCAGCGAACTATGATGGAGCCACTGCACTCCAGCCTGGGCAACAGAGCGAGACCGTATCTTAAAAGAAAACAACAACAAAAACAAAAACAAAAATGCAGTAAGAATGCTAGAGGCTTCTCCTTTACAAACAGCCCAAGGATGTCAACATCAGGACAACCACACAGCCCAGCTGTTGGGAGTTGATGTCAACTAAACAGCCCAGCTATTGGGAGAGCTGAGTGGAAGAGACTGACAGATGGAGGATTGGAATGGAGTTATGCAAAAGGGAAGAAGAGGTGAGCCTGGAGCGGGGGCTACTTGCCTGTGGGTGGCTCTTGGGTCACACTTGCCCCGTCCACCAACACTGGCCAGTTTGAAGTTCTCAAACTGAACATGATGAGTCAGCGGAGGAGATGCGCTAGATGGAATATTCCATAAACACTGGTGGGAATTACATGCTATCTAGGGACACAGCTCAGAGTCATGCTGCCAGGGGGTGAAGATAAGAGCAAAGCTGTTGGTCTGTTAGCACAGGAAACAGGATGGGTGTCAGTGACAAAGGACCAGAATTAAAGGGATCAGAATTCAGAAGAAATGCGACAAGTGTGTGCTTTCACGAGGCGATTCATTTGCGATCTCAGAGGGAAATAAGTAGAGCAAGAGAACAAGTATCAAAATGCAGTTAGACCAAATGGTTAGGAAGAATTTGAGATTTGTGGAGAAGAGATTTTTCAAAGATTGTACTAGCTCAATTACTAACTGTGACCCACTACATTCAATTTTTGTGCATTAGTTTGGGTTTTGTGTGACCAAATGAAGAACACGAATTATAATCGTTGGTCTGCCGTCAGTAGCCAAGGGCTGCTCTTCAAGGCACTGGGGAAGAGGTAGTGTGGGCTAGCTAGATGTCACCAGGACTCCAAAGTTCTTCCTCGTGACTCTCACAGTAAATATCCCAATAGCAGAAGCCAGGTTGGAAGGTGTTGAATTGTGTCCCCCAAAATGATAGGTTGAAGTCCTAATCCTGTGCATACACTTGATTTGGAAATAGAGTCTTTGTAGACGTCATTAAGATGTGAAGTTAAGATGAGGTGTTACTGGTGTAGGGTGGGCCCTTAATGCAATACGACTGATGTCCTTATAAAAAGAAAAGACACAGAGACAGACATAGGGAGAATGCTGTGCGTTTACAGGGGCAGAGACTGGAGCCATGTGTCCACGAACCAAGGGAACACCAAAGACTCCCAGCAAAGCCAGGAGAGAAGCATGGGACAGATTCAACCCCCGGGCCCCCAGGAAGGAACCCACCCTGCTGCCACCTATGCTGTTGGACTTCTGGCCTCCATGACTGCAAGAGAGTGAATTTCTGTTATTTTAAGCCACCCAGTTTGCGGGGCTTTGTGAGAACAGCCCGAGGAGACTCATATGAAAAGGTTCAGAGTCAGACCCAGCACCAGGATTAGAACACACATCCTGACTCTTCCCTCCCCTGCCTCTACTCATTGAGGAGCCGGTTATCAATGCTGCTCAACGGATGTGGGTTGAACAAAACAATGGCTCCCCTTGAGAGAAAATGAGGAAGCTCATGGACTTAGAGAAGTGGATATGGACAGGCCCCTGCTCATGCGTTCAGCATTGACAAGGTGCTCAGGACAGCTCTGGCTACCGATTTATAGTTCTAGGATGTAAATGCAAAACCAAAAGGTCTTCAGCATGATTTTCTTTTGTCGTTTTGTTTGTTTGTTTTTGTTTTGTTGTTTTTTTGAGACGGGGTCTCGCTCTGTTGCCCAGGCTGGAGTGCAGTGGTGCAATTATGGCTCACTGCAGCCTCGACCCTCTGGGCTGAAGCAATCCTCTCACCTCAGCCTCCCAAGTAGCTGGGCCCATAGTTGCACGCCACCGCATCCAGCTAATTACAATTTTTGTTGTAGAGACAAGATCTTGCTATGTTGCTCAGGCTGGTCTCAAATTCCTGGGCTCAAGCAACCATCCTGCCATGGCCTCCCAAAGTGCTAGGATCCAGCCTGATTTTCAAAATTCAACATCAGCAGAGGAAAATTACCTTTTGTGTTTTGTTTGTGAGGAAAATATTTCAGTTCACAAGCAATTGAAAATGAATGTGGAACTAACTGGCCGATATCTATTTCCCAAAGCCCCGTTTCTGATTCCCAACTGTGCTCAGCTGTGCTTCCATAAAGGACAATTAAGCCCATTGTGGCCATGAGGTTCCCTGAATCCACCAGTCTATGGCATTTGTATAAGGAGACTACTCACTGTGGGGAACAAACTGGGTCTTCTTTAAATTTCTTATTAATTAGATACCTCTTATCTGAACTCAGCACAATTTCTACTTATTCCCATGGGGAGAACTTATAGCTCTGCCAAGCATCGTGGGGCCGCCTCTGCTGCTCATACCTGGATTCCACGGGTTGGCTGTGCTCAGCTACAGCTGCAGCCGCAGCCAGGTAGGATGCCTGTCACATGCTTGCTGTACACAGCGAGCTGGAATGGATAACGTGAAGCCTACTTTTGCCAAAGAGGAGAAAAAACCTTCCCAGTAGCAGTGCAAATGCAAAGAAAGAACTTCAAAATGAATCTGAATACCTGTCAACTTAAAAACGTTTCTCTTTTTATTTTGCTAACTATTGTTCTAGCATTTTGTTCTAAAATAACTTTAGGTTCTAAAGTCGAGCTTCAAGACACATCCTGCCCAGGCGCAGTGGTTCGAGCCTGTAATCCCAGCATTTTGGGAGGCTGAGGCGGGTGGATCACTTGAGGTCAGGAGTTCGAGACCAGCCTGACCAACATGGTGAAACCCCAGCTCTACTAAAAATACAAAAGTACCTGGGCATGGTGGTGCACGCCTGTAATCCCAGCTACTTGGGAGGTTGAGGCAGAAGAATCACTTGAACCCAGGAGATGGAGGTTGCAGTGAGCTGAGCCACTGCACTCCAGCATGGGCAACAAGAGCGAAACTCCATCTCAAAAAAGAAAGAAAGAAAGAAAAAAAGACACATCCCCGTGGAATTTATCCTGAGTTGACCAGGTAGGTTCTGCAGTACTCAAATCCACTCCCACCAGCAAGCTATCTTGAGAAAGACTGGAGTTTACTGGAGATTGCTGGTAGGAATTGAGGAAGAAATGGAGAAGAGTCCAACTGAGGTGGGGGAGGGTGCTGAAGTGTTTTCCCACTACTCCCACCTTGAACCCCAGATGCCTCCAAGAGAACACTCTGTAGAGGCTGCTGGTGCCTGTGCTTCACTCCACCTGAACAGTGGCTGAGCTGCAGAAGTGCAGGCCATTCTGATGCACTGGGGTGAAGCATAGGTGGGAGGGCTTGGGAAAACTGGATCCTGCTCCCCAGCGGAGGGCTCTGACAGTGGGAGCTGGCTGGGGCACCTGTGGTAGATGGCAGGGCTGAGGGAGTGGGCTGCTGTACAGTTGCACGGACCCCCAACATTGGGTCTGGTATGAATGCATGAGTTTTTTCTTCGGGAGGGGAGTGGCAAGTGGATGCTGAGAAGATAGGCTGACTAGAGTTGACATTATGGGAACCCACCCACAAAGGCAGCCTTCAAGGGCATAGGGTCCTCAGCTGTAAGAAGCCATGGGCTGGACCCTGGGGCAGGAGTTGAACAGAGCTGCAGTTAGTTAGAGCATAGGCCCTCCTAAGAGCTGATATCTTGAGTGTGACAAAAGAGCCAGCACTTGGACGCGTGCCATGGCCAAGAGCTTTGGGAGCCAAGAGAGAACTACAAAGAACACACTCAAAGTCAAAGGAGTTTTGCTCCTTTCTGCTAAGCCCTTCCCTGCCTGCCCTGGCCCCAGAAGACACAGACAGGAAAGGATGGGAGAAGGAAGAGAAGAGGTACCCTCTCTCCCACGGTGGGGTTTGGCTGGCAGAGCTAGGCACACCCCAGTTACAAGGTGGAAGTGTGGGTATTAGGCTGGCCTCAATCATTTAATCTTGGGAAGGGAATTGGCATCACCTAAATGAGGCTGTGGCAGCTGAGATGGCCGGAAAGCTGTGGCTCCGCCCCAAGGAGTCATCTAGGACAGGAAAGGGAGAAGCAGTGGATCAAGATTGGAAAAGTAAAGAAGAAAGACAGCTGGGAGTCAAGACTGTTCCTTATGGCTCCCCCTTGGCGTTTACCCACTTGACAAATCTTTTTTTTTTCTTTTTTGAGACAAGGCTCACTCTGTTGCCCAGGCTGGAGTGTAGTGGCACCATCTCGGCTCACTGCAACCTCCGCTCCCAGGTTCAAGTGATTCTCTTGCCTCAGCCTCCCAAGTAGCTGGGATTACAGGCACACGCCACCACACCCAGCTAATTTTTGCATTTCTAGTACAGATAGTGTTTCACCATGTTGGCCAGGCTGGTCTCGAACTCCTGACCTCGGGTGATCCACCCACCTCAGCTTCCCAAAGTGCTGGGATTACAGACGTGAGCCCCCATACCCAGCCAACAAATCTTACAAATCTAAGAAATCAAGTTTCTTAGCAGACAAGAAGGTGACTTAACACCCCCAACTATTAGTCTCTTCTCAATGGTTGTACCAGAAATTCCCCAGTAATTTGTCATTATTCTTATAAAGCCAGGGATCTTCTCCCCTTTGAAATGCACATCCCTCTGGGAAGGACCCCTTGGGCTTTCCTGTGAGAGGACATTGGCTCAGTCCTTTCCTGAGAGAGGAGGGGAGGACAGATTTGGGAGGCTCTGGATGAGTGAGGAATATCTGCTGTTTGGGATGGGAGGGCCCAGAGATGCATACATGAAGGTGCTGAAACTGACCTTGCCCCCAGCCCCATTTACCTGGAGCTGGCTCCAGGAGAATGAAAACTTTGGAAAAATCTGTGTGTGTGTGTGTGTGTGTGTGTGTGTGTGTGTGTGTGTGTTTAGTTCTTTAAAAATTCCACGTGTCAACCCTTCGGCTGTTTTTCTATGTTCTTTGCCATCATTGTTAGTTCAGGTTAAATATTATGGTCAAAAAATAGAATGGGAACTAACAAAGAATAAATTGCCATCTTCTATGCTAAGGTTAGCCAATAGATGTTTCTGTTAAGCAATCCTAAGGCTCTGAGATACTGTAAGGTAGAGAAGCTCTCTGAAAGCTCTCATAAAGATATAAAGTTTCCCTAAAATCAATGAAAGTAAGCAGAGTATCCAGAAATAGACTCAAATATACATGGAAATTGAGCATATGGCAATGGGGACACTTCACATCTAGGGCAAAAGCAAGGTTCTGTGCATGACATTGGGACAACTGGTATCAGCGAGTAGGGGTGGGGAAGTGATCCATATTGCAATTATTATTATTATTATTATTATTATTATTATTATCATTTTGAGACAGAGTCTCACTCTGTCTCCCAGGCTGGAGTTCAGTGGCTCCATCTCGGTTCACTGCAACCTCTGCCTCCCAGTTCAAATGATTCTCCTGCCTCAGCCTCCCAAGTAGCTGGGATTACAAGCATGCACCACCATGCCCGGCTAATTTTTGTATTTTTAGTAGAGACAAGGTTTTACCATGTTGGCCAGGCTGGCCGCAAACTCTTGACCTCAAGTGAACCACCCACCTCAGCCTCCCAAAGTGCTGGGATTACAGGCATGAGATATCGTGCCCCGCCCCTACTGCAATTTTTTTATTTTTATTTTTTAATTTATTTAGTTTTTGAGACAGGGTCTCTGTTGCACAGGCTGGAGTGCAGTAGTGAGATCTCAGCTCACTGCAACCTCCGCCTCCTGGGTTCAAGCAATTCTCCCATCTTAGCCTCCTGAGTAGCTGGGATTATAGGTGCACACCACCATGCCTGGCTCATTTTGTATTTTTTTGTAGAGACAGAGTTTCACCATTGCCCAAACTGGTCTCGAACTCCTGAGCTCAAGGGATCCACCCACCTCAGCCTTCCAAAGTACTGGGATTAACAGCATGAGCCACCGCGCCTGGCTCTTCCTGCAATCTTAAAACCAGAATAAACTCTAGTTGTAATAATGTAGCCACCAGTCGCCTGGAGCTCTTTACAGTTAAATTAATTTAAATTAAATAATGGTAAAAACTCATATTCAGTTGCATTAGTCACAATTCAAGTGCTCAAGAGCCACATGGGGCTGGTGGCTGCCATATTGGACAACACAGAACATTTCCATCAACACAGGAGGTTCTACTGAATGAAGCTGCTTTGGACTGTTCAAAGATTTAAATGTAAAAGTGAACATTATTATTATTATTATTATTATTATTATTATTATTATTACTGAGACAGAGTCTCGCTCTGTCACCAGGCTGGAGTGCAGTGGCGTGATCTCAGCTCCCTACAACTTCTGCCTCCTGGGTTCAAGTGATTCTCCTGCCTCAGCCTCCCGAGTAGCTGGGACTACAGGCACGCGCCACCACGCCCAGCTAATTTTTGTATTTTTAGTAGAGACAGTGTTTCACCATGTTGGCCAGGCTGGTCTCAAACTCCTGACCTCATGATTCACCAGCCTTGGCCTCCCAAAGTGCTGGAATTACAGGCGTGAGCCACCGTGCCTGGCCTAAAAATATATCTTATTAAAGCACTAGAAGAAAACAAAACATGGATTTTTAAATCTTGGAATGGAGATAAATCAATGCAAAACCTAAAAACCAATGCAAGAACTTAAAAAACAGAGAACAATTGTTCAAATTGCTAAATAAAAATTTAAAATTTCCTCTTTGTGAAAAATAATCTAATAAACAGGCTTCAAATGGTAAAACAAACAAACAAAAAAACCAGATTTATAATCTACAAGCAGAAAAAGAGCTAATTTCCTTAATAAAATAATATAGAAGGACAAAAACCCAAGAGGAAAAAAATGTGTCAAGAACAGGGCATTTCACTGAACCAAAAAGATATAAATGGCCAACAAATACATTAAAGGATGTTTAACCTCAGAATTGAGAAAATGCAAATTAAATAATGATAGTATCATCATTAAATAATGGAAGAGGCCACTTTTCAACTATCATTGGGAAAATTAAACAGTTTGCATGCATCATTTGCTAGAATGTGGAAAATCTGGTAGGTTCACACATTGATGGTAGAAGAATAAACTACAGCAGTTTATTCAGTTTGCCAGCAGAAATCAACATTTTAAGTGCATGTTACCTTTGACCTAGTATTTCCATCATTAAAAATTTACCAGGCTGGGCACAGTGGCTCACACAGGTAATCCCAGCACTCTGGGAGACTCAGGCTGGCCTCTCACTATGTTGCCCAGGCTGGTCTCGAACACCTGGCCTCAGCTCCGTCAGGAGTACGAGACCAGCCTGGGCAACATAGTGAGACCCAATCTCTACCAAAAATACAAAAATAAGCCGGGTTTGGTGGTACGTGCCTGTGGTCCCAGTTACTCAGTAGGCTAAGGAGGAAGGATTGCTTAAGCCCAGGATGTGGAGGCTGTAGTGAATCATGATTATGCCATCATATTTCAGCCTGGGTGACAGAGCCAGACCCTGTCTTAAAAAAAAAAAAATTCCCTACAAATATACTTTGAAATGTGCACAAAGTTATGTGCACAAAATGCTCACTTGCAGCTGCATTTGTTATTTTAAAAAAAGAAAAATCCCTGAAATGTCTATTAAATAAATTATGTCTATGTAAATAAATTATGCTACAGCTATAAGTAAGATACTATGCACCCATTAAAAATATATGTGTTGGCCAGGCACAGTGGCTCACACCTGTAATCCCAACACTTTGGGGGGCCAAGGCGGACGGATCACGAGGTCAGGAGATTGAGACCAGCCTGGTCAACATGGTGAAACCTCGTCTCTACTAAAAATACAAAAATTAGCTGGGCATGGTGGCTCATGCCTGTAATCCTAGCTACTCGGGAAGCCAGGCAAGAGAACCAGGGAATCGGAGGTTGCAGTAAGCCGAGATCACGCCATTGCACTCCAGCTTGGTGACAGAGTAAGACTCCATCTCAAAAAAAAAAAAAAAAAAAAAAGTGTTGCAATGAGGTGACTATAGTCAATAATAATTTCGTTGTATATTTTAGAATAAGAGTATAATTGGATTATTTATGATACAGAGGATAAATGCTTGAGGGGATGGATACGTCATTCTCCAGAATGTGATTATTACACATTACATGCCTGTATCTAAACATCCCATGTACCCCATAAATATATACACCTACCATGTACCCACAAAAATAAAAAATTTAAAGTATATATGTGCTGATAAGATCCCCAAGATATATAATTAAGTGAAAAGCGTAGGGCTAGAACAAAGCGCAGTATGATCCTAACTTGGTCCTGTTTTGTTTTTAAGGTATACAGAATATTCATACAGATTTTGCTCATATGCAAACAAGATAGACCCGAGGATACGTAGGAATTTGCCAATAATTACTCCCAGTGAGTAGAACTGGTGGGTGGGGATATAGTTTTGTTTCTTTCTTTAGATCATTTTGTGTTTTTTGGGGTGTTTTTTTTGCCATATATTCATTTGTTTACATTGAAAATAAAACAGACTCAAAAGTAAATAAAGGTGCTGTATCAATGGAGAATATTCACCACTTCCTGTGTAAATTTAATTCCGAAGGACAGCGTGCACCTGAGTAATGTAGATAAAAAGACCCTGTGAGTCTAGGGGCTGTCAGATGGACTCTGCCCCGGCACACACGGAAGCAGGAGATGCTCCTGCCCGTCACTGGGAAGGGAAGTGGAGGCAGTCCCGTTCCTGATGTCTCAATGTCAAAAATGGCCAGGCTGAGCATAACCTCCCTCCTGCTACCCGATACTCAGCTCAGCTTGAGGACTCAGCTCTGACTCAGAGAAGGATCTGGTTCCAGGGAATTTTGTCATGAGAAGCAAATCATGTGACACCCCAGTGTGAGAAATGGCTGGCCAGTGTAAAGCTGTGGAAAATTGAAGTTAGTCTTGGCTCCAGGCTTTATGGAGGTTTTTCTATTAACCAGAGGTGAGCTCAGGTGCGAGGTTAATGGAAAGGTGCAGAGAAGGCTGTCGGGGGACTGCGGTGACGGTTTACACTGCTGTGTAGGATGCAGTTCCTGTAACAAGTGGATATTCTCTTCTATTATAAAATACAGCCCCATGGGACTGTGGCATCAAAGGCCTCTTGTGGGTCTGGAAACTCTTAGCTGGAGGAGAAAAACAGGCTCTGCTCAGGATGCAGGCTGACAAGCATAAGCCTTGTTTTGTTCTCTGTAGAAACAATGAAACTTCAAGCATAAGGAAAAATTGCTTAAATTCCTAACATCCCACCACCCTAAGTTAATTAATTGGCATATTTTCTTCCTATCTTCCTATGCATGGGTGCATGTTTTTCATATTTCTAATTAAAATACTCACAAGTTGTAGCATTTTGCCTTTTTAAACTATATACTATAAAATCTATTTTCAGCAGGGTGTGGTGGCTCACGCTTGTAATCCCAGCACTTTGGGAGGCCAAGGCAGGTGGATCACTTGAGGCTGGGAGTTCGAGACCAGCCTGGCCAACGTGGTGAAACCCCATCTATACTAAAAATACAAAATTTAGCTGGGCGTGGTGGCGGGTGCCTGTAATCTCAGCTAATCGGGAGGCTGAGGCAGGAGAATCACTTGAACCTGGAGATAGAGGTTGCAGTGAGTGGAGATCATGCCATTGCACTCCAGCCTGGATGACAAGAGCGAAACTGCATCTAATATATATATATATATATATATATATATATATATATATATATATATATATATATTTTCCATATCTCTGTATAACCTTACTACTTGCGGTCTTACTGTACCACATTTTACCAAGTTGACACACAGTTCCCTATTGTTGGATAGTTATATATTGTTAAATACTTTTGATTTGATGACCTACAAGATATCATTCCAGGGAGCATTTTCAATGTACGCAGTTTTTTCCTCCTGTTAAATTGCTTCCTAAAAATACTCAGGACTGGAACGACAAGGCCAAAGGCATAACCATTTTTGCAACATGTTGCCACATTGCTTTCCAGCTGGGTTATAATGGTGTTCTGTGCCTATGAGTTGCTGGGAGGAATTGCTCAGACAAGAATAGAGCCAGGAAGCCAGGAAGACAGTAGCTATTTTGGTCAGTTGGGGCTGCTATAACAAAATACTATAGACTTAAGAAACTGAAATTTATTTCTCACAGTTCTGGAGGCTGGAAGTCCAAGATCAGGGTGCCAGCATGATTGGGTTCTGCTGAGGGCTGTGTTCTTAGTTTGCAGATGACCACTTTCTTGCTATGTCTTCGCATGGCATTTTCTTGGTTGGTGCACTCAGAAAGACAGAGAGAACAAGATCTTCCATAAGGCCACCAACCCTATCAGATTAGGACCACATTCTTAGAACGACATTTAACCTTAAGTACTTCCTGAAAGCCTTATCTCCAAATACAATCAGATTGGGGGTTAGCATTTCAACATATGCATTGGGGTGGTGGAACACAATTCAGTCCATAGCAGTAGCCCTGCCCACCAGGGAAGCTCTTGGACCATCTGAGCCCAGCTTGTCCATGGACATACCACTCCACCAGCCTCTTCTCTGCAGAAAAGCCTATATGATGTGAGAAGAGGGAACACGAGCTCTACACCTTTAACAGAGTTTTGGGGGAAGTCATTAAAACAGAGAGGTGGGCAAGTTTGATTTCCATGTTGAGACCAGCAGACTGATTCCAACCTTGTTTGTTTGTAATTGACAATCACTGGATATGAGCTCAGCTGAAGCACACTGAGAATGAGGCGGTGGCATTCTAGACCTAAATCTGCCACTTAACAATCACCTGTCAGGTTCCTGCACCTCCAGTCTGCTCAGATCTTAGGGTGACCTGACACCACCACCAGGACCTTGCCAGCTTCCCCAGGATCCTGGAGCAGCATAATGAGGATGGGCTTGTTTGCTTTAGAGAATCTCTAAGAGCATCATTGGCCTCCTGACGTTGCCAGCACCTTGGAGACAGGTGATGCAATAGCTGAGCATTGGAGCAAGCTTCACAAAGTTTGGCTTCCATTGCATCACCTGTTCCAAACTGCCCCCAGGTCAGTCCTCATCCCCTTCTATCGCCATGACCAAACAGTCCACGACTGGCCAGGGGCTCTCTGTTTTGAGGCAAGATGGAAAAAAGATGGTCTCCCTGCCAATATGCCCCTCACCCACGTCTTATGCTCTGCAGTGCTGGACAGTTCCCAGTGGGTGTACACTTTGGCCATAGGGATTCCTCCAGGGAGCAAAAATGGTACCCATGAGACCAGAACTGGTGGGTGAAGCTGCTTGAACAAGCAGGGCAAGACTAGGAACCCTGCTCTGACCCAACCTGCACACTTGTACCCTGGGAGGCTGGAGCCGGGGAGCATTGGCCCTCACTCTCCCACTCAGCCCCAGCACTCCTTCCATCCAAACTAAAAGGTCCACATCCAGGTCCAGTGCATGTGCAAGTCATGTAGATTTTATGCATTTCCTATAGAAAGAAAAGAATGCCATATAGTGGTTTAAAAAAGACCACGTGCCATATAGTAAAATTTAATGAAGCTTCCCATTAGTCATATTGTTTCTGTCTCTAGGTTTTAGACCTGACTACCCATTACCGGGTATCCTCTCCTCCTCCCATTTCTTCCCAGAGAGCCTTGAAACCCTACCTTTAATCACCTAAGAGTTTTAACTTTATTATTCTACAAACATTTATTCCCTCTCTTCAAGACAAACAAACAGGGCTGGGTGCAGTGGCTCATGCCTGTATTCCCAGCCCTTTTGGAGGCCAAGGAGGGAAGTTCGCTTAAGGTCAGGAGTTTGAGACCAGCCTGGGCAATGTAGTGAGACTCCCCCATCTCTACAAAATTTCCTTTTTTAAAATTAGCAGGGCGTGGCATTGTACGCCTGTATTCCTAGCCACTCGGGAGGTTGAGGCAGGAGGATCGCTTGAGCCCCGGAATTCAAAGTTGCAGTGAGCCATGATCATACCGCTGCATTCCAGCCTGGGTGACAGAGCAAGACCCAGACTCTAAAAAACACTTAAACAAACAAAAACTCCTATGACTTGCCAAAACTTGACCAGCTTCTGCTCTTCAGACCTGTCCCTGCAACTCCAGCTCATCATGCCCATGAAGCTCAGAGTCAAAGGGAAGCTCAGGTGCCACGGAGTAATAAACACATGAACCTGAGAGAAAGGAAAATGGAAATCTGGCTCCAGACCCTTGGGGTGCAGGCACTAAAGCCAACGTCAAGTGTGACTTACCTCATGTGCACTGGAGGGCATCCTTGAAGTTAGTTAATAAGTGATGAGAAAGTATTCACTTACTCTCTGCCTGCCCCGGCAGCTCTGAGAAGGAAGTAACTCTTTCTGCTTCCTTTACCATGGCACCCTGAATCTCTAGCTCCATGCTCCCCAAATACCACCTGACACAGAGCAGGACTCAACAAACATGTGTTGATTGGTTGACTGGACCCGTTTTTATGCTAACCCCAACCCACCCTATAAATGCATATATCTCGAAAAATAAGATTGCAGAGGGCATATTTAAATTCAGTTAGACGTACTTTGAGTTCGAAGGCAAGTGTAAAAAGACATTAAACATTATACTTGCATGTGTGTAAATTAAAGTTATTAATGTCGCTAATAAGATTGCAGATGGGGCAAATTCCTAGAAACATCATCATAATTCTGTAGGCAGGAGATGTTTTAGTGGCTCCATTTTACAGATGAGGAGACCAAGGACTGAATAAGAGAATGAATTTACCCCAAATCACAGAGCTAACGATGGCAGAGCCAGAATTTGAATCCAGTGGACTGGTGTATGCAACCTTCTCTTTGTGTTAGGTTTAGGGGTTC
Source organism: Homo sapiens (assembly GCF_000001405.40). Lineage (NCBI taxonomy): Eukaryota > Metazoa > Chordata > Mammalia > Primates > Hominidae > Homo > Homo sapiens. The sequence goes on from NC_000002.12 coordinate 235,473,209, forward strand.
TCTGGAGAGGGTGATGGAGCTGACATCTTGTCCTCCTCTTACCTCTGCCATTGACTTTGGGGTGACTTGAGGCTAGCTGTGAGCCTCTGTTTCCTCATCCATAAAAAAGAGCCATCAGCAGGTGCTGCACCCAGGTCTTCCCACACAGGACCTCATCAAACTCATCAGGCATGAGGCCCATTGGGCCTAACATCACTTTCAGGAAGCACGAGCCCAGGCTGAGCCCAGGCTGCTGGCAAGGCAGAAGATGGGTGAGCTTCCAGCAGTCATGGACCGCGAGGCTCTACCCCAGGTCTGAGGAAAGATAACTGGCGAGACACCCACCACACCCCAGTGAGGACATTTTACTCTATAAACCTGGGAATGACTTTCTGCTTCTTATAACCAGGCAGGCAGTGTGGTGAAATGTACAACCAGGGCCTTTGGATTTCAGAGGGAAAGAAGCAAGGATTGTGTTCATTTCTACGAAATTTCTGGGAGCTACTTTGGTTTTCACAAATACGGTAGGCTTCCTCAAACAGGGCTATGGTCTAAAATAGTTTAGAGAGAAATTTAATAGCAACGATTAGAACACACACAAAAAAACCTTTCCAATGACAGCTGTGTAAGTTACAAGAGCCCATTCCCACATCATCCTGCCTGATCAGAGATTTAGGCAGGCTGGTGCCTCCAGGCTGGCTTCTCCATGCAAGAGCAGCGGACCTGTTCCTGGAACCTGATGGAAGTGCAGAATCTCCCTATGGATTCTGAATATTGGTCTTTCCTCAGATGCATAGTTTGCGGATATTTTCTCCCGTTCTGTGGGTTCTCTATTTACTCTGTCGATAGTTTCTTTTGCTATGCAGAAGCTCTTAGTTTAATTAGATCCCAATTGTCAATTACTGTTTTTGTTGCAATTTCTCTCTTTTTTTTTTTTTCTTTAGACGGAGTCTTGCTCTGTCCCCCAGGCTGGAGTGCAGTGGCGCGATCTCGGCTCACTGCAAGCTCCGCCTCCCGGGTTCACGCCATTCTCTCCTGCCTCAGCCCCCCGAGTAGCTGGGACTACAGGCGCCTGCCACCACGCCCGGCTAATTTTTTGTATTTTTAGTAGAGACGGAGTTTCACCGTGTTAGCCAGAATGGTCTCGATCTCCTGACCTCGTGATCTGCCTGTCTCAGCCTCCCAAAGTGCTGGGATTACAGGCGTGAGCCACTGCGCCCGGCCTTGTTGCAATTTCTTTTGGGGACTTAATCAAAAATTCTTTGTCAAAACTGATGTTGAGAAGGGTATTTCCTAGGTCCGTCCTTCCTTCCTTCCTTCCTTCCTTCCTTCCTTCCTTCCTTCCTTCCTTCCTTCCTTTCTTCCTTTCTTTCTTTTTGTCGGAGTTTTGCTCTTGTTGCCCAGGCTGGAGTGCAATGGTGTGGTCTCGGCTCACTGCAACCTCTGCCTCCCGGGTTCAAGCGATTCTCCTGCCTCAGCCTCCCAAGTAGCTGGGATTATAGGCACCTGCCACCACACCCAGCTAATTTTTGTATTTTTAGTAGAGATGGGGTTTCACCATGTTGGCCAGGCTGGTCACGAACTCCTGACCTCAGGTGATCCACCCACCTTGGCTTCCCAAAGTGCTAGGATTACAGGCGTGAGCCACCGCGCCTGGCCTTCCTAGGTTTTCTTCTAGGATTTTTATAGTTTGAGACCTTACATTTAAATCTTTAATCCATCTTGAGTTAACTTTTGTGTATGGTGAAAGGTAGGGGTCTAGTTGCGTTCTTCTGCATAAGGCTAGCCAGTTATCCCAACATCATTTATTGAATAGGGATTCCTTTCCCCATTGCTTGTTTTTGTCACCCTTGCCGAAGATAAGATGGTTGGAGGTGTGAAGCTTTATTTCTGAGTTTTCCATTCTATTCTGTTGGTCTGTGTGTCTGTTTCGTACCAGTACCTGCTGTTTTGGTTACTGTAGCCTTATAGTATAGTTTGAAGTTGGATAATGTGATGCCTCCAATTTTGCTCTTTCTACTTAGCATTGCTTTGGCTATTTGAGCTCTTTTTTGGTTCTATATGAATTTTATAATAGTTTTTTCTAATTCTGTGAAAAATGACATTGGTAGTTTGATAGGAGTAGCATTAAATCTATAAATTGCTTTGGGCAGTATGGGCACTTTAATGATATTGATTCTTCCAATCCATGAGCATGGAATGTTTTTTCATTTATTTGTACCATCTCTGATTTCCTTCAGCAGTGTTTTGTAGTTCTCCTTGCAGAAATATTACACCTCCGTGGCGAGCTATATTCCTAGATATTTCATTTTCTTTGTGGCTGTTGTAAATGGAATTGTGTTCTTGATTTGACTCTCAGCCTAGATGTTATTGGTGTACAAAAATGCTACTGATTTTTGTGTATTGATTTTATATCTTTTCAAGAAGCCTTTTGGCAGAGCCTTTAGAGTTTTTTATATATAGAATGGTATGATCAATGAAGACAGATAATCTGCCTTCTTCTTTTTCTATTTGGATGCCTTTTATTTCTTTCTCTTGCCTGATTGCTTTGGCTACAACTTCTAGTACTATGTTGAATAGGAATGGTGAGAGTGGGAGCTTAAACAAATCAACAAGCAGAAAACAAATAGCCCCATTAAAAAATGAGCAAAGGACATGAACAGACACTTCTCAAAAGAAGACACACAAGAAGCCAACTAAACATATGAAAAAAATGCTTATCATCACTAATCATCAGAGAAATGCAAATCAAAACCACAATGAGATGCCATCTCACACTGGTCAGAATAGCTATTTTTAAAAAGTCAAAAAACAACAGATGCTGGCAAGTCTGGGGAGAAAAGAGAAGAGTAATCACTGTTGGTGGGAATGTACATTAGTTCTGCCACTGTGGAAAGCAGTTTGGAGATTTCTGAAAGAACTTGAAACAGAACTACCACTCCACCCAACAATCCCATTACTGGGTATATACCCAAAGGAAAGTAAATCATTCTACCAGAATGACACATGCATTCATATGATCATTGTCGTGTTATTCGCAGTAGCTAAGGCATGGAATTAACCTTGGTGCCCATAAATGGGGGACTGGATAAAGAAAATGTGGTACACATATACCATGGAATAATATGCAGCCATTAAAAAACCATAAAATTATGTCCTTTGCAGGAACATAGATGTAGTTGGCGGCCATAATCTTAAGTGAAATAACATAGGAACAGAAAACCAAATACTGCATGTTCTCACTTATAAGTGGGAGCTAAACAGTGAGCGCACATGCACATAAACATGGGAACAGTAGACACTGTGGCTACTAGAAGGGGGAGGGAGGCAGCATGGATTGACAAGCTACTTGTTGGGTACTATGCTTACTACCAGGGTGACAGGATCTGAATCCCAAACCTCAGCATCACACAACATACCCACGTAACAAGCCTGCACATGTAATCCCTGTATCTAAAATACAAGTTGAAATTAAAAAAATAAATATTAGCCATTATTAATGAAACAAAATTAAATATCTTAAGTTCTAAAATATAAAAATAAGTGCAGAATTATTTCTTCCTTAAGACCCACTGCATCAGAATATACATTGTAAGGAAGATGTCGGGTGATGTGTGTGCACTTTAAAGTCCAAGGCATGTGGCCTCCAGGTCCTCTGGTCCAGCTGACGTTTTTCAAGGGAGGACCCTGAGGCCCAGGAGAGAAAGTCATTTACTCCACGTGACAGGAAGCTGGTGGCTGAGCCAGGAGAGTCCTGCATCCACCATGCTCCAGCCAAGGCAAGCCTCCTGCTCCTTCCACTGCTCCTGCACCTCCTCTACAGCTATGGACTCCCTTCTCCTGCCTGCAGCCCAGGAGATGGACGGAGGATGGGATGGCTGGGCAGCCTCCTAGAGCAGCGCCCTGCAAGGGACACAAAACACTCCTGTCACTTGGGCTTGAGGAAAAGCTGGACAGAGGCCAGAAGGAAGATGCTCGGCCTGGCCAGGAGGCTGCAGGGTGCAGAGGGCGCTCAGTGGAGAAAAGGAAAATAGAACTGGAGGGAGGTGTCAAAGGGGAGTCTTCTTCACTAATTCCTCATTTGCCCATATCATTCCTTCACCTTCTCCTTATGTAACCAGTAGAGCAAAGACACCCGAGTGGTTGATGCCCAGGTAATAATGAAGAAGTGTCATGGCACTGGAAAGTTTTGTGTTTGTTTTTTTTTCACTGCAACCTCTGCCTCCTGAGTTCAAGTGAGTCTCATTCCTTAGCCTCCCAGGTAACTGGGATTACAGGTACCCACCACCACGCTCAGCTCATTTTTTTTTTATTTTTAGTAGAGATAGGGTTTCACCATGTTGGCCAGGCTGGTCTTGAACTCCTGACCTCAAATGATCTGCTCACCTCAGCCTTCCAAAGTGCTGGGATTACAGGCGTGAACCACCACTCTCGACCTTGGAAAGTATTAATATCTACAAAATATTTTGACACTCAGTACCAGTGGTTCTTAACTTCCCCCACCAAGTGAGTCTAATGGGGAACCTCATATATTAAAAAGATCAAAGTGGAGCTTTTATACAAAGGGGGTCAGGGCTTGGGGGCTACAGCCAGTTGAGTAGCCAGGCTGTAGGTACCAGTCCACCCAAATCTCTGATCAGACAGGATGAAGCAGGAACGGACTATTATCACTTAACCTAGTTGTCGATGGGAGAGAGTATATAGAGCCCTTAGCCTCATTTAGTTCAGGCTTTCTGGGGTGGCAGGCTCCACAGAACACAGTCTGATTGCCATTGTTCTAAGGAAAGGAGGTGACAAGTCCAAACAAATTGTTGATGTTCCTCTTCCAAAGGCCCTCTTACGTTCTTGGGATATATCCAAAACGTCGGCCAGCCTGCTGCATGACAAGTGTGGCCATGGATCCGGGTGGGGCACGTGCTGGTGGGTGTCTGCCGTGCACACTCACAGTTTGACCAGAAGGGATTATGGTGAGCTAGGAAGTCAACTGGGTGGGTCATACTACACAGCCAAAAAGCATTGAGAGGCTGGGCGTGGTGGCTCACACCTGTAATACCAACACTTTGGGAGGCCAAGGTGGGTGGATCACCTGAGGCCAGGAGTTTGAGACCAGCCTGACCAACATGGTGAAACCCTGTCTCTACTACAAATACAAAAATTAGCTGGGCGTGGTGGTGGCTGCCTGTAATCGCAGCTATTTGGGAGGCTGTAGCAGGAGAATCACTTGAACCCAGGAGGTAGAGGTTGCAGTGAGCTGAGATCGCACCACTGCCCTCCAGCCTGAATGAGCAAAATGGTCAGTAAAAATGTTCTCCAATGCTACAGGAAGTCATGTAGTCACCATGCACATTGATCAACATATGATTTATAATGGGATCGTCTTCTAAATCGCAGAAAAATGTCCCTGTGATCACACAGATGAAATATCCCACTGTGTTTTTAAAATTAGGAAAGGCACTGTGGTAATAATGGAAAACTTGTGGATTTACACTCAGAAAACTGAGCCGTGGGCAAGTCACCGCTTCCTCAACCTTCAGGGTTTCATGTTTGGACAGTTTTGGCTTCCTTGCAAGGTCTTAGAAGGTTAAATGAGATAATGTTGAAAGGTGCCTCGCATGTGCTTAGCGCCAGTTCAGTAAATATTTAAACTGAATCTATTTTTGGAAACCACGTGAAAATTGAAGAACAGAAAAGCAGTCCTTTCAGTGGTTGTCATTTTGTGTATACTCTGCTGAGCGGCTGCATTAAAAAGAAGAGTTTACCAAATGTATTAAATCCTAAAGTTTAACAATAACCCCAAAGATATTGTAGCAGAATATATACAAAACAAATGAGCAAACAACAGCCAAAGTGCAAAGATGCTTACAAAAATAAATGATAAATGTGATGAGAAGAATGAAGTTGGTAAACATTACAGAAGCCTTCCTTTTAGCTGCCTCAATAGATCTATTCTAAATCAGTTTCTTGGTATTCACATGATCTGGGAAATGATTATATAATTTCAAAAGTGTCTGTAAACTACTCATTTGCATCTGATTTCTCAATGTCTAATTTGTGCATCAGCCAAAACTATGTGTATAAAACCAGCTTTTTAATCAGCTCACAGAATGTGTATAAGCAAATTAATCTTCCATTTTATGAGAGAAGAATTCATACACTCAGAATTATCCTGTGTTTTGCACTGGATGCACGGAAGAAATGATTTGCACAATTGTGTTAGCATGTGTCTCTATAAACTTCCACTTGAAACACTGCTGAAAGCCAAGTGGGTGTGCAAGTTACAGATGGATTGTAAGTCCCCCTCCCCCCGTCCCCATAGCTGGTGTCAACGTGGACTGGTGTTTCCGTGGCACATGCAGAAGGTGGCTTGAGGAGGTTGTTTGAAGAATGAGGCCTCTTTTCACATTACCCTTATTTGAAAAGGGAAAAAGCAGCAGCTACCGCCTCTGCGGAAACCTTGTAGGAAAGCAGTCCTTGCATGTTCCCATCAGAGAAGGGGGCTGGGGCATTTCCACCCAGCGGTAAAATTTCTGCATCGCCTCTTCCTCTTCCTCATCCCAGGGGGCGGCACCACCCTCTGCTCTGTTACCTGACGCCACCAGTCTTGGGGGCTGCAGCCGGTTGAGGTCCACCCCCATGCTGGTTCTGCAGTTGGTAGCTTCAGGGGCTGAGGTCCGCTCCTGGGTCTGTTTCTAAGGAGCTGTGTGAGGTTGGGTAAGTCACTTCACCTGTGGAGCCTCAGTTTTCTCATCGGTGTGGAAAAGGAGCTCCGAGGTCCCTTTCATCATCGATTCTGTGACACACTTAAACAATGCATCCTTCTACTTCCCTCAGACACAAAGCTTAGGAGCTGTAACCCTGGCCTGAATGCACAGTGAACTCCACGAAGCTGAGCTGAGCTCTTATGTGACATTAAAAGGACCTGCCTGGCTGGGTGCTGTGGCTTACTCCTGTAATCCCAGCACTTTGGAAGGCCGAGGCGGGCAGATCACCTGAGGTCAGGAGTTCGAGACCAGCCTGGTCAACATGGTGAAACCCCCGCCTCTACTAAAAATACAAAAATTAGCGGGGCGTGGTGGCACGTACCTATAATCCTAGCTACTGGGGAGGATCAGGCAGGAGAATCTCTTGAACCCGTGAGGCGGAGGTTGCAGTGAGCTGAGATCATGCCACTGCACTCCAGACTGGGCGACAAGAGTGAAACTCCATCTCAAAAAAAAAAAAAAAAAAAAAAAAAGGACCTGCCTCATCCAGCAGTGCTGCTTCGGGACATGTACCCAGAAGAATCAAAAGCAGGTTATGGAAGAGATGTCGGTACCCTCATGTTCATAGCAGCATTATTCGCCACAGCTAAAAGCTGGAAACAGCCCAAGTGTCCATTGACAGATGAATGGATGGACGAAATGTGGCCTAGACATACAATAAAATATGATCCAGGAAGGAAGCTCTGACATGGGCTATACCATGGATGAATCTCGAGGACATTATGATACATGAAATAAACTAGTCACAAAAGGGCAAACACTGTATGAGGTACCTAACATAGATTCACAGAAACAGAAAGTAGAATGGTGATTGCCAGGGACCTAGGGGAGCAAGAAATGATAGTTGTTTTTTTCAAGCATAGGGAGTTTCAGTTTTGCAAGGTGAGAAGAGAGCTGGAGCTGGCTGCACCACAACGTGAATATACTTAACACTTCACACTGCTGAACTGCGCACCTGGAAATAACTAAGGTGGGAAATGCTGTGTTATGTGTATTTTACAATTTAAAAGAAAGGATCAGGCCGGGCACAGTGGCTTGTGCCTGTAATCCCAGCACTTTGCCAGGCCAAGATGGGCAGATCATGAGGTCAGGAGATCGAGACCATCCTGGCCAACATGATGAAACCCCATTTCTACTAAAAATACAAAAATTAGCTGGGTGTGGTGGTGCACGCCTGTAGTCCCAGCTACTCAGGAGGCCGAGGCAGGAGAATCGCTTGAACCCAGGAGGCAGAGGTTGCAGTGAACCGAGATGGCGCCACTGCACTCCAGCCTGGTGACAGAGTGAGACTCCATCACAAAAAAAAAAAGCAAAAAAAAAAAAAACAAAGGACTTGCCTTGGAAGACCCTAACCCTCTGCCCAGGCCGGGCACTGTCTTCTCTGTCCTGGCTTTAAAGGAAACATTCTATGAACTTGAATAAGAACACATTGACTTCTCTAATTTCACTTAACTCGAATTGAAATGTAGCATTTCCTTTCATCATGAATGTAGACAACAAATCACAGAAGTAGGAATATCTGTGACTTTGTCACCAAAAGGAATTAGATATTCTCCTATTACATTCAAATATTACAAATATATTTAAATATTGCTTAAGTTCATCAATAATCCAGAGTTATGGTCGTTAGAACAGCGCTGGCTGGGCGTGGTGGCTCACGCCTGTAATCCCAGCACTTTGGGAGGCCGAGGTGGGTGGATCACGAGGTCAGGAGACGGTGATCATCCTGGCTAACACGGTGAAACCTCGTCTCTACTGAAAAATAGAAAAAAATTAGCCAGGCATGGTGGTGGGCGCCTGTAGTCCCAGCTACTCGGGAGGCTGAGGCAGGAGAATGGCATGAAGCCAGGAGGCGGAGCTTGCAGTGACGATCGTGCCACTGCACTCCAGCCTGGGCGACAGAGTGAGACTCCGTCTCAAAAAAAAAGAAAAAAGAAAAAAGAAAAAGAACAGCGCTGCACCTTGTTAATTACTTTGTTAACAAAGAAGCATGTATATTCCTATATTGTGATATAGGAATATATCATGGTTAAATATCTTGATAACTGCATTTTAATATAACTAATTTTCTCTGTACTCTATGTATTACATTGAATACATTTAAAAACATTAAATTAGGCCAAGTGTGGTGGCTCAGGCCTGTAATCCCAGCACTTTGGGAGGCCAAGGCAAGCAGATTGCTTGAGCCCAGGAGTTCAAGACAAGCCTTGGCAAAATGGCAAAACCCTATCTCTACAAAAAGTAAAAAAAAATAGCCGGATATGGTGGCACATGACTGTAGTCCCAGCTACTTGGGAGGCTGAGGTGGGAGGATCAATTGAGTCTGAGAGGTCAAGGCTGCAGTGAGCCGTGGATCACACCACTCCACTCCAGCCTGGGTGACAAAGCAAGACTCTGTCTCAAAAAAAAATTTTTCTTTAATTAATTCCCTGTTTTAAATGAAAATGAAGAAAGCCAACAGTGCTTGAATTTGGCACTGACAGCTGGTTTGTGTGTGTGTGTGTGTGTGTGTGTGTGTGTGTGTGTGTGTGTGAGATGAAATATTTTTTGGTGTGAATATATCCAAGGAACATCCCATGATGTATTTCGGTGAAATATGCAAAGCCTGTATCTATTTCCGTGCATTCTCAGCATGAGTGGTAGGCACTCAGTGGTTTGGCTCCCCCAAAATGCCCGTGTCCTCAAGCCCAGAACCTGTGAAAATGCACCTTATATGGCAAAAGGAACTCTGCATATGTGCTTAAATTAGGGATCTTAAGAAGGGGGGTTATTCTGAATTATCCAAGAGGGTTTATCACAAGCACAAGGGTCCTTAAAGCCAAAGAAGGAAGCAGGAGGGTCAGAGATTTGAAGATGCTACGATGCTTTAAAGATGGAGTAAAGGGCCAGGGAGTAAGGAATGTGGGCAGACTCTAAAAGCCAGAAAAGGCAAGGAAACAGACCCTCTCCTAGAGCCTCCAGAAAGGAATGCAGCCCTGCCCAATGCCTTGATTTTAGCTCAGCAAAACCCAATTCTGACTTCTAGGTCTTTAAGACAGATCATTCCAGACCATTACAGTTCTTCCAGATCTGTAAGACAAGAAATATGTATTGTTTTAAGCCACCAAGTTTTTGGTAACTTGTTACACCAGCCACGGGGAACCAGTACAACATGGGAACTCCAGAATAGTTATGCTCAGCAAAGACACCGAGGTAGAAGGCAGGATGCAGATTTTGCTTATGTGTTTGTCCTCTGGGAAATAGTGCTTCTTCTCTGTCTTCAATTACAAAAGTTTCACAGAACAATTGTTACCTATGGATAGTACCTGTGGATAAACCTTATTATCTGTGGTGCGCCGCTATCTTAGTCTAGCCTAGCCTAGGGATTGATCGAGTTGATTTCTCAACCTATTAAAAAATCCTGACCCATAGAGGTCATCTCTGAGTAACACTCCATAATTTAGGAAAATATGTGAGTATCATAAAATATTATGGCTTAGGGAAAATTCCTTCTTGGCAATTCAAGAGGGTGGCAACTGTGAGGAAAGGAGCGACTGCCCCCAGAAGAAGGGAGGGAACAGGTCAGAGGGTAGACGTTGGGTCCTTGAGGACAAAGGTGAGGCAAGGTGGCCAGGAAGAGATGGTTGTGACTAAGGAACTTTCAGGAAAAGCGGTATCCAGTGTTGAGATTTCATTAGCTCCTGTCCCACCTTTTGTTGCCCTAAAGCTTTCTAAGAGCCTTTAAGAAACACAGCCTTGGCTGTGCATAGTGGCTCACACCTGTAATCCCAGCATTTTGGGAGGCCAAGGCAGGTGGATCACTTGACCTCAGGAGTATGAGACCAGCCTGGGCAACATGGTGAACCCCATCACTACAAAAAATAGAAAAAAACTAGCTACTTGGGGGGCTGAGGCAGGAGAATTGAAGGATTGCTGGAGCCCAGGAGGTAAAGGCTGCATTTTGAATGAGATTTTGAAAATTGTGATGAAAGCTATGGGCTCTATTAAATTAATTTTAAGGATATCCAATAAATGTGAAAATCTTTTTAAAAGTGACTTTAAGCAAACAGTACTGCTGCACATTTTGTTTACTTTGCACATCAGGAAAAATATTCTCTTTTTTTAGACAGGATCTTGCTCTGTCGCCCAGGCTGGACAGGCTGGAGTGCAGTGGCAAAATCAGCTCACTGAAACCTCTAACTCAGGGGTGTCCAATCTTTTGGCTTCCCTGGGCCACGTTAGAAGAAGAATTGTCTTGGGCCACACATAAAACACACTAACACTAACAATAGCTGATGAGGTAAAAAAGAAAATCACACAAAAAGAATCTCATAATGTTTTAAGAAAGTTTACTGATTTGTATTGGATCGCATTCAAAGCTGTTTTGGGCCTCATGTGGCCCTCAGGCCGGGGGTTGGACAAGCTTGCTCTAACTCCTGGGCTCAAGAGATCTTCCCACCTCAGCTTCCTGAGTAGCTGGGACTACAGGCACGTGCTACCATGCCCAGCTTATTTTTTTTGTTTTGTTTTTAATAGAGACGTGGTCTCACTATGTCACCTAGACTGGTCTTGAACTCCTGGGCTCAAGTGGTCCTCCCACCTTGGCCTCCCAAAGTGCTGGGATTATAGGCATGAGCCACCACATCTGGCCAGAAAGATATTCTTTTAAGCCTAGAAATAAGCACAGACTAACCTAAAAAGTATTGAGTATTCTTCTAGTTATATGTAGATGTGGATTGAGATACAATAACTGGCTGGATGTGGTGGCTCACCCCTGTAATCCCAACACTTTAGGAGGCCGAAACAGGGGGATCACTTGAGCCCAGGAGTTCAAGCTCAGCCTGGGAAAGATAGTGAGACCCTGTCTCTACAAAAAATACAAAAATTAGCCAGGCATGGTGGCACACCTGTAGTTCCAGCTACTTGGAAGGCTGAGGTGGGAGGGCTTCTTGAACCCAGGAGTTTGAGGCTCTAGTGAGCCATGATCATGCCACTGCACTCCAGCCTGGGCAACAAAGTGACACCCCATTGTTAAAAAACAAAAACAAAAGACAATTACTATTACACCTGACAACCCCAAATAGTCAACAGGAAATGCATGTGGGACAGTGGCAAGATTTTATCAACGTGTCACAGGCAGAATGGCATTCCCCACCCAAGATGTCCATGTCCTCATATCTAGAACCTATGGGTATGTGACCGTACATAACAAAGGGGAATTCAGGTTGCAGATGGCCTTGAGATGGGAAGATCACCCTGGATTATTTAGGTGGGCTCTGTATCATCACAGGGGTCCTGAAAAGTGGGAGAGGGAGGCAAAGGAGAGTGATGTGATGCGAAAACAACTCACCTTTGCTGGCTTTGAAATAGAGGGAGGGAGGGGCCACCACCAAGGAATGCAGGTGGCCTGTAGAATCTGGGCAAGGCAAGGAAACAGATCCTCCCAGAGCCCACAGAAATGAACGCAGCCCTGCCAGCACCTTGGGTTTGGCCTGGTGAGCTCTGCATCAGAGTTCTGACCTACAGAATTGTAAGATAATGCCTGTGTGTCTAAGCCACTCGGCAGCAATAGAAAACTCATAATATTTTAGAAGATGAGTCATGGCCATCAGATAAGGGCTGCCTGGAGATGACAAGCAGAACCAGCATGGGGACTGGACTCTCTCTCAAGGGGTCCCTTATTCAAGATAAACATGTGGCCCTTTCAACATACGATACTTGGTAAATGACGACTCAAGGAATAAAGATGTCGTGCATTTGTAAGCTCTCTCACACACATGCCAGAATTCTCATGTATTCTCACAGGGTTCCAGGAATGCTATAAGTATCTATAACAGTAGAATGAATTACTCCAACATTTAGTGGCTTAAAACAATGACAATCATTTATTACTTCTCAGAGTTTCTGTGGGTCAGGAATACTGACAAGGCTCAGAGGGGCCAGCTTGTTTCATTCCACCGTATCTAGGGTATCAGCTGGGAGACCCTAAGCATAAGAGATGGAATCATCTGAAGGATCTTTTATTTACATACAGGCTTTCCATGTGGCTTGGGCTTCCTCACAACATGGTGGCCTAGGGCAAGTGGGTGGGCGTAGGGGAGAAGAAACAAGTAGAAGCTGTAGAGCTTTTTATGAGCCAGCCTCAGAAATCCTGCCTCATTACTTTTGCTGCATTCTGTGGTTGGAGAAATTACACATATAGAAAACATGGACACCACCTTTCTATTGCTTCCCATAAAAAAAAAAAAAAGGAGTAAAACTGATCTGGATTCAAATCCTAGCTCAGTCATTTCTTTGCTGTGTGAATTAGGAAAGTTGACTAGAGCTCTTTGAACAGTAATAATAGAATGTTTTAGGTGTAATAATTTATCTTTTGCACATAATAAAATGGAGGCTTAAAGAGCTTCTTGGCTCCCTGCTGGAATAACATCTTCAGCTGACAAAGCATAGCATGCATATCTTATTGATGTTCACTGCCACCCTGTGAGACATCATTGCTGTCTTCAGTGAGCCAAAGAACTGAATGAGGCACTCAATTTCAGCCTAATGACTTACATGGCCAAAGATGGTGTGACAGACTGAACTAGTAGCTGGCTCTGCACTACCTCCCAGAAATGGGATTATACACCTACAATTTTGCCACATAACTTTGCAGGGCCCTCTGCTGTGGTGGTGTGTGTGTCCCTTCCTGACTCTGGGCTCAGTCTTGTGACTTGCCTTGTCCAAGGGGATATCAGTGGACATGAAGGGTGCAGCCGCTTGGAATGTGCTTGCACACTTGCACACTGGGGTTTCTTTTCTTGCACTTCTGCCATCACTAAGATGCCTGGTCTAGCCTGGTGGTGCCAGTAGGAGAATGAGAGCTCCATAGGGTAGAGCTGAAAAGCCCAGCAGAGCCCACCCTAGATTTGCTGGCTCACAGCTGGCCCTAAAAGGGTGAGCAAAGTGAATGCTTGAAGTTGTGTGCTGCTGAGATTTTGTGAGTGTTTGTTATGCAGCATTTTTGTGGGCAAAGCTAACTGATACAGATTGCTGGTAAGACCAATACATAGTCGAATGGCCAAACTACAAACTACAAACACAATCTGGGTATATCTGGTCTTCACTGCAGAGTTATTTCACCAAAGAAGGGCAAAAAGCAAGAAAAGGAAATTTGATCTGTGGCATTTCTGGATTATTTCTCCTTGTTCTTGCCCTCCTCTCCTCCCCCATATACCCCTCCGACCCTCACCTAGGAGCCCAAAGCCTTTATGAGGCACTGATTAACCAAAGCTCCCACTGCTGGCTTCACAAAGACCTGCTGCTGATCCCATGCTATATGAATCAAGCTCTGTCATATTACAGTCCACAAGCATATCAAATAAAAATCTCATGAAGCTCTTTATCCAAGTATGGGAAGGATACTAATGAAATTGTTTCAAGTTCAGGCAAATGGATAAAGCACACAAAAGTCTAGAGACACATAATGTTTCATACATTTCCTAAAACACTTCTTAGAGCTAGTTGAAGTGGAAGAGCTTTGTAGCTGTGCGTAAGGTCTGCAGCCATGGGGGGTTGAGGAGCATTTTGATGTTTAAAGTGATGGCTGTGCCCGGGTACAGTGCCTTACGCCTGTAGTCCCAGCGCTTTTGGAGGCTGAGGTGGGCAGATTACTTGAGCCCAGGAGTTCAAGACCAGCTTGGGCAACATGGCAAAATCCCATCTCTACAAAAAATACAAAAAATAGCCCAGCAAGGTGGCATGTGCCTGTAGTCCCAGTTACTCAGAAGGCTGAGGCAGAAGGGTCAATTGAGCCCAGAAAGTTGAGACTGCAGTGAGCTGTGTTCGTACCACTGCACTCCAGCCTGGGCAACAGAGTGAGAACCTGTCTAAAATAAATAAATAAATAAAATCAAGTGATCACTGTAAAGTTATTCCTATGAAGCTCACAACTCCTACTGCTGTGCATTAGGAGTACAGGACTATGCTGGTCACTGGCAGAACTGTCTTTAATTCACACTTTTAATTAGGCATTACCAGAATTGTTCATCCAGCTCTTGCTCAGCCAGTGAATGTTCATGTGTGTGAGCTCTGTGTTCATGTGTATGAATCATCATGGCTGCCTTCATCCACAGATATTCTCACTTATTCTTTTTTCTTTCTCTTTCTTTCTTTCTTTCTTTCTTTCTTTCTGTCTGTTGTCTGTCTGTCTGTCTTTCCTTCTTTTTTTTTTTTTTTTGAGACGGAGTCTCGCTCTGTCGCCCAGGCTGGAGTGCAGTGGCGGGATCTCGGCTCACTGCAAGCTCCGCCTCTCGGGTTCACGCCATTCTCCTGCCTCAGCCTCCCAAGTAGCTGGGACTACAGGCGCCCGCCACTACGCCCGGCTAATTTTTTGTATTTTTAGTAGAGACGGGGTTTCACCGTTTCAGCTGGGATGGTCTCGATCTCCTGACCTCGTGATCCGCCCGCCTCGGCCTCCCAAAGTGTCCTTCTTTTTTAAGACAGAATCTCACTCTGCCACCCAGGCTGGAGAGCAGTGGTGCAATCTTGGCTCACTGCAACCTCCACCTCCTGGGTTCAAGTGATTCTCCTGCCTCAGCTTCCTGAGTAGCTGGGACTACAGGCATGCACAACCATGCCCAGCTGATTTTTTTTTTTTTTTTTTTTTTTTTTTGAGACGGAGTCTCGCTCTGTCGCTCAGGCTGGAGTGCAGTGGCGGGATCTCGGCTCACTGCAAGCTCCGCCTCTCGGGTTCACGCCATTCTCCTGCCTCAGCCTCCCAAGTAGCTGGGACTACAGGCGCCCGCCACTACGCCCGGCTAATTTTTTGTATTTTTAGTAGAGACGGGGTTTCACCGTTTCAGCCGGGATGGTCTCGATCTCCTGACCTCGTGATCCGCCCGCCTCGGCCTCCCAAAGTGCTGGGATTACAGGCGTGAGCCACCGCGCCCGGCCTGATTTTTGTATTTTTAGTAGAGACAGGGTTTCACCACGTTGGCCAGGCTGGTCTTGAACTCCTGACCTCAGACGATCCACCCACCTCGCCCTCCCAAAGTGCTGGGATTATAGGTGCGAGCCACCGTGCCTGGCCTCTCACTTATTCTTTGTTTGCAGTCTCAGATTGGATTCAGAAATTGAACGCTAGAAGCAGTGTTTCTTCAAGAGATAATCCCCTGGAATGCAAGCTCACTAAAGGCAAGCTTCATCTTTCACCTCTGTATCCCTAGAACATATCACCCTGCCTAGGATACAGTAGATGATCAATACAGATTTGTTGAATGAATAAATAAGTGACAGAATAAATGAACAAATGAATGGGCTGATCATTCAAACCATCTTTGATATTTCTGGGACAGAAGACGTTCACTACTTTAAGGCTTGGCTTGCTCTCACAGTGGAGTTTTCACTCAGAGCTTATAAGTGCCTGGAAGGACCGTCTCACACACACACACACACACACACACACACACACACACACACACACACACGGCTAGAATTCTTGGCTCTATTCACAGAAGATAAATCTGCAGCACATTCCTGGTAAATGTCACTGGGTCCCATGTTGCTGGAGAAACTTCCATTTTAATTCAGCAAATCTTTATTAGGCACCTACTATGTGCCTGGCATGATGAGAGAACAGCTCTTACCATAGGAGAGATATTGTTGATTAATTAATTTATTGAACGTTTGTTGCATTATAATGCTCCAAGCCCTGTGCAAGAGAAATATGGTCCTTGTCTTCATGACAATTATAATTTAATGGGGAAGCTGTTTGTTTGCCAAACATTTATTGGGTAGCTACTATGTGTCAGCTACTGTTATAGACACTGGAATAGAATGGGGAGCAAAACAGACAAAAATTAATCCTGGCCCTTGTGGAGCTTATGTTTTAATGGGGGACACAAACCATACACAAGATAAATAACTAAAGTATATGGTGAGTTAGACGGGAATAAGTGCTAAGAAAAACATAAAGCAAGTGCATTAATCTCCCATTGCTGCTATAACAAATTAGCACAGATTTAGTGGCTTAAATGACAAAAATTTATTATCTTATAGTTCTGGAGGTCAGAAGTCCAAAAATGGGTCAATAGGGATGTGATCCTTCTGGAATCTCTAGGAGAGAATCTGTTTTCTTCCATTTTCCAGTTTGTAGAGGCAGCCCACATTCCCTGGCTGGTGGCCCCCTCCTGCATCTTCAAAGTCAGCCCAGCGGCATCTTCCAATCTCTCTCTCTCCCTTGCCTTCCTCTCCTCTCTCTCTCTCTTACACCTGTCATCATATCTCCTCTGATTCTGACCCTCCTGCCTTCCTCGTATAAGGCCTCCTGTGATTACACTGGGCCCACTCAGATAATCTGGGATAATATCTTCATCTCAAGGTCCTTAATTTAATCAGACCTGTAAAGTCCTTTGCCACTTAGACTAACATATCTACTTGTTTCAGGGATTAGGATGTGGGCATCTTAGGGGACCATTATTCTTTCTACTGTGGCAAGGAAGGGGGACATGAAGTGTTGGGGAACAGGGATGCCATTTTAGAGAAGATGTTAGGGAAAGTCGCATTGAGAAGGTGGCTTTGGAGCAAATACATAAGGAAACAAAAGTCCTGGTGAAGGGGTCAGGGAGACAGAGAAGCAGATGACAAGGGTGGGGGTGTGATGGGTATATTTAGGGGGCAACAAGGAGGCCAGTGTGGCCGAAGAGGAGAGAACAGGCTAGAAGTAGAGATGCTGTGGCGAGAGAGACAGTCATAGGCTGAATTATGTCCCCAAAATTCATATATTAAAGTCCTAACTCCCAGTACCCCAGAATATGACTATATTCAGAAATTGGACCTTGAAAGAGATGACTAAGCTAAGACGATGTCATTAGGAAGGGGTCTAATCCAATATGAATGGAGTTCTTCTAAGAAGGGGAGATGGGGACACAGACACACAGAGGAAAGACCCTGTGAGAACACAGTGAGAAGGCAGCATCCACAAGCCAAGGGGAAACCAACCCTGCAACAGCTTGATCTTGGCTCTTTGAGCCTCCTGCATTTTGAGAAAATGGATTTCTGTTAAAGCCATGCAGCCTGTGGAAGTTTTTTTTGTGTGTTTGTTTTGTTTTGTTTTTTTGAGAAGGAGTCTCCCTCTGTCACCCAGGCTGGAGTGCAGTGGCACGATCTTGGCTCACTGCAAGCTCCACCTCCACCTCTCGGGTTCACGCCATTCTCCTGCCTCAGCCTACCGAGTAGCTGGGACTACAGGCACCCGCCACTGCACCCGGCTGATTTTTTTGTATTTTTAGTAGAGACGGGGTTTCACCATGTTAGCCAGGATGATCTCGATCTCCTGACCTCGTGATCCGCCTGCCTCGGCCTCCCGAAGTGCTGGGATTACAGGCGTAAGACACCACGCCCGGCCTTTTTTTTTTTGAGATGGTCTTGCTCTGTCCTCCAGGCTAGAGTGCCGTGGTATGATCACAGCTTACTGCAACCTTGACCTCCTGGGCTCAAGCCATCCTCCCTGCACAGCCTCCGGAGTAGCTGGGACTAGAGGCTCACACCACTGTGCCTGGCTAATTGTTGTATTTTTTGTAGAGATGGGGTTTCACCATGTTGCCCAGGCTGGTCTCGAACTCCTGGGCTCAAGCAATCCTCCCAAAGTGTTGGATTATAGGCATGAGGCATCATGCCAGGCCTGTGGAAGGTTTTTATGGCAGCCCTTGCTGGGTAACACAGGTACACAGGTAGAGACACCAGGCGCCTTTGCTCTGGACTATATTCTCAAGGATGTTTGCAGAGCAAACAGCCTTGGAAGACAGAGATAATGTTTTCTGCCACAGTCAAGGGTAGACATGCTTACTGTCCATGATAAAAACAGTGTCTCCCTCTGGAGTGAAGGGCAGACACACTTACTGCCCGTATGAAAGATCTGAGCTCTCTAAGCTAAGGGTTAAAAACTTATAAAACTCGTATAGGGCAGCTGACTCCAAGTACAGGCTTCACCTGGGCCTCATGTTGCCCGTGGGAATTGGGTCTCAGTAAACTGGTGCATGAAAATGCTGATATTCCAGCTAATGCTACTATTATGAATAACAAAGTCCTTTGTTTCTGATCTGGGAGTCTCATGTCTTCTGCCAGCATCCATGAATTGTGGCAGGCTAACTTGTTAGCTTACAAGTAGGGGAATAGCTCAGCCCCTGAGCAGCTCTTGATAAGAGCTCATGCCTGTGGGGCGAGGCCAGATGGGAGTCATTGGAGGGTTTTGAGAAAAGGCATGACAAGTCCGGACGTAGGTTTTGTAAGTTTCACCAGGTAGGAAGCAGTGAGCTATTACAATTGTTAGATCTAGTGATGGTCCAGCTAGATGATCCTGACTTCAGCCGAGTGGTGAGAAGTCGTGGGATTCTGGATCCTCTGAAGGTGGAGCTGACACCATTTGGGATATGAGAGAATGATAAGCAAAAAGGACAGCACTGAATTTTTCGCCTAAGCAAATGGTGGCCTGGAGTTGCCGATGACTGGGATGGAGAAGATTTTTAGGAGATGTAGCCGGAAGGGATGGCAGGAGTTCAGCTGGCGACATGCTGGACTTAAACACCAGCTAGGCTTCAGGAAATGTTGAGGATGCAGGTGGATGTGAATTTGTTATTCAGGGGTGAGGTCACAGCTGGAGATACATATGAGCTTCATTAACCTGTGTATGATATTCAAAGCCATAAGACAGGGGCGATCACAGCAAATAGCAAAGAAAAGAGGCCTAACCATAAGCCCTGGGGCCCTCCATATTTAGAGGTTAGGGGAGTAGAAGAAAACCACAAAAGGGACAGTGAAGCCAGAAACACAGCAGGAAGCCCTGGTGAGCACTGGGAGAAGGGGTTTCCAGGAGCGCAAGTGATCAGCTGCTGCTGATAGGTCAGGTTTGGTGAGGCCACATGCCTGCCTCTTGGTTACTAGAGTTACTTATGCGTGGACAGCCCGAGGCATGGAGTGATGACCTGTGCCTAAGTGTCAAGGAGAAGACAAGCAGGTCCGGAATGGTAAAAATGTCAGCACATCTTTGGGAAGTTGTGGAGCCCAGCCAGTAAGCCAACACGGCTGGATACCAGGGTGCTTAGGCCATAGCAAACTGCATGTGAGCCGGTGAAGGCTCAGCAGGCTTTAAACGGGGATGCCGGCCCGGCTGGCTGAGTTTCAGAAAGACCACGCCGATGGCTGGGGGCAGGGACTCAGCCAGTGTCCTCAATCCAGGACCTTGTGGGACCGCCCGGCAGCCAGTGCTTCCGCAAATCTGAAGGGTCCCATTTGCCTCAAAGCGGCGAGACGAGCCTTCCAAGCGCTGCTGCAGTGCGGTCCCAGCTCCGCGGGGGGTCCCCGGGGATGACCTAAATCGGGGATTGCGGTGGGACAGACGGTCCAGGGGCTAAGGAACCCCGTGGAGCAGGCAGCGGCGCTCAGGAGGCAGCAGCTTGAGATCCACGGCTCGATTTTTAAAAATTGTAAGGGAGAAGGATGCCTCGAAAGCCTCTGTGGTATTTTGTCGCATCTCGCACCCCTGTCTAAACTTCAGTCCACTCGTGGAGTGTGGACCCCCACGCCGCATGGGCTCAGGAGGCGCTTCGCCTTTGGAAAGAAATCGCATGTATTAAGGGAAAGCACGTGTGCTACTTTGAGAAAGGAGGCAGAAAGTTACCAAACGCGGGAAGGGGAGGCTCGCCAACCAAGCGAGGCCGTGGGACACTGGCGAGTCGCAGAGGCTCCTGGAGCCAGCCGCTTGGAAACAAACAACAACGCGGCGGGCGAACTCCCGGGCAGCCTCCCCCGTGCCGGGGCGCGGGGGCCGCCGCGAGAACCCGGGCAGGAGCTGGCAGGCGCGGGGCCTGGCCGGCGGGAGGGTCCCGCACCCCGGCCCAGTGTGAACACCCCGCGCACCCCCCTGGCCCGGCCCGCCGGGGGCGCGGACTACAAGTCCCAGGAAGCCCAGAGGCAGGCGCGGGGCGGGGCCTGGCGCAATTCCCCGGGATCCGGCGCGCTGGGAAGCGCCGAGGAGGACGCAGCGCCGGCGGCCGGAGGGCGGCAAGCGCGCGGGCAGGCGGGGCGCGGGCGCGGGCGCGGGCGAGGGCGAAGGCGGGGGCGGGGCCGACGTGGGCCGGAGCCCTGCGTGCCAGGGAGGGGGCCGGCCGGGCAGGCGGCGGGCGGCGCTCGGAGCGGGCTCCGCGGCTTGCAAGGCGCCTGCGACTCGGTCCCAGGTCGGCGGGCGGCGCACGGCGGGCTCGCGCGGGGGCCCCGGCGCGCCGGGCGGCGCAGTACGCAGCGCGCGGACCCACGCCACGGCCAGGAGCCCAGAGCAGCGCGGCCACACTGCCCAGGGGTCGGCCCTCGGCCCCGGCGCTCGGAGCGCGGCGGCTGCCTGGGCTTTAATGGCTGCTCCGCGGAGCAGCGCCTAGGGCTGGAAGGCGGCTGCGGCTCAGGAAGTCACCCGAGCAAGCCTCCTTCGGGGCCGGCCGCACCCGCCGCGGCGCGCTCCATGGGGGCGCGCTCCCCCCGGGCGGCCCGCTGACCCGGGACGCCGGGGCCCGCTCGCTCGCCGGCCGCGCGTCCCGGCCATGAACTGAGCCCGCGGGCCAGCCCCGCGCCTGCTCCGCCCGCGCCTTTCTTCTCGCGCCTCCTCCGCCCGCCGCCGGCGGGCCCGGCTCCCCGGGGGCTGCGGCGCCCCGGGCTCGGCGGCCCGCGGGCCCCGGGGCGCGGGGCGGCGGCGGCGGGGGGCGCGCGGCTCCGGGCGCGGCGCCTGCACCATGAACTACCAGCAGCAGCTGGCCAACTCGGCTGCCATCCGGGCCGAGATCCAGCGCTTCGAGTCGGTCCACCCCAACATCTACTCCATCTACGAGCTGCTGGAGCGCGTGGAGGAGCCGGTGCTGCAGAACCAGATCCGGGAGCACGTCATCGCCATCGAAGGTGAGGGCCGGGCCGCCTTGGGGCCTCGGGAAGGCACGGACGCCCGCGGCGCGGCGGGGGTGTGCGCTGTGTGCGTGCGGGTGTCCACACACGCCGGCCGGGGCACGCGGCTGCTCCGCCGAGGGAGCACTGCGGCGCTGCTTGTCTTGCAAGGCCGGGCGAGCGTCGCCTGCGCCCCGCCGCGCCGCGAGCTCCGCCAGGAAGATAGATCGTCAGCGTTAATTTGATCGTGGACAATAGAGTCTCTCCTGCGGGAAAGTGGCTCGGTGCCTCCGCGTCCTGGGCTGCCGGAGCGTCCCGGCCCAGCAGACGCCTGGGGGCAGCCGGCGGGGTCGGCGCCACCCGACCCCTGACAGGTTACCAGGCCAGGCCTGGGCGTCTTGCTGGACGTTGAAGACGTGTTCTGAGAAGTGCTGCCGCTGGGGGCGAGGCCCGGGCCGGCGTGTTTGGGCGGTGCAGGGCTGCCCTCCTTAGTGTGTTTGCTTAATTCAGGGGTGCAGTTGAACTTAGTGGATGCCGAGAGCCAGCCCTAGCCGCGGGAGCATCGTGTCCAGGTGCCCCTGTGCAAACGCTGGAACCGGTAGTGTGCTTTGTACCAACCAAAAGTCCGGGGTTGGATTAGAGGAAGAACCCTACCAGGAGGGCAGGGCGTCCTCCAGCGGAAGGGTCTCGCTTTCATATGTCTGCAGTTGGAGGCCACTGAAGTGGAGGGTGCTGTGGTTTTAAGAGGGGCAGGATGCTTGGGCAGAATCCCCACCCGCTTCCCTCTGCATGTCAGGCAGGGCCATGGCCTTCCAGGAGAGCTACAGCAGCAGTCTGCCTTCCGGGGCTGTGCCCTCTGGATTTCTGGTGGCTCTCATTTCTCTGTTTCCAGGCTGCTGATTTATTTTCTTGCTTCATCCCTTTGGTCCGGCCAAGACTCACCTGGGGCACCAGGTGGCATGTGCGTGGACAGTGTGGAGTCATATCTTAGCCACAGTTGATCAGCACTTTCTCCCTTCTCAGCGCTGTTGGCCAGTGATGGTAAAAAGCCTGCAGAGTGGCTTGTCCATAATACAGACTGGCCGGTAAGACCTCTATTGAGGAACATTGAGAATGGCCCAAAGCCGGCAGGAATGTGCCTGAAAGCCTGGTGCTGGCGTTGCCCAGCCTCCTCCCTCTGTGAGGGAGAGGGTATCAGCCCACAGAGAGGCTTTGCCTTGGCACTATGTAGTCTGAACTACTAACCCCGAAGTGCTTTGGTTTGAAACTTGGCCAGTTAGGTGGAGAAAGTGGATGTTGTGTTGCTGAGCCCTTGGCATTTGGCAGCCCTGTAGACTTGAACCATGTCCCAGCCAGGCTGGATGACTGGCAGACTATACCCTTGGGGGACTTGTTAATTCCAGGGGAGGATCCGGGTGGAGCTCCAGCCTTATGGGGTCCTAGCCCTTTGTGTGTATCTGTCTCCCATGAGGTCACCTGGCTGCCTTGTTGGTGACTTAAGATGCTCTGTGGATTCCTCAAGAGATGGGCTCTGTCTGCCTCTGCATGACTCGTGATGAGTGGCGGTGGGACCTGGACCCATCTGCTGATGATCAGGTGGTGTTGCAGCAAGGTTCCTCCAGAGCTCCAGCTCTGCGTCTGTTACGGGAGCTGTGAAGGCTGCACGGTGCTCATTTCAGATGGTTCTTCCTGGCTCTCTGGCTGCATCCACAGAAGTCTGATGAAACACTGTGAAAGCCGGCGTCAGGTATTGAAGGCACCTGGCTGAGAGCCTCTTTTGCTGCATGAAGACCTCTGGCTGAGTGGGGTTCACAACACCTCGTTTTTATTTCCCATTCTTGAAGCTGAGCTCTGGGGCTCAAGCACTTCCAGCAAAGCAGTTTGACTTTCTAGCAAGAGGATGTGGTTGCATTTTCCTTTCTCCCTTAAAAGAAAAAAAAAATGCGTCGTTCCTAGATGATGGTTTTTTTTGACAGCACGATGCCTACCTTTGCGATTTGAGATTTTAGGCCCCTTCTTGGCCGGGATCCTTGTCATTTTTAATAAGGCTTAGAATCATTGGGTGAATCCTGTTTGGGACTGGGGTGATGCTGTTATTTTTCTCTTAGAAATAGGGATGTCTACATTATGTGGAGCTGTAGTTAATTTAGTGAGGCTTAAGAACCACTCAGACATGCTGCTGTTCTTTGCATGTTCTTCTGTTATCAATAATGATACCACTTTTCATTTCTGTAGAACTTTAACAGAAATATTTTTGCATGTATAGTCTCATTGTGTGGCTTCACCAACCCTGTGAGGGTGGGTGGGTAGCTTCCTCATCCTCATTTTATGGAGGAGCGGGTGGAGGTTCAGGGAGGGATAATGACCTCCTTAACATTTGACTGAGGTGGTTTGAAGTCTGATCTGAACCAAGGGATCATTTGAATGGAGTTTCTGTCTCCACACTGCATGTGGATGGCAGGAACCCAGTGCTGGCAACTAAGCCTGCGCTGGAACATCACAGTAACTGCAGAGGGCTCCCTGCAGGGGCAGAGAGCTGCCCCTGCCTGTGCGTGCACCTTGGAGGTTTTAAAGTCTAACTGTTTCCAATCAGGACAGCAGGTGCACATCATAACAAATGGCTCAAAAAGTCACTTGTCCCACCAAATAGAAAGCTGGCCACATTTTAGAAGATTTCCAGCTAGGGATTTTTTCCCCTTCCTCTGTATGTGCATACACAGAATTGGGGTCTGACTTCCCAAGCTTCTGGACTACCGTGATGTGGGCACTTCTTTTTTTGTTTTGAGACGGAGTCTCGCTCTGTCGCCCAGGCTGGAGTGCAGCGGCGCAATCTCGGCTCACTGCAGGCTCCGCCCCGGGTTCACGCCATTCTCCTGCCTCAGCCTCCCGAGTAGCTGGGACTACAGGCGCCCACCACCTCGCCTGGCTAATTTTTTCTGTTTTTTTAGTAGAGACGGGGTTTCATTGTGTTAGCCGGTATGGTCTCCGTCTCCTAACCTCGTGATCCACCCACCTTGGCCTCCCAAAGTGCTGGGATTACAGGTGTGAGCCACCGTGCCCGGCCGGGCACTTCTTAACGTTATGAAGAGCTTTTGAAGATAGGGTTTCTCTTGTTGGCACAAAATTCCCACATTTGGCTGCACCCTACTCAAAACTTCACTGTTTTCTGGCATCTTCAGGAATTTTTGCTGTTGGAGTGAGGTGCAGCCTTGTCCAGGGGAAGGATGTTTTGGCTAATGCTTATTTCAGAGCGCGTGGAGGTGGGTCTGGGTTGTAAAATCTCTTAACGATGGACTAAACATATTTTAGTTGAAAGGCCCACCAAGGCTCCCAAATAAAAACACATCCGTAATCCTGTTTGTAGGCATGGGATACAGGTGATTTTGCCCTCAGTCTTGTTTTAAAACACTAGCTTGTCAGAAGAGAACAGTTTTTTTCCCCCAATTTTTGTTTTGTACATTGAGAGGTTTATTCCCCCCTCCCTTCACCCCCAAATCACTAGAGTTTAAGGAAGCATTGCTGATTGTTCCAGATTTATCTGATCAGGTTTCTGGGATGTCCTATGGGGCATGGCATGCTGTGAAATGTAGCCACACAGCTGTGTCGTCTCTGGAGCCTCCGCAGCCACCATGCCCAGAAATGAGCCTGAGAGCCATCTCGCCTCCAGTCTGAACAGCGTGTGTTAGTTTCCCCTCTGGTTCTCCTTAGAAAAGTCCATCGGGGGTTGATGGCATTGAGGTAGATGAATTAACTGCCTTTCTTGTTCAATAAAGCTTGTTCTTCTTTCAAGGATAAAGCCTCTCTTAGCAGTCACACATCGTAATTCAGCTTGCCAGCAGCAGGACCGTGATGTGAGTGATAGCCCAGCCAGCTCATTCAGCCAGGCGGCCCGATTCCCAGGTTCCCACGCATCGCCGGGAAGGTTGGCCTTCCTCTGAGGTTGAGCCCTCATCCAGCCCACAAGCCTCCATCCCCACCAGGTGGCCGATGAGAGGAAACCCAGGCTCTCCACTGGCCTGGCACTTGGCAGGAGAACCCTGCCCTGCACTTCTTAAGGGCATTTCCACAGGGAGATTCCAGGACCCCTTAGTAGTATCTCAGCCCCAGTGTTTGGGGGACCTGGGAAGATGGGTCAGGGTTCCCCACTTTGTCCCATGATACAGCTGCTCTGTTGAGCATGTGTGTCCCACAGAGTGCGGAGTGTCTGAGGTGCATCATCTCAGTTCGTCCTGCAGCGATCTTGTACACAGACGCACTGCTGAGGCCAGAAAGCTTAGGACACTTGTGCGAGAGCGGTGAGCTGGGCCCGTCCGACCTCACCTCTGGCCCTCTGTCGCCGTGTGAGATTGCGGAGCCCCTGTTATTCATACTTCCCATAGGCCGTGTGTGCAAAGCATCCCAAGCTTGTTTCCGCCACCCAAGGCAAGAGGGTTTGAGAAGGCCCCAAAGAACCTAAAGTATTCTGTTCTCTGTAAAGCAGCTGACTGTGGCAAAACTTCCAGAAGCATTTGTTTTCATGTGGAAATGTATTTAGTCCGGTTGATGCAGGTGTGCATGTTTAGGGAAACAAACATTTTCTTCCTGCTGTGGATAAGTGTCATGTTTCTTTGTCACCATTGGCCATGTTCATAATCCTTCAAGTTGAATGAAAGGTGGCAGGTTTGCAGTCCCCTCCTTAAAAATAACACTCAGTTGGCTTTTAGTTGCTTCCAGGTGAGCTCTCGTACCTTGCCGGCACCCGGGACCTCCACAATGCGGGCGTTCCTTGTGAGTCCAGCTTACTCATGCTTCTCAGTTGTGGTGCAGGTGCTCTTTGAGATGCCGCCTTCTCTGCCTGTTGCTCACCCTGCGAGGCTCGGTCTCTGTTGGTGTCACTCATGACCAGCCTTGCCTCGCCAGAATTAAGGCCCTCCTGGTCTCTGCCCACCGTGTTTGGCTCATCTACTTAATCAGCTGGGAGGTCTGGAAGCTGGTTGAGGGCAGAAATCAGGGCTTGTTTATTGCTGTATCCTCAGTGGTTTGATAGATCACGTCTGGCCCTTGAAGGATGCCCAGGGGTTTGTTGGCTGGCTGACTTGCCAGAGGGTCCTTTCCAAAGCTCCTTCTTGGTAGGATAAACAATGTTTATACGCTGCAGAAGTGAGGACAATTTGAAACGTCCCCAGAGCACAGAAGTTAGGGTTAGACACCTTTTGGATTTGGTGGGCTGGCTTGGTGGGAACTCAGTGTCATGTGGTGTTTGGGATGGAAGTGAAATTTTCTTTACTGTAGGTAGGGGAAGCAAAAGATTTGCTTGCTAAATCTTGGCAGCTTTTTCAGATCAGCTGTCTACAACAGGTTGGTGTTTATGTTGGGTGTAAGTGAATTTCAGACATAGAATCAATATTAAGAGGACAAATGGGTGACAGCCTGTGTCACTGCCATGATATAGTATCTTTGGCGTCACACCGAGAGCAAACGTGAGTGTGTGTCAGGTCACATTGAGGGCTGATGGAAACAGATTGCCGGCCCCTCCCATACCTCCCGAGTTTCTAGTTCTGTGGGTTTGGAGCAGGACGCACGAATGTGCCTCTCTAAGAAGTGTCCTGAGGATGCGGATGCCCTGGTCCAGGGACCGCACTTCTGGAAGCATAGCTGTAAAGGAAAGGCAGCTCCAGTTGACTTGGTATCATCTCTGGGCCGTTGTTTCTTCTTCCTTGCTGTGCTTGTAGCCAGCTGAGAAGGTTTCCTATCAGCCTGCCCTGCAGGTTTCAGGTGAAGACACCTAAGGCCAGCTGCTCAGGGAGTTGCTTGTGGTCACGCAGGCTAAGTGTGGTGGACGAGGGACTTAAACCAGATCTGAATGGTTTCAAGCTGGTGTTCATGTGATCTTCATGATGCTGTTTGAAAAGCAGCTGAATGCTGGGTGAGGGGCCTGTCGTGCCAGACCCCTTTAAATTTCATTAGGGATGGCACCGGGTTCAAGAGACTGGAGAGGAGACCTAGAGCCAGCAAACAAAAGACAGAGGGTTTATTAGGGGAATTTATTTACAGAGTGGTCCCATGGCGGCCTGGGCAGGAGAAGCGCTGCTGCTTGCTTTCAGAAAGCGTGCAGTTTATATAGCATTTTCGCTTAACACCCTCCCCCAAACAACCACCACCCAGCAACCTTAACACCAATCAAAGAGCCTCAATACCCTGTATGGCCTGCTTTCCATGGGACAGGCTGGGGGTTTAGATGTTCCTCATAGATAAGGAATGAATCTCTGGGTTGGCCACTCCCGGATTCCTTAGCTCAGAACCCCGAACATACATTCAGGTGCACCTGCCATGTGGGGCCATTCTCAGTTATTGCTGTCAGGGGCATCTGTCAGTGGGCTGCGTTTCTGCGACACGGTGGCATGTCGGATGGACATTGCCAAGAGAATCTGGTTAGGAGGTAGAGGCAGCTGATGTCCATTTCCTTCTAGACTCATTCTGTGGTTTTGCGGATTTTCCTTCTTGTCTTTCGGAGATTGTTGCTTTTTAATGTAGTCTTATGTATATTTAGATTGGGTTCTTCAGTATTCACTTATTATATGATAATTTGGCAGATGACACATTTTGTTACCAATATTTCCAAGCTGAAAGCGCGTTTCTGTAAAAGACAGGAGCTAGATGTTACTAGTAGCTTAAAAGAGCTGTTGGAGGAGCCTGAAGGAAGTGACTCATAAGGGAGAGAAGCAGTGGGGGCAGCTGCAGGAACCTTCAAAACAAAACCTGCAGCCCTGTTGCTACCACCTCTTGTTTTTTGCCTAAACCAGGCGTTTTATTTTGTTAAGACGAAAATCCCTTATTTTGCATCCGTTTTTCCCCCTGTATACCCTGCAGGTGTTTATAGTTTGTGAGTCTCACTCTGGCTTGTTTTAACCACTGATTTCGTTTCGTCTTATGTTTCTCTACACTCTAGCAAACCTGTGTCCCCCTCCCCGCCCCCATCCCAATCCTCCAGCCTTCACGTCCTTAGCTTAAGTGATTGAGTCTGGCAAAGCGGATGAGGCTTAGCTATTTTTAAAATCCAGGGTTTGAGGTTCTGATCTGGTGCTTAGCTACATAATTCCTTCCCTTTGTTAAGTACCTTTCTCCGAGAAACAAAATGCACTCTACAGATGTTAATCTCTAATCTTTGCAGCATCTGTTATTTTTATTCAGGGGTACAAGTGCTTTGTGTGTGCTGCGGTGAGCCCTGGCCTTCTGGAAGCTCTGTGCTTCTGAGGGGCTGAGGGGGATTTGGGGGTCCCTTTTCATAGTGTGGGCTGTCTTTCCCAAGATGCAGTGATGACCCATCAGAGGCAGGGTTGGTATTGTCCGTGGGGTCCAGTCCCTCTATCTTCCAGGGCTTTTCTGGTCACAAGAGACCATGGCCAGAAGTGGGTATCGTGCTTGTGTCTGGGGCCTGGGGAGGGAAGGAAAACAAATACCACCCCCTGCAGAAGAGATCGTTAATGGATTCTTTGAGTAACCAGCCAGATAGCTTGTTTGTGTGCGAGGTTGGGACATTTTCCGTAAAGAGCAGACTAAATATAGGCTCGAGGGTGGGGACCAGGGCCCGAGAGGGGGCTGCCACTGCTTGCTCCAGTATTGTTTCTTCCATTGGTAACCAGAACTTGCCACCAGTCCCAAACAGGTGGCCACCCTGAGCTCTCTGGGAACAGATTGGTGTTTTTGTTTAACCAGGGGCTCATTTGCAAATTTCACACTTCTCCCGCTGTTTGATGGGGATTGTCTTTTTTTGGGCTGCAGTGTTGGAGTATTTGTACAGTGTTTCTACACAAGCAACTGTCTAATCTTTAAAACTGCTCATGCCGTCTGGTTGTCATTAGCATCATGGTTAGAAGCTTTTTATTTGCCTTTTTTTTTTTTTTTTTTTTTAAGGGTGGGAAAACACTTTTCATGGTTCTGGGAGAAGAATTTCAAATAATGTCCATGTTCACAAATGATTTATGTTTGGTCTTGGAGAAATGTCAGCATTCAACAGGCTCTAGTAAATACAACCATGTTGATTTCCAGCTTAGGACGAAGCTACTGTTACCCTGTTCTCACTCAGATAATAGTCTGAAAGGCAGAACCGTACCTTTAGAAAGTACATTTAGCTTCAATTCAATAAGTTTTAGTTTTAGCCAATAGTGACTTGTAGTATGGAGGATACTTGAAAGAAAGAAGTTAAACATTTTTTAAAAAATTTATGAACACCTGCAACAAATAGCCACAAGACCTACCCTTTTTTCAGGAAAGAGTTTTCACTTCTTAAATGTCACCTTGGGGGCATGCCCACTGTGTGATGGTACCCTTCAGCAGGATTGGTATTGTCGGAAGTGCTGGCTAGCTTATGTAATGAAAAAGAAATTGATTTGGAAAGAGCTGATTGCCCTGAATTTCCATCCTGTTTGTGCGTTGAGCTGCCCTTTTCAGTGGGGGAGAATCCAGCATATTTTCCAGGGAGGGCGTTTCCGGAAGCCTGTCTGCACCCCCTTTGTTGTTGTTTTCGAAGGTCTGGGGTGCTGCTGTGAGCCGGGATCGCGTATCTGCTCCTGTTCTGACGAGACTGCTCCTGCTGGAAGTTCAGCCTGGTGAACCTGATTTGGGAGGGGATGGTGTGATTGGCGGGGAACAGCATTGTGTTAATTTTAGCTTCAACAATCAAGCCTGGGTCTCTGAGTGTCCATGTAGTACTTGAAGTTTGGGTTTGGAATTGGTGGGATTGAGACCACTTCAAACTCTTTTATTTCTTGGAACTTGTTAGTATTTATTTATTTATTTTTTGAGACAGGGTCTCACTCTGTTGCTTAGGCTGAAGTGCAGTGGCACTATTGGGGCTCATTTGTAGCCTCAACCTCCCAGACTCAAGTAATCCTCCCACCTCAGCCCCCGCCAAGTAGCTGGGACTCCAGATGTGCACCATGCCTGGCTAATTCATTGGATTTTCAGTAGAGACGGGGTTTCACCATGTTGCCTGGGCTGGTCTTGACATTCTGGACTCAAGCAATCCACCTGCCTCAGCCTCCCAGAGTGCTGGGATTACAGGCATGAGCCACTGTGCCTGGCCTAGTTTTTAATTTTTGAGACAGTCTCTGTCAATCAGGCTGAAGTACAGTGGCACGATCGTGGCTCACTGAAGCCTTGCTTTCCTGAAGCGATCCTCCTGCCTTGGCCTCCCAAATAGCTGGGACCACAGGCACGCACCACCATGCCCGACTAATTTTTTAATTTTTTTTGTAGAGATGGGGTCTCGCTATGTTGCCTTGGCCTCCCTAAGTCTTAGGTTTACAGGCTTGAGCCACCACGCCCAGCCTCGAACTCTCTTTTTTTTTTGACACATAACAGAGAAAGGTGCCCAAGTCATAAAGGAGAAAGTTTTCACAAACTGATCACATGTGGGACCAGCATCCAGTTCAGTGGCCAGCACAGACTCATCTGTCGTGAGGGTCGTTAGAAATTGTAGCCCCCATTTATTGGTCTCTTCTGCCTGTGATATGTGCTTGAGTGGTTGCCTGTTTCGGGGGCTGTCAGTGTTTGAGTGGCTGCCTGTTTCGGGGGCTGTCAGTGTTTGAGTGGCTGCCTGTTTCGGGGGCTGTCAGTGTTTGAGTGGCTGCCTGTTTCGGGGGCTGTCAGTGTGTGAGTGGTTGCCTGTTTCGGGGGCTGTCAGTGTTTGAGTGGCTGCCTGTTTCGGGGGCTGTCAGTGTTTGAGTGGCTGCCTGTTTTGGGGCTGTCATGAATAGCACCACTGTGCAGATTCTCACTTGCCTTTTGGTGCCCATATGGCCTCATTTCTGTCGGGTGTGTGCTGGGCTGTGTCTTTCTCTCTGTGGGTTGGACGTAGCTGCTCGTGAAGCCGCTCCTGCAGCCCAGCAGCCCCTATCTGGGAAACCTTTCAGTGCTTTCAAGGTTCATTTTATGACACTCAGGATGGCCGTTTGTCTCCTTTTGCTGATTTTCATTCTTTCAGTTGTTTGTTCATAAACAAATGTTTGCATGGCTAATGCATTTCCAGCACTTAGAGATTAGGTTTTTAAACTTTTGGATTGTCTGCAGGCTATTAATTCCTTGTTAGTTGAATAATGACGGCTGTGTGCATGGAGCTGTGTGAGCGAAATCCCTCACCAGGAAGAGGGCGCAGTTCCTCTGGGACTGGAACAGGGGCCCCTTTGGCTCTCCTTGGCTCCTGGCAGAAGTCAGTTGTCAACTGGGGGACTCTTTCTGGCTGAGCCCCAAGCAGCCTCAATCCATCCCTGTGCTGGGTTTTAGATAACCCACTGGATCTGTGTTGGTCTTTGAAAGGGAATTCACTCTGTATGTTTGGCCTAAACTGTGTTATGGCCTTCATAGTTACGTATTAGCATTATTCAGTTTTTGTTGTTTGTAGCAATTATGCTGAAGACACAAAAGAAGAAAAAAAGCTAAGTGTTGCCAACTCAAGGAGTAATTTTCTTTGTTCCAGCGCTGTGTCCTGGGAGCTGCCCATCCCCCTCCACAAAGGCCAGTGCTAAACAAGGCCAGAGCCAGGAAGGACACGCGGGGCCATGGATTGAGTGAGGGCAGTGTGTGCGTGTGTGGATTTCTCTGGTGGCTTTGCAATGGCAAATATTTATTTTGAGGGATGGTGGTGGGAGGACCAAGTTTATACTCACTTTGTTTAGTAGGGGAAGTGGCTAATGTGAGAATCAATAGACAAGATTTTATCAAGCCTCTGCACTGGGCAGAGCGCAGTTTTTGAAGCTGGGAGAACAGGCAGATGTGTGGGACACTCAGGGCCCTTCAGATCTCCCCCAGGAGCCACTGATACAGGTAGAGATCGCAGCCACACAAGGCTGTGTGGGAGGGGCCTGGGAGATGGGGCGGAGTCCAGGGAGAGATCCTGGAAGCCAGGTAGCAGTCAGGAGGGCTTTCCAGGCTAGTGGGTACTAGGATTGGAGCATCCAGAACAGAGTCACTTCAGCCTGGGAAGAGCGGGGTAGGCGGCCGAATGATAAGTGATCCTTGACAGCCCCCGAGAGCAGGCTGGGAGACCTTTTGTTGGACGGTCTACTACTGATTATGGATCCTGCTTGGAGAGGGGAGTGCTTTTTTTAAAATTCTTTTCTTTTTTTTTTTTTTTTTTTAAGACGGAATCTTGCTCTGTCGCCCAGGCTGGAGTGCAGTGGTGTGATCTCAGCTCACTGCAGCCTTTGCCTCCCAGGTTCAAGTGATTCGCCTGCCTCAGCCTCCTGAGTAGCGGGGACTACAGGCATGCACCACCACACCCAACTAATTTTTATGTTTTTAGTAGAGATAGGGTTTCACCACGTTGGCCAGGCCGGTCTCAAACTCCTGACCTCAGGTGATCTACCCGCCTTGGCCTCCCAAAGTGCTGGGATTACAGGCATGAGCCACTGTGCCCGGCCCTGTTTTATTTATTTATTTATTTAGCTCGGGTTTCAATATTTTAAAAAATTTGAAGCCAGGTGCGGTGGCTAATGCTTGTAATCTCAGCGCTTCGGGAGGCCGAAGTGGGAGGATTGCTTGAGGCCAGGAGTTTGAGACCAGCCTAGGCACAGTGGCAAGTGCCTTTAGTCCTAGCTACTTGAGTGGCTGAGGCAGGAGGATCACTTGAGCCAAGGAGTTGCAGGCTGCAGTGAGCTATGATTGCATCACTGCGCTCCACCCTGGGTGCCAGAGTGAGATCTTGTCTCAAAAAAAAAAAAAATTGAACTGTGATGACTATGATATTGTCTTTTGGGGGGTTTTCTGGACATAAAATTCAGAATTTTACATAGAAACTTGAATTTATTTGTCCAAGAGTTTCTTGTTTTGAAAATAGGATGCCACTGGGAACATTCTTGGTTAGGAGCCACCGGAAGCCGGGTCTGTATGGGCAGGGCCAGTGAGATGCAAAGCCACACACGAAAGCTAAGCACACACTCTTGTTTTCCTCACTCACATCCATGTTCATCCTCTTTCCTGTGCTGACGGTTTGCAAAGCTGGGAGAGAATGAGGGCGGGGCCTCGGGAAGTGAATGGCAGAGCAGGTGGCATAGACACCTCAGCCGTCTGCCCACAGGGTATGGGCAAGGTTTGTTTTGGTGACTTTTTCTTCCAGTCTTGTGTACATTATCGTCTCTCACAGGACTTGAGCTTGGAGGGAGCTGGAGTGGCCGCTTGCTGAGTCTTTCTCCCTGGAGCTCGTGGGCAGCTGGTTACCTCGCGCTGGGGCGACCCTGACTTAGGACCTCCTGCCGTTTCTCTGGGTGACTGCTCTGTAGTCGTGAGTCGTCTCTTTAATGCTGAGCATCAGTACCTGCACAGCCCTGAATGGAGCAGCTGCCCAGAATCTGTCTTGTCATCGATAGATGGACAGTTGCCGAGTGTCCTGCGTGCCGACTGACTAAGGAGTTTTTGTCTCTGTCACCCTGTCCCCTGTGGTTTTATGAAGACGTTAGTTATGAATCCGTGTTTAGGATGAGAAGATGTAAACAGTGAGGAGGATAAGTGAGAAGCTAGCAAGAGTCTGGATGGTGATGGCGGGGGAGCGCTGGTGGAGGAGTCGGGGGCGTCCCGCTGGACTGGGGCACAGCTCTGCAGCAGCAGCCGGTGCGGTTTTGCCTTGTAAGTGACACCGTTGCCTGCAGGCATCTCTGACAGCTGCTCCTGCTCCAGATTCCAGAAATTTCTATGGAACATTTCCTGAACCATCCTCCTGGTTTCTTCCCTTCCCCTCACTGAATAAAATCCGTAATAGCACCTGCCGCTTGAGTGTTTGTCTCTGCAGGACGCCGTGTTCAGGGCTGGGTGCCCTTTGTGTCATTTTGTTATCCTGGTCACTGCCAGACAGAGGTGGTAGGACCCTCATTTGTCAGGTCAGGAGCCTGCAGCCTGGAGAGTTTAAAGCCTTGCCTGAATCCACCCACTTCTGAAGGTGGCAGAGTCAGGATTCGAACTCGGGACCCGTGGACACCAGCCACCTATGGGCCTTTATTTTTATATTTTTAAAAACTTTTAGTTTCAGGGGTACACATGCAGGTGTGTTATATAGGTAAGTTGGGTGTCATGGTGGTCTGGTGTACAGATTATTACAACGCATAGTAAGTACAGTACCTGATAGGTAGTTTTTCAGTCCTTTCCCTCCCACCCTCCACCCTCAAGCAGGCCTTGGTGGCCGTTGTTCCATTCTTTGTGTCAATGTTGAGCTCAAGTGAGACCATGAGATATTTGGTTTTCTGTTCCTCCGCTGGTTCGCTTATGATATTGGCCTCCAGCTCCATCCATTTTGCTGCACAGGGCGTGATCTCATTCTTTTTATTATGGCTGCATAGTACTCCACAGTGTACATGTACCACATTTTCTTTATTCAGCCCATCGATGGGCATTTTGGTTGATTCCATGTCTTTGCTATTGTGAATAGTGCCACAGTGAACACACAACTAACTGCGTGTGTCTTTATATAGACACAATAGAACAATTATATTCCTTCAGGTGTGTACCAAGTAATGCCACCTACAGTTTTGATGTTTTAGTAAAGTAGAAAAGGAAACTTCAGAAATCAGCCCATAAGTCTGCAGAAGTACTTGGGGAATTCTCTCCGCAGTTCGCAGCTCTCCTGCAGATCTCGGTTTGTGATTTGAAACTCACATTCACGCTCGGTTTTTTACTCATCAAGGTTATAAAGAAAATAACAGCTGTTGGTTCACTTTTATTCCCTCGCTGAGAGTTGGTGGCGGCTGGGATGCTGACTGACGGTTTTGATTACATGAGGAGGAGGCACGGAGGCAAGCTGACTGCCTGCGATTACAGGTCCCGAAGTCCGGGAGGAGGGAGGATTTCCAAACGGCATGCCTTTGAAAATTCACCTGCGTTTAGGAAATCTGCAGCACCTTTAATCCTGGCTAGCTGAAAATACAGCTTACATTTAAGCCACACAAATTCTGTGACATTTTAATAATGGAGATGTTAGTGGGCAGTTAACTTTTTATACATGTAAATAGAAGTTACTTTCCCCCTGTGCTGTAATTAGCAAAAGAGGGAGAAAGGGATGCTCTGTGCATCAAAGCGATTTGCCCAGGGTTACACAGAGGAAGGTGGCAGAGCCGGAAGTGGCAGAATCCAGTGCACGGGCGGGATGCCGAGTGTGTCGCCAAACTCCACCACTTTAGTCGGGGGCGTGGTGGTGGCTGCGCTATCTGCTTCCCACTCACTGGCATCCTAGCCGTGTGGGGTGTGTGCTCACCTGCAGCCACCCTCACCTGCTTGAACCAGATTTACCTAGAGGGTGGTGTGAACTCATGTGATGTGAACGATTACTTATAGTTACCGTGAAAATTAATGGTGGGTTTTATAGTTGGAATGCTTTTTCTACACTTACTTGATTTTTGTCTATCTGTTTAGAGAAGTGTTTTTTCTGTTGTTGTTGTTTTTTAAACTTGAGATGGAGTCTGGCTCTGTCACCCAGGCTGGAGTGCAGTGGTGCGATCTCTGCTCACTGTAACCTCTGCCTCCCAGGTTCCTGGGTTCAAGCAATTCTCCTTCCTCAGCCTCTTGAGTAACTGGGATTACAGACATCCACAACCACGCCCGGCTAATTTTTGTATTTTTAGTAGAGACGGTTTCACCATGTTGGCCAGGCTGGTCTCGAACTCCTGACCTCAAGTGATCCACCCTCCTCAGCCTCCCAAAATGTTGGGATTACAGGTGTGAGCCACCACGCCCGGCCAGAGGTGTGGTTTACATAAAGTAAACTCCAACTCTTGAAAGTTTACCATTTGATGAGTTTTGACCCCTGTAGCTACAACTGAGGTATGGAAGGCAACCATTCCCCGACCCCAACACTTCCTCATGCCCGTTTGCAACCTGCATCACCTCTGTCCGTCTGCTTGCACCCATCTGCTGTCTGTCACTGTGGATTAGTTTGCATTTTCCAGAATAAAATAGAAATAAGATCATGCATTAAAAAGGGGGTCCCCAGCCTCTGGGCCATGGACCAGTACTGGGCCTATTAGGAACCAGGCCACACAGCAGGAGGTGAGTGACGGGCCAGCAAGTGAAGCTTCATCTGTATTTACAGCCACTCCCTTTGCCTTGTGTTACCCCCTGAGCTCCACTTCCTGTCAGATCAGCGGCGGCATTAGATTCTCATAAGCGCACAAACCCTGCTGTGAACAGCACATATGAGGGATCTAGATTTGGCGCTCCTTATGAGACTCTGATGCCTGATGATCTGTCACTGTCTCCTGTCCCCCCCAGCTGGGACCCTCTAGTTGCAGGAAAACAAGCTCAGGGCTCCCACTGATTCTACGTTATGGTGAGTTGTAGAATTTTTTTCATTATATATTACAATGCAGTAATGATAGAAATAAGGTGCACAATAAATGTAATGCATTTGAATCATCATGAAACCATCCCCCTGCCTCCCTTCAGTGGGAAAATTGTCTTCCACGAAACCGGTCCCTGATGCCAAGAAGGTTAGGGACCACTGCAGTAAAGGACCCCTTCTTTGACTGGCTTCATTCAGTCAGCATGATGATTTTTAGGGTCATTCAAGTTGTTACATATATCCATAGCTTTTTCTTTTTCATTGCTGAGTAATGTTCCATTGTATGGATTTACTACAGTGTTTTTATCCTGTGGATGGATATTGATGGAGTTGTTTCCAGTTCTTGGCTTTTACAAATAGAGGTGCTGTGAACATTCACGTGCAAGTCTTCATATGGGCACGTGCTTTCATTTCTCTTGGGTAGATACCTAGGAGTGGAGTGGCTGGGAGATGTGCTGGGTATATAATTAACTTTTATGTAAACTGCCTGCTGTTTTCCAAATTGGTTGATTTTACTCTCCCGCCGGCAGTGTGAGAGTGTCCACTTTGGGCTTAAGTTCAGCAGGCTTCTGGCAGTGATGGGATAGCAGCTGTCCTTAAGAAAGAGCATTTGCCCTCTGTGTCTCTTGGGCTGTGAAGTGTCTTGTACTGATGAGGGGGGTGGGAGGCTATAGGAGTGAGGCTGAGGAGGGAAAGGAGAAGCCTCAGAAAGAGGTGCAGACTGAAGACCACCTTAGAAGGTCGCAAAATCCAAGGGAGCAGAGCCAGTGTGCCTCTCCTTGTGACCTCTGGCCTCAGTTTCCCTGTCTGTAAATCCGGATGTTTGGCCAAGATCAGTTTTCAACAAGGTGCTGGGTGGGGGGGCGGGGGGCGGCGGTGTATGGCGTGCAAGCATTGTAGCCCCCAAGAGGACATTTGGCCATGTCTGGGGCAATTTTCGGTTTGTTACAACTTTGGGGTGTCATGGTTGTTACTGGCACGTGGCAGGTGGAGGTGAGGGATGCTGCCCAAGATCCCGCAATGCCTGGGGCAGCCCTGAGTCTTCGTCATCCCGAGACTGAGAGCCCCAGGTCAGATGAGCTCTGTGACCCCCTCAGCCTCTGATCCACACTCACCAAGGATTACTCTGGTGCACGATTCTGTTTCGGTGGGAGCTGGTGTAATTATCTAGAGGTGTGTCTACCTGTGTGCCCAGAGGGGCCCGCCCTCTCGGTGAGCAAGGACACCTGGTTCCCTGGGGTCTGAGCCAGGCCCTCAGGGAGGGGGGCAGCCAGGAGCCGCAGGGGGCTCAGCCAGCTCCTGGCCCTCAAGTGTTCTAGGAAACCGGCTTCTCTGTGGGGATGTGACTCTCCCTCACTCCTCCCATTGCCTGAGTAGGCAAATTCCACCTAGCTCTTTATGACTAACTGCCTGGCAGCCTGAGCTCAGGGCAGTTCCTAACGAACTTCTTTGATTATTAACCTATGCTGGGCCCAGGGAAATTACTCACTTGTTTTCTGGCCAAGAGAAAATCTCCTGGAAACTTCTATATATAAATCTTTTTGACAATTCCGCATTCAAGAGAGTTCCCCTGGCAGTTCTTCTATTTGTAGGGTGGGGAGAAAAACCCATGTAATTTCCCCAAACTGTGGATTTTGTTCCTATAGAACATGCTTGTGAGATTCAGTGTGCGTATTTGTGTGAGTGTGTGTGAATGTGTGTGTGAATGTATGAGTGTGGATGTGTGTGAATGTGTGTGTGTATGTGAATGTGTGTGAATGTGAGTGTGAATGAGTATGTGGATGTGTGTGAATGTGTGAATGTGTATGTGTGGGTGTGAATGTGTGTGTAAAGGTGATTGTGAGTGTGTGAATGCGTGTGTGAATGCGTGTGTGACTGTGTGAATGTGTGAGGTGTGAATGTGTGTGAATGGATGTGTGTGTGAATGCGTATGTGTGAATGTGAATGCGTGTGTGAATGTGTGTGTGTGTGAATGTGTGTGTGTGTGGTGATGGTCATTGTCCACATTGGTGGTCTTGTCACTCACTTCTTGATCTGTTGCTGCATCAGCAGAATGCTGGGCAGATGGCTGCATCTTGTTTGGGAGTTTGGGAGTTTTCTTTGAGTATCTGTTTTTTAACTTTCAGGGGAGAATACCAAGGTTGGGAAACACTGGTTTTGCTGACATAAGAATAAGAAAATTGGCCAGGTGCATTGGCTCACACCTGTGATCCCAACACTTTGGGAGACCGAAGTGGGAGGATTGCTTGAAGCTAGGAGTTCAAGACCAGCCTGGGTAACATAGGGAGACCCCCATCTCTACGAAAAAACAAAACACCCAGGTGTGTTGGTGCTGCCTATGGTCCCAGCTGCTCAGGAGGCTGAGGTGAGAGGATTGCTTGAGCCTAGGAGGTTGAGGCTGCAGTGAGCCATGATTGCACCACTACCCTCCAACCTGGGCAACAGAGTGAGACCCTATCATTAAAAATCAGTCAATCAATCAATCAGTCAATCCATGCGCGTCCTCCCCCATTCCTGCCTTGATTTCCCTGTTAGGATTTGCCATGGGGTGGGCAGCTGGGCAAAGGCATCTGAGCTGGAGGTAGGTGATAAGCTCCCTGGGCCTCCCACCCTGCCTGCCTCTGCTCAGTGGCTCCTGGGTCCCTCCTGACCATGTAACCTTTGCGCCAGCCAGAGAATCTGCCCTTTGCCTTCCTCTCCAGGAAGTTGTTGAGATACATGAGTGAAAATATTATTCTTTTAAGTGCTTTGGATGTTATAAAAAATACACTGTGCCATTAATGCTCGTGCAGGGCTCCCGGCCGGCCTAGGCCCTCTGCACTTGAGATTCCTCTGGCAGCATCTGTTTAGAACTGGGCACTCCTGGTTCTGGTCAAGTTTATCCTGACCAGTTCATTTCATGGCAGTTCTGGTCATTTTTGAGAAAATCTAGTTTGCACTTTCATTGGGCCCCTTTGTGTTTTCTAGTTCAGATGTGGCTTCTCTAGCTTTTTCTTGCTGCTAAATGGTCTTAAAGGTTTGAGATCAGTGTCTCAGACTTTAGCCTGCGTCAGGATCACCTCAGGTCACGTTTTAACTGAGGGTGGGTTAAAATGCAGATCACTGTGCCGGGCGCGGGTGGCTCATGCCTGTAATCCCAACACTTTGGGAGGCTGAGGCGGGCAGATTGCTTGAAGTCAGGAGTTAGAGACCAGCATGGCCAACATGGTGAAACCCCGTCTCTACTAAAAATACAAAAATTAGCCAGTAGTGGTGGCAGGCGCCTATAATCCCAGCTATTTGGGAGGTTGAGGCAGGAGAATCCCTTGAACCCAGGAGGCAGAGGTCGCAGCGAACTGAGATCGCGCCACTGTACTCCAGCCTGGGCGGCAGAGCAAGACTCCGTCTCAGAAAAAAAAAAAAAAAAAAAAAAAAAGAAATGCAGATCACTGGGCTCCACCCCCAGAAGTTCTGATTCAGTGGGTGGCGGGTGAGGCCTGGGAACTTCATGACGAGCCCCCTGGCAAGGCTGCTGCTGCCATTTTGGTGCCACACTTTGGGTACTATGGCTTTGGGCACTCCCAATCCAGGTGCCATGGCATGGGGAGCAGTGGGTGAACCAAATCCTGGAGCCTGGACTGTTCCATTGGGTGCATTTCTGGCTGGCAGATAGAGGACCACCCAGCTGTGCTTGATGGGGTCTAGAAGCATTGAAACTGGTTTGCCGTTATGATGTCCATGAGGTTGGAGTCCTTTCTTAGTTAAAAAATCTGAAGACCCAACAACACACAGCACCCCCACGCTGAACCCTCCCGAGAATGATTGAGCTCTTCCAAATAAAGGGCGATTTTGTAGCTTTTCAAGTTTTAACAGTTTGATAACTCCCAGGCTCCTGTTGAGATGCTTTGTGATGAGGTTGTGCGTTCCCCTGTATCTTTCCTGTGGGTGTTTATGTGTACAGAACACATGTATCTGTATTTACGTGACTGAGCACAGGCGATTTCCCCGAGTCTCACCTTGGTGTGTGCCAGTGCATGCGCGTGCGCGCGCGCACACACACACACACACACACATACCTCCTCTCAGAGAATGTTGATGTGGCAATTCATGTTTGACAGCTGGGTTAACCCATAAATAGATCCCAAAATATAAATTTACCCAGACCTCAACCTGCTTAAGCCTTTAAATAGCTCACTAGGGCTTTTAGAATGAAGTTGAAATTCCTTGGCCTCACCCTTAAGCCTTTTTAGAAGGAGTCATGGAGGAAGTAAAGAAATGGAAATGGAGTTGCCTCGCTGGGCTCCCAGGCCCTTTGCCGTGGCCCTGCCTGCTCTCCAGCCTGGTCTCACCCCACCTGTGGCACCTTCGCTGTGGAGGATACCGTCAGCCAGGCTCACAGTTCCTGGCAGGCCACTTCCTCTGTCTGGGGCCCTGCCTGGGGGTTTGGATCACCTGAGTCCTGCCCCTTGGCAAGCCTCTTTTAACCCACCTGATGCCTTCACAACCCAGCTCAGGAGTCCTGCTTCCCCAAGGCCATTCCGATGGCTCCTGCTGGCGATTCCAGGGCCTGCCACCTGGTGGCCTGTGCACTTTGCTGTGACGTGGGCTGCACGTCTCTCCCCAGCATGGGCTCAAGGTGCTCAGGAACCAAACCCCGGTGTCTCATCCAGGACTGGACACGTGGTGAGAGCTCCATGGAGCTTAACTGCATGAGGGAGGCGGGATGGACTCTGGCTTGTAGGGCACAGTCTGTGTAGCAACAAGGAACATACCTGGTGTTTAGATCAGATGTTCAATGACTCATGTCCCAGAGAAGGGGCCTGCAGCCGTATTGGTCAGTTGGGGAGCTTGTATACTCAGGCCATTGAGGTTGCCATGGCCACCATTTTGGGAATCTTTTCTTTGGGAGTTGCCATCAGAATTTAGGGCATTAAAAAAGTCCTTAAATTTAGGTAATGTTTGCCTTAAGCAGATGGTCTTTGCCTTTTAGAACTGTCAGAACTTGTTTACCCTTCAAGCTGGGCACTGTGGTAAGTTGACTCTTTGGGTCCTTGGTTGGAAACATGAGAATCCCATTCTGGCTGACTCAAGCAGACATGGATTTTATTCGAAGGATGTGGGGGTGGCTTTGAGCATAGAGGCGTTGGGATGGACTGAACCATGGGCCCAGGGGACAGGCACAGGCTGCCTGTGTATTTAGGGCACTGCTTGGGTTGCCTGGAGAGTGGTTTATTGGCCCAGATTCTGCCACTTCTTGGCCAGGGGAGGCCTTTCATGGACAGCCTCATCAGAGTGGCAGCAGAGAGAAGAGCAGGGCAGGTCCTCAAAGGAACACTGAAAAGGTTCTCTGAAAGACAGGGGCGTAGATACTGAGCTGGCAATAACAGCGCTGATCCACTGGAATGGGGAAGGGCCTCGAGCTGTTCTGTCAACACGGAGTTGTTTGTCAGGCGTCATGGGTATCATTTTGTGCATCTGCCCTTGTTCAGTGTTTCCTTGTAATTTTGCGGAAAAAAGTCTGCTTAGTGTTGAACCAGACATTCTGCAGCCTTTAAAAGAGAATGGAAATGGAGAGATTGTAATGTGTTCATTGGTGACTTTTGACACGGATGCTAACCTGTAAGATGTGCAGATATATCATGTGCAAACTGTTAAGATGCTGTCAACATTTTGAATGACTTCTTGCAAATAGTAAGGAAATTAAACACGCACAGAGCTGGGCAAATGCTAGAGGATGGTGTTGCCTTTTGCATCTTGGTGGGAAAGAGATATTTAAGGGGGTGAGGGGAGCTCAGCAACAGCGACTTAAGGGCCTGCTAGGAGCGGGGAGAAGTTGGTTGCTGGGGTGTGCGGCCTCTGTAGCCCAGTCCTCCGAGTATCGTGACAGGTGGCTGGGTGCCTCAGTGCTCAGGTATGGGCTCCTGTTCCTGCCGCATGGGCTCCTCTGCTGCTGCTGCTGCTGCTGCTGCTGCTGCTGCTGCTGGCCCGCCAGTTCCCATGGACTCTCCCTCACCTGTGCTTCCTTCTGCTCCCCGACTTCATGGTTGGAACGTGCTGTCTTCCCATCCCTCTGGGCACGTGGCTCCTCTTTTACATGCATGCCTGGCGAATAGTATATCCCCAGTAAATGCTTGCAGAATGAATGTCTTTCCTGAATGTTCTGCTCTGCTCCCCAGCCCCCAGAAATAAAACAGAAATGCTGTACTCCTTCCCTGTCTCAGGCCCAGGAGCATTATTATTATTTTTTTTAAATCTCTTGTGGCACTTTTCTACTTTCTCCTCCACAGTACAGCTGCTTGTTGAGAGGCAGTATATGTCATGTCTAAGAAGAGTCCTCAAGTGAAGTCTGGTGCAGCTTCTTTCTAGCTGTGTGCTTTCAGGAAAGCCTTTTGAATTTGGAGCCTCTGTTTCCTCTAGCTTTACTCCAAAGGAAACAAGTGTAAGTGCTTGGCACCTGCAGCCTGAGCGTAGTTCATGCCGCCCGTATTCCTGGCCAGCCTCCGTTCTCTGGGACCCGGCAGGAATGTGTTTGTCGCCTCTGGCCCTGTGCACCCTGGCTTCCCATCATACCTGGAGACCCTGGGACAAATGCCTGTGGAGTGGATGAGTGAGTGCATGCGGGTCCACTCAGCTCCCCGGCAGGCTTCAGAATCTTCCCTGTATTCTGGAAGTAAGTGGCGTCGCTGCCCAGTTTAGGAGAGTGCCATGTGGGACTCTGTTCCATCAGCTGGGTTGGTGCAGTGGGACTGAACTTTCTTCTTTGGTTGCCCTCTGCAAACAGCCATGCAGATGTTATTGATGGGCAGTTGCAGGTAGAAGCATTTTTGGCCCTACAGGGTAGATCTGCCAGCATGGCAGGCTGATCAGCCACGGGTGCCACGTGGCTCTGGAGGGGCTTGGCGCCTACGTTAGTCAGCTCGGGCTGCCACGACAAAATACCACAGACTGGGAGGCCCAAACGTATTTTCTCACAGTTCTGGAGGTTGAGAGTCCATGATCAAGGCACTGGCAGGTTTGGCTTCTTCCCATTCTGTGCCTCACCTGGTCTTTTCCGTGTGTGTGGTCTTCAGTGTTTTTCCGTTCTCAGGAGGACACCAGTCTTGTTGGATGAGGGTCCCACCCTTAAGCTGCCATATTACCATGATTGCCTCCTTAAAGACCTTATCTCCAGCGACAGTCACCTTGGGGTGTGAGCCTCTGCAGAGGAATTTGGGGGATACTGCGCAGTCCGTACAGCATCCCTCCCTCCCTGGTGGTTTCTGAGGATTTGTCACTGATGTAGTAGCATCACGAGTGTTTCGTCACTTAACCCAGAGCAGGGCTTTGACGACATAGCTGTGCCCAACGTAGATCTTTATGGTAATTTTATTTTAATTGAGGTCGCAGGGACTAATTTTTACTGGAAAGAAGTAGCAGCCATGAGGCAGGAGATCCTCTTTACTTTGTAAAAAAATGTAAAAGAACTTGTTTAGATCAAAGTCATGTTTTTAAAATATAAACTAGATTATGAAAAAAATTAAAACTTGATTTAAAAAGAAGCCTGGGCCAGATGCAGTGGC
Organism: Homo sapiens; assembly: GCF_000001405.40. Classification (NCBI taxonomy): domain Eukaryota; kingdom Metazoa; phylum Chordata; class Mammalia; order Primates; family Hominidae; genus Homo; species Homo sapiens. Next base: position 235,517,671 of record NC_000002.12, read on the forward strand.
TCACACCTGTAATCCCAGCACTCTGGGAGGCCGAGGCAGACAGATCACTTGAGGTCAGGAGTTCGAGACCAGCCTGGCCAACATGGTGAAACCCCGTTTCTACTAAAAATACAAAAATTAGTCAGACATGGTGGCGTGTGCCTGTAACCCCAGCTACACGGGAGGCTGAGGCAGGAGAATCTCTTGAACCCGGGAAGTGTTGGAGTGAGCCAAGATTGTGCCTCTGCACTCCAGCCTGGGTGACAGAGTGAGACTCCGTTTCAAAAAAAAAAAAAAAGAAAAAAAAAAGGTAGAACTCATAGTTGCCATTGAGGTCTGAGTCCCGGCTTGCCTCAGTTGGGGTTCTTGCCCCCATTTGCAGGTGAGAGGTGGAAGCTCAGGCAGGCCCAGCCTCCGAAGGTGCAGCGCAGGGACCCTAACCTGAGAGCTGGAAATGCTTTCTTAGAGAAAGTGCATAAGGGCTGTGCCCATCTCTCCTTTGCCCGAAGACGACTGTTCTGCTGCATTGGTTTCACTGTGTTGTTTCTGTAACTCTGGTGTTTAATCCACGTGAAGACAGTGGAGCTGTTTACACTGTTTGATTGATTGGATGCTTATCAGGAATCTCAAAACCCAGCTTTGGGCAACCAGATGCCTTTGACTTCTCTTTCTCCTCCACTGACAGTGATCTCTGAATGCTTTTATAAAGGTTTTTCATAAAGAATATAAAAAGTGACAGAAATAAAATTGGCAATCAACCAAATTCCTTACCTCTCAAATTGCCTCTTCTGAGACTTTTTGTGATGATGCGTGTGCCCCACCCTGCAATTGGTTTCATAGAAATTCCTTGGATTTCCTCTGTTTCTGACAAAGAGCCAGGGCGGAAGCTGCAGGTCACTGGGTGCCAGCTGTTTCCCACCGTCAGCCTTGGGAGGGGCACGGAGCTTTGCAAATGTCTCTTCAGCTGGTGTTTTCTGCCATAGGACAAAGAGAAAGGAGAGTGACATGGTGTTTTGAATATTTTAGTAAGAAAACAGTCTCCACCTGCACACAAACAAAAAAAATTAATGCTTGGATATAACTTTTTTAATCCTCAAAGTAATAATAACTTTCTATCTCATAAGCCAGAGGGATGGTGGCATAGCTAACAGCAGCTGCATGTCCTCAGGTTAAACTTCACATCTTGACTGGCAGGCTTGCCTCGCGGGTGCACTTCGTGAATGCCCGCTGCTCCTGCAGCGGAAGAGTCTCCTGTCCTTGGGCCTCAGTGGCAGGGGCAGCAACAGGAGGCTGCGGCCAGTTGGCTTCACACTGTTTGGGAACAGCAGAAGGGTCAGAGCAGACCTCAACATTATCTGAAACGAGTACTATTCACAACAGCAATTTGCAGGTTATGTGACAAGAATCATATCATTTGGTGTGTGTGTATGTGTTTATTTATGAGACAGGGTCTCACTCTGTTGCCCAGGGTGGAGTACAGTGCCACAATCGTAGCTCACCATAACCTCAAACTCCTGGGCTCAAGCAATCCTCCCACCTCAGCCTCCCAGGTAGCTAGGACTACAGGCGCACACCACCACACCTGGCTAATTCTTTATTATTTTTGTAGAGACAGGCAGGGTCTTGCTGTGTTGCCCAGGCTGGTCTTGAATGCCTCAAGTGATCCTCCCACTATGGCCTCCCGAGTTGCTGGGGTTACAGTCATGAGCCACCGCACATGGCCCTAGTTTATATTTATTAATTGGTTTAATCCTCCCAGGAATTTGAAGATATAATTCCTGATATATAGGTGTCAGAATTTGAGACTAAGAGTATTGAGTGATAATTCATTTCTCACCTCTCTGGAAGAAGGTGTAATAAGCATAGAAAATACAGAATTTTCTATATACTGATATAACACATATTTTCTTGTGTGTATGTGTATATGTGTTGTGTGTGCATAGTGAACAAAGGCAGAAGAAACATTTAGGCTTGAATTTTTTGAGCTAAGTATTATTTTCTAGAGCTTACCAAAAAATCCAAACACACATATATGTATGTAGAATAAGCGTAATGATCTCCTGTGTACCCTCAACCAGCTTCAGTAATTAGTTCATCCTGTATATACCCTGCCACCTACCAATATTATTATTATCATTATTTATTTTTTTGAGACGGAGTCTTGCTCTTGTGGCCCAGGCTCGAGTGCAATGGCATGATCTCAGTTCACTGCAACCTCCACCTCCTGGGTTCAAGCGATTCTCCTGCCTCAGCCTCCTGAGTAGCTGGGATTACAGGTGCCCACCACCACACCTGGCTAATTTTTTTGTATTTTTAATAGGGATGGGGTTTCACCATGTCCAGGCTGGTTTCGAACTACTGACCTCAGGTGATTCGCCTGCCTCGGCCTCCCAATGTGCTGGGATTATAGGCATGAGCCACCAGGCCCGGCCTCAATATTATTTTGAAGTGAATTCCAGACACCCTGCCATTTCATCCGTAAATACTTCAGTATCTATCTCTAAAAGATGAAAACTTAAAGCACACATGACCACATTACCACACTTTAGAAAATGAACAGTTCCTTAATATGGTCAAATATCCAGTCTGTGCCCACATTTCCAGTTGTCTCATGATTACCATAACTTTTCCCTTCAGTTTGCCTGTTGGAATCAGGATCAAATACTGTGTGCACGTTGCAGTTGGTGGAGACTTCTTCTGAAACTCCTCCAATGAGTAGGTTCCATGACCGTCTTTCTCTCCTTCCCGGGGCCTGTGTTTGTTTCGAATGCCTCCCCTTGGAGTCAGTCAGCGTGCTCCTTTGTCTCCTGTATTTTCCTATAAATTAGTGGGTGTTTGGAGGCTTGTTTAGGTTTTTAGCTTTTGTTTGGTTTGGTTGGACTCCTTTCTGGGCGGGTCTGTGTGGTTCATCAGGAGGATCCCACCTTCTATTTGTCCTTTTGCCCACGTTAGCAGTCGGGACCAGTTAGCTCGTCAGAGGTTGCAAAATGATGATTTTATAATTCTCTCATTATTTTTTTTGCTGTTATTTGTTTAAGATGAGATAATTCTATGAAGAGTACCTTTCGGGTCATGTAGGAAAGGCAAGATAACCCTCTTTATTTACTAATCGTAAAAATAACAAGTTTTGGTTTAGTAGACTCCGTTTAAAATTGACTAATTAGTTTTAGATCATTGTGAACTCTCTGGATTAAATGTACATGGTGCATTGCGGTGAAAGCTGTTATGGATGCTCCAGTGATCCCATCTTCTGCGTGTGGAAGCATTTCAGGAAGCCTTCTGTGTTCTCTTGACATGACATTGACCACTTCCTGGATTTCTGATGTCACAGGAAAGATAAAGATGGACAGATGCCCCAGGCTCATGTGGTACATTGGTCATCTCTCTAGCAGTCACGGTTCTCAGGGACACGAACATAATTCCTCATTTGCTTTGGGCTTCCCCATACAATTCTCAGAAGACAGCTCCAGCAGAGCTTCCAACAGTGTGACCACCAGAATGAGTTCAACGTGCTGCAAATTGCTTTTCCTCTTTAGGGTGTATCTCACTTTCGGTGATAAACTCCAGTTATTGTGTTTTAAATCACATGGAATTGGTCTTCTCTGTGACTCTTCTATCCTGGTGGAGGTGTACTTAGATACATTTCTTTATTTTCAATTTTTAGGGAAATAGTTATATAACTAGTTAACATATTTGTGTGGAACCAATGTCACATCATCAAAATAAATTCTAAGAGTCCTGGCTTTGATTCTTAAAGATAAATTCAAAGACTCTCTCTTTGTCACTTTTTCACCTTGTCGTCTTCTCTTCACCTATAACTATTTTTTAATAAGTATTGTTTATACTTGTCTCTTTTAAATATAAGCAAATACATGCGAATGGGTACTTATATAACCTCCTGCTTGGATACAGGTAGCTTCCCATGCACTGTTTTTCGTTTGCCTTTTTAACTTAGGAACATGTTCTGGAAACCACTCCATAGTGTGGGCTCCAGAACAGGCCTCATTGTGAAACTGTTCCCAATTTATTAACAGGTCTCTTATTAATAGACGTTGGGATCGATCCAGTTTCTTGTTTTTGTTTGTTATATATATGTGTGTGTGTGTGTGTGTGTGTGTGTGTGTGTGTGTGTTGCTATTGAAAAATAGTGCTGTATAGTCTACGTCTATCTTTTTCTTATTTCTTGTCAATGTATTTTTGGGATAGATGCCTAGAAAGGAGGATTGCTAAGTCAAAAGGGTAATGTGCATGTAGTTTCGCTAAAGGTTGCCAAATTCCCATCCATAATAAGTGTGCCACCAGCAATATACGTGAGTGCCTCTTTCCCAACAGGGTGCTGTCAAACTATTGGATGTTTGCCAGAGAGGCACAGCTTGGTTTTTGAATACATCGGATGTAATCAGGATGTGCAGTCTTTTTGGTTCCTAGAGGCTGACTGGGCTCTGAGAAGCATAGAACATTTCCTCAAGAGGCTTAGAGTCTGTTTAGGGGTGATGAGGCTTCCTGGCAGTTCCTTAAACGTCAGTAAACATTGTTCGTGTGCCCGACCTGGGCCAGGCTCTGTTAGAAGCTGGAGCTGTGGACAGGGAGTCCAGATGGACTGGTGAGAATGTCACGTCGGTTGAGGATTTGAATAGGCCACTGGTTTTGGTAAAAAGGTGGTAAGGAGTGGGCACATTGGACTTAGACCTCCTGGGCTTCTGTCTGTACCAGCTCTGAGGTACCTCTCCTCCGTAAGACGCTCAGCCTCTCTGTATCTGTGGGGTCTTGATAATACCAATCTCATGGTTCATAGGAGGCGTGATGGTGGTGATGGTGGAAGTGAGGAAGGAGAGGACGCAAGAGAATGGGAGACACCCTGGAGAAGCCAAGCTGGGGAGGGAAGGAAGACGGCTCATGAGGAAGGCCAGGTTTTTGGTTGGGAGAGACTTGAGCTTGATGAGTGTTTGGACAATACTGGCCCTGATGAGGGAGCGATTGCAGGGACGGGGTGATGCCGATGAAGAGGCTGGCCACAAGGCAGAGGGGAGGCTGAAAGTTGTGTGAAGATGGCTGAGTGGGAAAGACAAGCAAGATGGGAGTAAGGGAGGATGTCTTGGCCTTTGTGCCTGAGCCTGTTTTCTCTGCAAGGCTGGAAAGCTGACCTTTATGGTGATATCTGTTTGGTACTGTTAGAGCGATTTGTCCTGCATTTCTGGGCAACCTGTGGGCAGAAGAGGAGAAGGATAGATCCTTCTGATATCTCCTGGGTTTGGCAGTTGGCATGGTGGATGTCATGTGGGTGACATGCCACCAGGATGTCTTAGCTGGGGCTACTGTAGCAAAACACCTAAGACTGAGTGGCTTCAACAATAGTCGTTTATGTCTCGCAGTTCTGGCGGTTGGGAGTCCAAGATGAGGGAGCCAGTGAGGGCAGGCTCCGGTGAGGGCTCTCTTCCTGGCTTACACACGGCTGCCTTCTCGCTGTGGCCTCTCATGGTGGAGAGAGAGAGAGAAAGGCTGGTCTCTTCCTCTTCCTGTAAGGACACTGATCCCATCATGCTCCTCACGGCCATGACCTCATCTAAACCTGATCACCTCCCAGAGGCCCCACTTCCTCATGACATCACAGTGGGGTTTAGGGCTTCAGCATACAGATTCAGGGGGACACATGCATTCAGCCCATAACAGGGTGAGGGTGCAGTTCTTCAGCTGGAGCCCCAGGAGGCTCTTGGGGAGAAAATGTTTCCTTCCCTGTGGGGATCTAGGCTTTGCTCACCTGTGCTGCATGGTGATTGTTGTGAATTTTGAAAGGGACTGCTTCCCATCGGTGCCTGAGTCAAGGCCTAGGACTTGATGGATGGTGCCTGGCAGGGTCAGCTGCTTGGTGCAGGTTCCTGTGCCCATGTCATGGTACGTGCTGTCCGCTAAGCTCCCTCCCAGCCCTTAGTGGTCCTCACTGTGAAAAGCTGATTTTGAGTAAGGCTTTATCCCACCCAGGGATGAAATGGCAGGTGTTACCAGTCAGGGAGTGGGGTGGGAATGGGTGTCTGCAGGGGAGGCTGCACAGACATGGCGGGGGGTGGTGGCCAGTGGTCAGGTGGCCTTGGGTCGAAAGGCCGACTGACCACCGTGTGACCTGGCCAGGGTGTGGGATTGCATCTGCTTCCCTGCCCTTCCAGTGGGAGTGACCCTGCTTGGACGTAGCAGGGGGACGGTGGTCTTGGATTGAATGGCTCACTCACCACCCTGTGACCTGACCAGGGTATGGGATTGCAGCGTGCCTCCTCATCCCTCCAGTAGGGATGACCCTGCACGGATGAGGCCGGGGGCGGTGGCCTTGGGTTGAATGGCCCACTCACCACCCTGTGACCTGGCCAGGGTGTGGGATTGTGCCCGGCTTCCCCATCCTTCCAGTGGGGATGACGACAGGCATTTGCTGAGTTCCATGGGACTGTGGAAAGGGCTGTGTCACTGTAGACGCTCCATCGGAAATGCTGATGTGTATTCTTACCACGGGCGTCCGTGGGCCACCATTGTCTCCTGGCATCTGGCTGTCCTTGGAACCCAGCAACACCCAGGGACTTGGGCTGTGATCAGAAGTCCTGCCCAGAGCGAGTAGGGTCACGCCAGAGTGAGGCTGGGGACAGCATGGTCCACTGTGGCCCAGATGTAACTTTTAGTCCTGCCTTCTTATCCGGTTTGGCAGGAACAGGACAGGGTGGTTAGCAGGCCACAGTGTGGTGGGAGTGAAAGTGTACTGTCCTGTGTGATATTTTTGCACAGCCTGACAGTGGGGGCAAGTTTAGAGCCTTTGAGCTGAGAATCTGGAGAGAGCAGTGGATGCGATGGGCAGTTGCTTGTCCTTGCTGTGAGAAGACAGGCCACGGGGCTGCACCCAGCCCCCATGGGTAAGTATAACCCCCACCCCACTACTGCCCGCCCACCATGCCTTCCCCACATGGATGAGTTGCTCCCTCCTATAAAGTAGGAAAACATGCTTACCGCTGGAGAGGATGCCTAACAACAGCTCCTGCTGCCCAGCGAGGAAGGGACCCTGTGTCCAAGAGAAAACCTGATGGCAGGTAACACATCACCCCTCTCTTTTAGGGACCTCGTCCCTTTCTTTTAGGGAACTCATTGGCTTGTCTTGGACCCAAACATAATTAGTGGGGGTAGGGGTGAGGAGAGAAACTCTTCAGTGAACAGATGTCTTCTTGGGCCGATTGTTGGATATTGCTCACCAGCTAGTTATTAAATTCTAGAAAAACTAATTCTTTGTGCAGATTCTAGGTAAAATGTCTCTGTTGCAAAATAGGATTTTTCAATTAAGAAAAGCTTTAAAATATATCATGTGTTCCTCCTTAGTCTGCAGAATCTGAATGTCACCTTAAAATGTCAGGGTTAAATTTCTTACGGTTAGTACATGAGGCAGGCGTGAAATTTACAACAGAAAATTGAGATTGATTACTTTCATTTACTTTCTCTTTTTTGGGGCAGTAACTGTTTAATGTTAAATTTGTATTGTATGTCGGTGCCTCTTTTGAAACTGGAGATATTGATATGATCTTAAGCAAATGTCTCCAATACGAGAAAAAGAGGACTGATTTATAAAGTGGAGGACTGACACATAATGTGGAGGACTGATACATAATGTGGAGGACTGATACATAATGTGGAGGACTGATACATAATGTGGAGGACTAATACATAATGTGGAGGACTGATACATAATGTGGAGGACTGATTTATAAAGTAGAGGACTGACACATAATGTGGAGGACTGATTTATAAAGTAGAGGACTGATACATAATGTGGAGGACTGATACATAACGTGGAGGACTGATACATAACGTGGAGGACTGATACATAATGTGGAGGACTGATACATAATGTGGAGGACTGATTTATAAAGTAGAGGACTGATTTATAAAGTAGAGGACTGATTTATAAAGTAGAGGACTGACACATAATGTGGAGGACTGATTTATAAAGTAGAGGACTGATTTATAAAGTAGAGGACTGACACATAATGTGGAGGACTGATTTATAAAGTAGAGGACTGATGCATAATGTGGAGGACTGATACATAATGTGGAGGACTGATACATAATGTGGAGGACTGATACATAATGTGGAGGACTGATTTATAAAGTAGAGGACTGATTTATAAAGTAGAGGACTGACACATAATGTGGAGGACTGATTTATAAAGTAGAGGACTGATGCATAATGTGGAGGACTGATACATAATGTGGAGGACTGATACATAATGTGGAGGACTGATTTATAAAGTAGAGGACTGATTTATAAAGTAGAGGACTGACACATAATGTGGAGGACTGATTTATAAAGTAGAGGACTGATGCATAATGTGGAGGACTGATACATAATGTGGAGGACTGATACATAATGTGGAGGACTGATACATAATGTGGAGGACTGATTTATAAAGTAGAGGACTGATTTATAAAGTAGAGGACTGACACATAATGTGGAGGACTGATTTATAAAGTAGAGGACTGATTTATAAAGTAGAGGACTGACACATAATGTGGAGGACTGATTTATAAAGTAGAGGACTGATTTATAATGTGGAGGACTGAGAGGCAGTTGGATCTGGATGGCTATTTTTCAAAGTCAAGGCCACTCAGCCAGATGAATCCAGAGGCATATCTAGGTTCTCTTGATTGACAGGAACCTGCAGACCAGCTGTGCTCTTGGTCCTGTGGCCTTCCATGGGAGAGGGTATGGGAAGGGCTTTGGTGCACCACAGATGTCTTGGCCTGTCTCTTCCGATGACTTCCCTTTGCTTATAACTCACACCTGTTTACTTGGAGACTGTGAATTAGATTTTTAGTTTTGCAGCAGGAAAATCATTTGAAATTATAGACTATCCCTCTTGAAATCTCATTACATAAAAAGATTTAACAAGCCTCTTGTGAATAAGTTAGGGTGACAAGGAATGAATTATTTGGAGAAGTAAAAAAACCTTAAAAATTAAAAAAAGTTTTTACAAGTAATAAGAACTTTACAAAATTATTGTGTGTATTAATATCAAAGGGAGATACTGATGAGGACCTGAACAACATGGGTGATGGGTAAAAGGTCATTGCCACCCTGAGTTTGGAAATTTGAGGTGCTCGTTGCTACTTTGGGTTCAGAATAGTTATGATTTATGATAAACCTAAAAATTAAAAGTACCACAGTTTTCTCTCAAATCGTATGTGGGTGGGTTGTGTCCAGAAACAAATAGGAAAGCTTCCACAGATGGAATGAAATAGTGGAACAGATATGGTGGTTTTGTTTTGGAAAGGATTTGTCTCCAAAGTTTTGGGGTGGAGGCATTCTAGTCTTGTTTTTCTTCTGAGATGGAAACACTGGCAAACTTGGAGTCTTCTGCAAAACTGTATCAAGCAAAAGTGAAACAGTAGTTGCTGTGTGACAAGTTAGTATTTTGTCCATGACATGTAGCAATCAGTAGAAATAGATAAAGGATGGGATATTGGAAAATCCCCTGGAGATGAGAAACGGTGGGTGACATCTGATGAGAGGAGGAGGATTCAGGGAGCAGAATGAAGACATTGGCCAGGCAAGCATCTCAGTGTGGAGGTGGGGCTGCTTAGACATTTAAATTGACCTAAATCAAGCAGTTATTAATAAGTGGGCAAAACACCGGAAAAATTGCACTCCATTCCTGTGCCTGTCAGGGCTGTTCTATTATTTGGAAACAGACTTTACTTACTTACCTTATTGATTGAGACAGGGTCTCACTCTGTTGCTTAGGCTAGAGTGCAGTGGCACGATCATGGCTCTCTGTAGCCTCGACCTCCTAGGTTCAGGTGATCCCCCCACCATAGCCTCCTGAATAGCTGGGACTACAGGTGTGCACCATCATGCCTGGCCAATTTTTATTTTATTTTATTTTTTGCGTTTTTTTGTAGAGACGAGGTCTCGCTCTGTTGTCAGGCTGGTTTTGAACTCTTTTGCCCAAACCATCTGCCTATCTTAGCGTCCCGAAGTGCTGGAATTACCGTAGTGAGCTGCCGCTCCTGGCCTACTTTAAACATCTATAATTTGTGTTCGTTGTAGGATTATTCACGGTAGAAACAGGGTGGAAAAAAATGCCCACAGCCTAGCATTTCAAGGTGCAGTGTTTTAGTTCTTGTGTCTGTCATTACAGATGTGCTTTACCTGCTCCCATTCACACCTTAGAACAGAGAGGCTCCTGTGTATAAAGGTATCCGTAAAGCCTCATGCCCTGCATTTCACATCTAGCAATATCATAAGTAGAGCATCTTCACCAAATTCTGTCTGTATCATCTTGAGTACACAGATGTGTCATAACTAGCCACACTTCTTTGGACATGTAAGTCGCTTCTCAGTTTTCACTATTCTCAGCAATGCAGTGAGGATATTTTCATGATAACCTCATTAGGCTCTTTGTGATGTTGTCCTGGATCTGTCAAAAATTGGTCTGTCAGAAATTTGTTTTTAACAATAATAGCTATATTGTTGCATTAACTCCAGAAAGTTTTACCAATTTACCCTCTAAGGAGAATAGACCTCCTTCCCCATCCCCCCCACATTCAGGACTTTGCATCTGAGGGGGAACCTGGCCACGTGGTTGGCATTCCTGAGCCATGCCAGGCTGCTGGAGCGCACAAATTCTTTCACCCCAGCAAGCCCGGCTCCATCCACCATCTGTGCACTCAGGCCCCCTCCCCCTCCCCCGCCCCCTCCCCTCCCACTGGCGGTTTCATTTTTATTTCTTAGGCTTTATAAGGATATTGATTATGGACTTTTGGCTGATTTCAGATCTAGAATTACAGAGTGAGATGGAAAAATGACAGAAATGCAGGGAAAAGTCGAAGCACAGTGTGTGGGAGTTGCATATGGCGAGATGCTCGAGAGATTGTCATTTTCCTTAAGTCAGTGAAAGATTGTCTTCTCAATAAATGATGTTTGCTCCGCTTGTTTCATATAGTAGCTGTAGGAGACCATACCTCTCCAGCCTTCTCTTGTGTGCATTTGTATGTGGGGTTAATTTTTTGTTTGTTTTGAGAAGACGGAGTTTCGCTCTGTCGCCCAGGCTGGAGTGCAGTGGCGTGATCTTGGCTCACTGAAACCTCCGCCTCCCGGGTTGCAAGCAATTCTCCTGCCTCAGCCTCCCTAGTAGCTGGGATTACAGTCATGTGCCACCATGCCCGGCTAATCTTGTATTTTTAGTACAGATGGGATTTTACTGTGTTGGTCAGCTGGTCTCAAACTCCTGACCTCAGGTGATCAGCTCACCTCGGCTTCCCAAAGTGCTGGGATTACATGCATGAGCCACTGCGCCCAGCCAGTGGGGTTAATTTTTGTGATCATTGTCTGGCTGTTGATTATTACTTGATTCTCCTGCTGTGTGTCTTCTCTCTTTCTGAGAGCCACAAAACACCACGTCCCCTTGCCTGAGTCTCTAGCTAGCTCTGTGGCCCCTAGGCCACACCTCTGCTGCCTGGTAACTTTCCTTGCTGCGTTGTGACAGAGCCCCTGTGGCCAGGCAAGTGTTGCCTTGGCGCTGGTCCTTTCTGTGAATATGGTGGAAAGTTGATCTCAGTCCTTCCAGGGAACTAGTCTTACAGTATATGCTGGAGGCTACTTTGTGCTGATGGTTGTAATAGCCACAATTTAGTGGACAGCCACTGTTGCCAAGTATCTTATGTACATTGGTGACCTCTTATAATAATTTACAAAATCCATGCTGTCATTGCCATTGTAAGGATTAAAGTGGCAAATAGTGAATCCAGGTTTGGTGTCCAGGGGTGCCTGATCTTAGAGCCTGTGTGTGGGGATTGAACTGGCAGGAGGTGCAGATCTCTCAAGCAGGTGGGGTGTCTGTGGGACAGGGGACAGCTGTGCAGTCAGCATCAGACTCCAGTTAATACAGAATGCTTGACAGCTCACGCTCCCCACATCACAAAATCCAGGACCTGGAAGGGAGCAGTGAGCACCCACATTGAGGTTATTTCATGACTGTATTCACCTGACCCCCACTGATGACCTCCCATGTGAGGTGCACACATTTGTCTACATGTGAATCCTCAGCTCTGGACTGTTGGGAATTTTGGAAGTAGTGGCTGGGCAGCCGAGGAAAGAAGTGAAGCTGGGTGGGCAGAAATCGAGGCCCCAGGCCCATCAGCCTGAGTGGTTGGGAGGAGAGCTTGGAGCTGGGGTTGTACGAGAATTGGGCTGGGCAAAGGCAGTGTCCACCTTGTTGGGTGATGAGGATGGGATTCAACAACTACCTGTCCTCTGGAGATTGAAAGGTTAAAATAAGGCTTGTTGGAGCCTTTGCCATCTGAAGCTTCTGTATGGTTTTGGGGTCAAAGTAGGTTTGGGGAGGCAAAAATGAGCCCCCAGACACTAAGAAGAGAAGGCACAGGACAGGCCACCATCCATCCCCTGCTGTCCCAAAACTGACAAGTCTCGTACCTCTGACAGTAAAACTCCCCGTAGGACTACAAGACGTGGGTCTTGGAGCTGCAGTTGGCCTCAAATGCAGGTTCACGAACTGACCAGAGCCAGCTGCTGCAGAGGCTGAGCTCATTCGCAGTCTTGGTGTATCTGAACTCATGATTGAAAGATTTTGATGTACAGTCGACTTGCCATATGCCTAATGTGATATCCCGTTAGACTGTGCTTCCGCTTTAGATAGGTAGTAGTTACAAGGGCTTTCACGGGAGCCCTTGTGCCTTAGTCCCTGTGTCCGTTTCCCATTGCAGCTGTACAAGGTTACCCCAGATGCAGTGGCTTCAAACAACACACATTTATTCTGTTATAGTTCTGGAGGTCAGATCCTAATATCAAGGTGTTGGCAGGGCCGCGTTCCTTCTGCAGGCTCTAGGGAAGAATTTGTTTCCTTGCTTTTTCCAGCTTCTAGAGGCTGCCCACACTCCTTGGCTCATGGCCCCTTCCTCTGTCTTCAAAACCAGCTGTGTAGCATCTTCCGATCTCTTCTTCCATTCCACTCCATCCTGACGTCCCCTTCTCCGGCTCCTCTGCTTTCTTTTTTCATTTGATAAGGACCCTTGTGATTACGTTGGACCCATCTGGATAATCTTGAATGATTTCCCTGTCTTAAAATCCTTGACTTAATCACAGCGACAGTGCCTCTTTATCATGTAAAGTCACAGTTGCAGGTTCTGGGGATTAGGACTTGGGCATCTTTGGGGAGGGTGGTGTCTGCCCACCTCAGTGTCCTTCCTCTGTGTTTCTCCTGAGGGCTGACTCTTCCCTCACTGTGGGAGACCCTGCACACCTGCTGTCATTGGGGCTGAGCCAGTCAACACCGGTTGAGGGTAGGGGGACACTGGCCAACCCAAAGGCTCTTGGCGGTCTCCACAGACTTCCACTTCAGTTTAGAAAGTACAGTGAGAAAACCAGTAGCTGAATAAAGATTTAGGGTATTTGGCACAGATCTGCTAATGCACGTGTCCGCAAATCTAGACTCAGCACAAGGAGTCTTAGTTTGGGATCACAACTGATTCTCCTGGTCCAGTGATACCTCTGGGCTCTTGTTCATTGGCTGGAGCTCTCCTTTTTGCTGGGAGGCAGTGCTTCATCTTGCAGTTCATGAGATGACTGGCACTTTTGCAGCCGGCCTCACACTGCTGGTTATGTGCATGGAAGAGGTCTCATCTCACTCCTTCCTATGGCTTTTCTAGCTGGGCAGACTCTGGTTCCTGTATTCTCCCCCTCAACTGTAGTGTTGAATGTTCACTGCCCATCCTTTCTGCCCTGCTCTGTGGCTGCCTGTCCTCATCTCTGCATCGGTCTTCTCTTTTCATGTCCTGTAGCTCATGAGTGACCCGCTCCCATGTCACCTGCCATTTTGGCCTTGAAATTTGGTAATGATTCATACATGTGTCCTCGCTTGTGCCATATCCAGTGGGACAAGGGAATTGGGACACCTTTGGTTCTCTGGTAGCTTTGCCTTTTTTTTTTTTTTTTTGAGACAGAGTCTTGCTGTGGCACCCAGGCTGGAGTGCAGTGGCGCGATCTCGGCTCAATGCAACCTCCGCCTCCCGGGTTCAAGCAATTCTCCCGTCTCAGCCTCCCAGAGTAGCTGGGATTACAGGTGCCTGCCACCACGCCCAGCTAATTTTTTTGTATTTTTAGTAGAGACGGGGGTTTCACTGTGTTGGTCAGGCTGGTCTCGAACTCCTGACCTTCGTTGATCCATGTGCCTTGGCCTCCCAAAATGCTGGGATTACAGACGTGAACCCCTGCACCCGGCCTAGCTTTGCTTTTAAATTGCAAGCTGGGACTCCAGCCCTGTGAAGTGGCTGTCCGCATTAGATCGGACACCTGGCAGACACTTGTTTAAGTTTTAGAATTTTAAAAAGGAAAATACAGGAGAAAAAGTAGAGTTGATCACAAAAAGTAGATTTTGCAGGAAATAGTTTAACTTTTAAAAAAGTTATCAATGTGTTATATGCAAATATGGAAAACTATAAAGAAGAAGAAAACAGTTGCCTATAATTCTTCTAGCTGGAGGTACCTGCTGTTACTCTTGGGGATGCTTTTTGTTTTTCTACCTTTGTAGCTTTTTAGTTTTTTTCTAAGACAAAGTCTCTCTCTTGCCCAGGCTGCAGTGCAACGGTGTGATCTCAGCTCACTGCAACCTCTGCCTGCCCAGCTCAAGTGATCCTCTCACCTCCACCTCCCAAATACCTGGGACTGCAGGCCCACGCCATCACACCTAGCTAATTTTTGTATTTTTGTAGAGATGGGGTTTCACCCAGAATGGTGTCAGACTTGGGTTTAAGCGATCCTCCTGCCTCGGGCTCCCAGAATGCTAGGATTACAGGTGTGAGCCACTGCACCTGCCCTACCTTTGTGTTTTACGAGGGTTGTATATGTATCACATATGCAGTGGTTTGTCCAGCTTTTCTCCTACAGTGACATTTTTCTTTGTCCTCGCCTTTTCATAAACTGTCTTTTTAAATGTTTGCTTGATATTTAATCATGGATGTATTGAGATGGACTCATCTCAAACTATATTAAAAACACTCTGGATGCTTTAAATAAAAAATGGCAAAAGTTAATGTTGTAAGAGAAGTGAAAAGAAAACCAAGAGCTCCTACCTGCCTCAGCTTACCCTTTGTTTGGTGCGTGGGTGCAGTGGGCAGTGAGCCGTGCCATTCCCTCCTGGCAGCCGGTGCATGGCTGGCCATGGTCCTTAGCAGTGACTGTGAACAGCCGTGGGCTACTTTGTTACCCACCCAGTGCTGCTTTTGTATGTTGGCAAATGGGGCTTTCGCTTTCCTTGGTTTGATTCTGTCATTGATGCTTCAGACTAGTCATGCTTTTGTTTGAAGGGAAAAAAAAATCAATCAATCAATATCAGTAACTTGCTATAGATTTTTATAAAGGAAAAAACCCCACCACATGTATGGTGGGGAGTGAGTTGATGTGGAATCAGTCATGACCGCGTTGAGTTAGGAGCATCGCGGATGTGGAGTTACAGCTCTGCTGTGGATGTTTTTGTTTTAAGAAAACATCTTTTAAAAATCTAATAATGGTTCATTAAAAACCAGAAATGGTCAAGCTCACTAGAAACCGTCATCAGCCACATTCTGATGAAAGAGGTTTTGACTTTCTTTTTTAAAAAATTAATGAAGATACATCCAAATATTTGTGGCAGGCAGGAAATCAAGCGGATTTTAATGGGAAATTATGTAAGAAAGCTTAATGACTAATTTTTCTGGATCAGACAAGTGGAGAACGGTCTTAGGGAAATGTGTACATCCATTACTCATTAGTTTGCTGTATTATAATTACTGTTGTATAGGAAGAAGCATGTCAGATAATTAGGAACTGGGTGGCATTTTATGCTAAGGATCAAAACAAAGATTTTGCTTGGAATGTTGAGCAAAATTATACTCTGGCTGAGATTAAACACATGGCAAGCATCCTACTCCAGTATTTAAAATCATCAGGCAGGCTTTATTCTATTTTTTTGGGTCTTTGTTCTTTCATGTTTTCCTCTAATGAAAAGGAATGCTTAGAAAATAGCACTGGGAGGCCAGCAAGAAATCAGTGTTGGGATTTTCTCATGTGTGAGGAGCTGTTACTGCTCCTGTCGCCTGGTTTCACCCCTCGGTTCTGCTCCCAGGAGCTGGACCCCTCCCCGCTGGCCCCTCTGTGCTGCAAGCATCCATTTTGGGCTTGGGGATAATGGTCAAGAGAGTTGGTTGGTTTGGGCTGTGGGCTGGACAAGCGCTTGCTGCTTAAACCATGTTGATTGTGGCTTAACTGCTGAACCAAACCAATACTTCATCCAAAGAACTTCTCCAGGGAGGGAGTGGGCTTCAGGGGAGCCACATGGGAAGCCCCCTAACCAACATTTCTGTAGCACTTGATTGGAGCCTCCAAACACCGTCGCTGTCGATGCTACAGCAGTCCTGTGGGCCGCAGAAGGAGTACTCACTGTGTGTTCTCCATGCCCTTCTGTCTCTGAGAAGCAGCGTGGCGTGTTCGGATTGTGCCCTCCTGCCGACCCCGGTGGCTCAGGCAAAGGGCTTGCCAGATGGTCGGTGTTCTTTGCCAAATGGGACCGATAGCGTGCGCATGGTGGGGATGAGGGGAGGACTAGGGAAGTAAATACAGTGCCTGCTGCCACGTCACCTTCACACAGTCCATGTTTAATAAGAGGTCGCTGCTGTGATGATAGGGGGTCGGCCAGACATGTCCACTGTTTAAAAAGCAGCATCCATCTGAGGACTCATTGGATTAAATGTACACCTAAAAAAAATACAGTGGCACCTGCATGCAGTGCCCGAGGATGGGTGTGCTGTTTTACTAGATCTGGTGTTTTTTGGAGGTGCACATTTGGTAGTTCATTGTTGGGTTGGTATTTGTCTCCATAACCTGTTTCAGCCTCAAGGTCATTTACCTTTGATCAGTGCTTCAAGCTTAGCGGTTTGTTTATATACATGTTCATGTATAAATTATATTACTCAGTCTGATCATAATATATGCCCAGTGCAAATCATTTCATTAAAGCCTCAGGGATACACGGTGCCACCGTTTCCTCATTCAGGGACACGGGGATAGTGGTAGTGTGTCTTCAGCACGACATGGGGAAATTCAAAGGCAGCCATCCGTGGAAGAGCCAACGGCAGCCCGTGCAGGCGTCAGCGCCTGGGGAATAGTAGCAGTCTACATCTTTAGCTGTCAGGGTATCTCGTTGTAGCCTCATCCTGCCCTCTTTAGGGGTCCTTGGATGAGTTATCAGTTGTAGTATTGACATTTTCTGTAAATAGTGTCACTCAAGCGAGTGACAGTGGGAAGCAGACACCAGCCCTTAGGGAGCAGCCCAGGATGCTTTTTTCCTCCAAATGCCTCTCACCTATTCCCAGATACTCGCTGGAGTTGGAGCACACATGTCTGCAGATGTAAAACGACCTGCTCCCCCAGGTGAATGGATTCTCGCCAGGGCCAATACTTATCCGCAGGGGTGTGTGCCAGGCAGCCCAGGTCAGCCTCCCTCCACCGGGCCACCCGCACCAGGTTGCCTCCCATCGTTTGCAGGAGCGGAAGACCCGATGGAGCAGGTTTCACAGTGCCCTCGCTGCTGCCTCCCGTTTCATCTGCACGTCTCTTTCAATGCGGGCGTGCGAACTTCCAGGTAGAGCCGAGTTCAAGAAAATGAAGTACTGCATGCGACGAGCAAGTTTATTGAAGAGGGTGTGAGGTCGCGGCGCCTGACCCTCATTATGTCAGTTACTACTAAATGAAATTAGAACTTCACTGCCCTTTTTCTTTTTCCCATCGAGGTGCAGGAGGAATTGATCTTAGGGTAGTATTTTGGATTTAAAAAAAAAAAAAACATGAAATGAAATCCGTGTCCTCTTTATCCTCCCCTCTCTCTGTTCTGCGCGGCAGGTAGCAAGGAACGGTGGCGGGGCCAAAGGTTTCCTCAAAGACCCTGGGGGCCGGGCGGGGCTGTGCCAGGCACCCGCGTCGCGCTCCAGCTCCAGCCCTTTAATGCTCTTTGCCATTCAAGCCACTCACTTTCATTTTCTATAGAAAAGCCTTTCTGCCGCCTTTCACAAAACTTGTATTTTCATGCCTAATAAGTGAGCGTGTGACATGCAGTGGGCTCAGTCTCTGCATAGCCCGGCAGGCAGCGGCTCTGCTTTCCAGAACCTTCTGGGAGTGGCAGACACACATTAGGAGTCCACGCGCAGGTAGCCTGGCCTTTGAAGCTCTCCAGGCTCTGGCCACAGTGGCTTTCCTGCCCTCCTTGGCTGGTGGACGTAAGGCCCCTCGCCCCATCTGCTTCCTGCTCTCCCAGAGCCGGCCTCACCTTCGAGACTCATGCTACTAAGTTGTCTTTCAGTTCCCCTGGTGGTGCCTCCTCTAGACCCCTGAGGAGATGGAGGGGGCTGCCTTCTTTGCGGCTTTCTCACGATTTCCTCACAGTACACACAGCAGGACCCCGGGGTTTGTGTGTGGCATCCTACACACACACACACACACACACACACACACACACACAGCAGGACCCCGGGGTTTGTGTGTGGCATCCTACACACACACACAGCAGGACCCTGGGGTTTGTGTGTGGCATCCTACACACACACACACACACACACAGCAGGACCCCGGGGTTTGTGTGTGGCATCCTACACACACACACAGCAGGACCCTGGGGTTTGTGTGTGGCATCCTACACACACACACACACACACACAGCAGGACCCCGGGGTTTGTGTGTGGCATCCTACACACACACACACACACACACACACACACAGCAGGACCCTGGGGTTTGTTTGTGGCATCCTACACACACACACACACACACACACACAGAGCAGGACTCTGGGGTTTGTGTGTGGCATCCTACACACATACACATACAGCAGGACCCCCGGGTTTGTGTGTGGCATCCTGCACACACACACATACACAGCAGGACCCCTGGGTTTGTGTGTCGCATCCTTCACACACACACACACACACACACACACACACACACACACACACACACACACCCCTTGCTTATGTCCTCCACCCGTCCCTGAAAACATGAGGTCTGCGAAGACGTCTTTGAGTCTGTTTGGCATCCCCAAGTGCAGCGGTGAACCAGAGAGAGAGGGAGCATTCACTTGATTCTTCACGCGTCAGTGTTTTTAATCTCTGTGGCTGGAGGACAGTGTGTGTCACCTTTTCTTAGTTTCCAGGGACTGCGGCTTCCTTCCACCTCTCCCTTCCCTCTGTAGTTGGACAGGCCATGGCTCCCCAGTTCTCTGCTGTGGGCAGGTGCAGGAGCCTGACCAACTCCTCCGTGAGTCCATCTATCTGTGCGTGCATTTATTCATTCCTCCCTAGTGAGGCAGGTCCCTGATGAGCAGCTCCTCTGCGCCTGCCCAGGTCCAGCGTTGGGCATGCAGTGGTGAACAAAACAGACTCAAACGCATCTTCACAGAGCTCATGTTTTGGTGGACAAGTGGAGGATATAAACAATAAGCACAATTTAGTAAAACATACGGTACCACAGCTAGCAAAGGTGGCAAGGAAAACAATGAGAGCGGGGGTGGTGTGAATGTGTGTGGGTGCAGGGGCACCTCGGGAGCCTGGCCGGGAAGGTGGCATCCGCTGCAGGCCCAGGTGGGGAGATGGTGGGTGCTGCTTCCAGGCCCAAGGAAGAGAAAGGCAGAGGCCCTGAGGAAGCACAGAGCTTGAGGGAGAGGGCTGGCGTCAGCTCAGGGAAGCAGGGAGGCCAGGCGGGGAGGCCAGGTGGTGTGGGGCCTCATGGAGGCTGGGGAGTCATGAGGATGTGGGAGGATGGGGGAGCTCTGGTTGCTCAGGCAGTGGGGAGAGGACAGCACCATGGTAACATGCACTTGTGTTCATGTCTTGGCTGCCCCATTGCTGGGCACGTGTAAAATAGGAGAAATCTTAAAGCTTGCAGCTCTCCATGTGAAAATGATCTGTTTGTTTCTTCTTATTACTATCAATATTAATATTGATCCTGTAGTGCTTTCACACTTAAATTGTTGAGTTCCCAGTCTTGTCTAATAATTATCTCAGCAATTGCGATACCATTGGCTGAGGTTCATGGAGGTTTTCAGGCTAATGTCACTGAATGATCGGAAGGACTCACTGCTGGCAGTCACTTGTGTGTTTTGTGTTTTTTTTTCCTCTGTCTCTCGCCCTCCATTTTTCTGCACGGCATTAAGTCAGCCACATTTTAGATTGTGTGCTTCTGTCATCAGAATATCTGGCATGCTTTCCCCTGAATAGCAGGCTTGACATCTTTTTCTGATATTTTGTACCAACCGTACTAAGAGGCTTCTTGTTAGCTGTTAATTCATATTTTCTGAGGCTGCTAATATGCGTGGTAGAGCCATTACTGTTGCATGTTCAAGATAAAAGCCAAATCTCAGCTTATACCCTGTTCTCCCAGGATAAATTCAGAGAACCACTATGAAGTCTAATCCATACTGTGATGTTGCTGAAAAGAAAATAGGGTTATAGGCTTATTTGGAGCCTTTCACTGTTTATGGTTGTACAAGTTGGGTGTTACTGACTTATAATGTAAAATCTGAATTTCCAGGGCAGGGACAAGATTCGTTTTTGGCTAAGGCATATTGTGTCTGTGGGGCTGCTGAAGGAAAAAGAGCATCTTATTTTTATGTGATTAGCATTATTCAATCACAAAATGCATTGGATTCTACTCAGACTGTCGGAGAATATGCTTGCTCCTCTCCTAGGCTCTGGAGGAAGAACCTCAGCCACTATGTGTGTGTGTGTGTGTGTGTGTGTGTGTGTGTGCATGCTTGTACGCCTGTGCACAGAGGGTGGGAAGAGGGCTTGCACCTAAGTCCTAGGGTCCTGTTCTCTGCACAGTTCTCTGCATAGGTTTCCGCACGCCTTGCTGTCTCCTCCTTGTTGCAGGCATGGAGCAAATTATCACCTGGTGGTAACTCCAGTCTCCGCCACGGAGACTGCTTACCCTCTTCCTCTTTGGTTCAGGCTGAACCATCCTCACTCATCTTGTAGAGCCTCCCGTTCCCATCTCCGCATCAGAGTTTCCTACTTTCCTTGAACTTTCCTTTTTGAGGAGATTTGAGAAGTGTGTTGTCCAAGATAGGATTTAGTATCCTGGAGCCAGGCTTGGAATTCTAGTGTGGGAAAGCTTACTTACTATTACTTTATTATGGCATTTTAAAAGTTTTTAAAAGTAAGTGGAAAAAGGATTTTTGAACCTGTTATTACTTTCTTATAGCATTTTAAAGCCATTTTTTTTTCCTAGTGGGAGGCAGAAGGAAAAACTCGGTCATGTTTCACTCACTCCTTTCTTAAAGGGAGAGTTTTATATTGTACCTTCTTGTTCACAGCCAGGTGGCAGCTACATTGCTAATTGCAAGCTTTCAGGGTGAGAAAGAGAACCCGTGCCTACCTGCCTTTTCCTGATTTGAAATGGTGATCTGCGTTGGTCTCAAGACCTTGTGCAGCCTCGCAGAGATTGCTCTGCACACATGTGATTGCATCTAATCAGGACTTTTTCTGAAACTGCTGCCAGGAAAATGTGTGCTAGGAAGGTTACCTTCTGCAGCTGGACTTTTATGATGCACTGGATTATCATGGCCTTAGATATACCATCAGGGCATGGAGTGGCAACAGTGCTTTGCTGTCTTGACGCATCTCAGGTAGAGGATCTCTTAGGGAGCTTTCTGATTGAATCCCACGCCCATTTTGAGGGAAGGGAATGGGCCATGGGTCTCATCCCTGCCTAGCGCTGCCTTGTGAGGGGTGCTGGCCTGTCACCTCCAGTTCTTGCTCCTTTTTAGGAAGCCATGCTGCCTCCTTCCTTGTTGTGCGATTATTTTTTGGGTTGTGTCTATTTTGGTATTTTTTTCTCTTTCACCTCCTCTCCCATATTTCCCCTCTAGGGTGGGAGGAAGGAGACCCAGGTGTGAGGTGGTGCAGGTGGCTGCAGTGTCCTCAGAGATACTGAGCTGTGGGGTAGAGGTAGCTGGAATCTAGATCAACTCACCTCTCTTTTATCAGCCATTTGTTCTGAGAAGAGAGGCTTCGAGGAGAGACGCTTCGGTAAGGGGTTGCTGTGGGTCCTGGGGTCACGGGTGTTAGTTCTGGGTGCCACTGGGGGACACGAGAGACAGAAAGGATAGGAATGAAAATGAAGAGCAACTAAGGGATGTGAAGATTTCTCTTGCACTTGTTTTCGGGATAGGAAAACAAGCCCTTTTAGTCTGGGGCAAGGAAGTGTCTAGTGCCTCCACCTGGTCATCCACCGCGGTCCTCCTGGTCTCCGTTCAGGCCCACAGGACTCTGGACCGCCCCATCCCTCCCAGGGAACTGTCCCATGTCCTGCTCAGGAAGGTGGTGGGGAAGGGGTAGGCAGGATGGACAGATGGACAGTGGCAGGTGGGGACACCTCCATCTCATTTTGTTCCTCTCAATCCGTTTGTTTTTTTCTCTCCCTCCCTCTCTCCTCTTTTTTTTTTTTTTTTTTTTGAGACAGAGTCTTACTCTGTTGCCCAGGCTGGAGTGCAGTGGTGCAGTCTCAGCTCACTGCAACCTCTGCCTCCTGAGTTCAGGCAATTCTCGTGCCTCAGCTTCCCAAGTAGCTGGGATTACAGGCACACGCCACCAACGCCTGGCTAATTTTTGTATTTTTAGTCAAGACGGGGTTTTGCCATTGTTGACCAGGCTGGTCTCAAACTCCTGATCTCAGGTGATCCAACTGCCTCGGCCTCCCAAAATGTTGGGATTACAGGCGTGAGCCATCGTACCCAACCTCAATCCATTTCTTTATCCTAATTGAGAGAATTTGAAAAGAAATTAATAGAATCAAAAAAGAGAAAAGGGCCTGGTTATCAGAGATGCAAAATAAATGATGATTTTAAAGATGCTAGAAAGCTGTGCTCCCTCCCTGGGTGCTTTCTCTTTGGAGGGGAATGCTGGAGAAAATCTCTACAAAATCTTCCCCTTGCAGTGCTGGGAGAGAGTAATGGTGAGCAAATCCTTGTAGAATTAAAATGGGATGAAGAGACCCTTATGAAGGGAGAAAGCAGGTGAAGATGGTGGGGATAGGGGCGGGACGTGCACCCCCTTCACTTTCCATGCCGGGCAGTATAAAAAGTGAGAAGAAACACTTCAGGGCTGGTGTGTAAACTTCATGTTGGATAAATACGTGACTTCTGGTATTTTGGGGGCATGGAATCAAAAAGTTGCAGATTTGGAGGGATGTTTGCAGCCACTTTTTACCCAACATGGCTCTCTATGTGGTCATTCAGTTGCTTAAACAAAGTCTGGGTAGACTTACAATTTTTTTTTAATACAAGTAATATTTGCTTATAGTTTTAAAAAAGGGAGTATAACCATCAAAAGTAACTCTAGCGAATGATTTTGGAATATTCCAGAAATTTTCTATCCTTATATAAGCTCTAAAACAGTTAAACGCAGTAGCTCTATTTAATAATCACCATTGGGCACGTGGACTTTCATCAGTACACATAGATTTGCCTCACACAAACAAGAATGAACTTGAATGTACAGATTAAGGGATAATAAAAATGCCAGCCTGGCTGCCATCTGGCTGAGGAGACGTTTTACAAGAACCTTTGAAGCATCTTGTGGGCCTCTTCTCCATTTACTTTGCTTCCACTCCCAACCCCCTTCCTAAATCTTCTGTCCATTATTTCCTTTTTCCATTCTTATTCTTTTTTTTTTTTTTTTTTTTTTTTTTTTTGAGACGAAGTCTCACTCTCTCGCCCAGGCTGGAGTGCAGTGGCGCGATCTCGGCTCACTGCAAGCTCCACCTCCCGGGTTCACACCATTCTCCTGCCTCAGCCTCCTGAGTAGCTGGGACTACAGGCGCCCGCCACCGTGCCCGGCTAATTTTTTGTATTATTTTAGTAGAGACAGGGTTTCACTGTGTTAGCCAGGATGGTCTCGATCTCCTGACCTCGTGATCTGCCCGCCTCCGCCTCCCAAAGTGCTGAGATTACAGGCGTGAGCCACCGTGCCCGGCCTCCATTCTTAATTTTATCACTTAACATATTTGTATCTATATCTGAATCTCTATCTCATTATGTATATAATGTCCCTAAAGTATATATTGCTCAATTTTACCTGTTTCTATAAACTTTATATAGATGTAATTTACCTGTATGTGGTTCTGTGACTTGCTTTGTTGGCTAAACATGATTTCTGGTAATGAGTCATGATAATGCACGTCGCTATAGTTCATCCATTTTCACTGCTGTATAATATTCTACTTAATGAATTGCATGGTATGACCTCCATTGGTTCTTCTAACGGCTGCATTATTTATTTTTTTCTGCCCACACTGGATATTATCTTGACATATTAAATGGGTAAGGACCTAAGTTGTGAATGATCAGGTTGTTCCAGGATGGAAGTTGTTATCCTTTGTGCAAACAGGGTTATTGCTCTCAAGGCTAGAACTGTTTGTGTGCTTTGTATTTTCACTTTCATTTTTTGCAGCTGGACTTCAGAGCAAGACCTAGGAAGCAAAGTGCAGTTCAGACAGTGGGTCCCGGGGGGGGGCCAGTTGTCAGAGAGCCCGGAGTTAGGTGTTTGAAGCCTAGTGAGCAGAGACCCATCCTGAGCATAAGGGCCAGGGCCAGGGACTTGGCCTTGGCCTTCAGGGAGCCCGCCCTTGTGTGGATAAGCGGGATTGAATCCTCAGATGAAAAGGAAGCAATCAATGGAGCTGTTTGCTCCTGCAGCTTCAGACAGCGCCATCTCTACCGGATCAAAAGAGCTCATCAACTCCCAGCCTCCATCACCGAAAAAGAAAGTCTCATCTCTGTCTGATAATACCTATTCATTGTTAAAAAGGAAAAATCCCAAATCCGTACATCCTCCTGACCCATGTGATACTGATACATACCTTTGATGTGTCCATTCAGATTAAAAATTCTTAACAAAATGATACATATTTTACATGTACAATCATTTCAAAATATAGACTGTTCTGAGAATTGTTTGCAAATATGATCATAAAAAGTTGATTTTCTTGGAGACTTTAAAAAACTAGTTTGTTGTATTTGCTTTGTCAATCTCTATGTAAGTAATATATGTGTATTTTTGTGCCAAGCCATTTGAGATGCCCTGCAGGCCCCATGGTGCTTCAGCCTCCAGCACTGCTCCCTGTGTTTCTCAGACCGAGGCCCCTCCTGTAAAAGGCTCTGAATCTCGCTTTCACCTGTGTGAATTGCACCACCCAAGGGGAGGGGTCCAGTTGCATTGGGCTTTTGTCCTTCGTTTTCCTGACCTGGGGACGGTCTCCTGGAAGCCTGACTTCCTGTTTGCTGAGGGTGGACTTTTCTTTGGGACCTGTTTGTCGAGTTGAGCCGGGAGCCACAGTCATTCCCTCCCTGGGTATTGTGCGACCCTGCTCCCGCCTCCTCCCCCTCCCCCCCCCCCGCCCCCTGCCCCTCGTTGGGTGTTGGGTGTTGGGTGTTGGGTGTTGGGTGTTGAGTAGCCCAGGGCTTCTCTTTCCTGGCTGGGATGCAGGCAGTAGTCATATCATCACAGTCATCAACAGCCAAAGTGACTCAGTGTCGCCCACAGGTTCTGAGTGGGGGCTTGACTGAGCCAGGCAGCATCAGTGAGAAATGCCTAGTCGGAAGGTACCCGTTGTTCAGGATGAAGTTAGTGGCTTCCCTGCCATTCGGTTTCCACTCCAGGAGAGAGTTGAATCAGAGCCTGGAATTCTGGCTGATGGGCTGTGTCCCCGTGTACGGGGAGAACTGCTGGTTTCAGTCTTAACCAGGGGACGAAGGACATGGCAGAGCATCCAGAGAAGAAGCTGGGGCTCGGCCTGG
Organism: Homo sapiens; assembly: GCF_000001405.40. Classification (NCBI taxonomy): domain Eukaryota; kingdom Metazoa; phylum Chordata; class Mammalia; order Primates; family Hominidae; genus Homo; species Homo sapiens. The sequence goes on from NC_000002.12 coordinate 235,543,510, forward strand.
TCTACCTGGCTGGGAAGAACCGTGCTGGATTGAGCTCTGCAGCAAGGGCTGTGGCTGGCCGGGGGTGTTTCCCCGGCCTCTCCCCAGCCTGGAGCTGTGGCGCAGGTGCCTGATTACAGTGCTTGGGAGAGCAGTGAGGGCAGGTGGGGGGTTGACCTCACTCTCCAAGGATCTGTGTTTCCTGGAGCCCTTCTTCCCTGCAGGCCTAGGAGGCTGGGCTGAAACCACCTCGGGCCTGTGCATCTGTAGGAACAGCACGAGAGCTCCTTGGAGTGGTAGTGTCAGGGCGGTAGCCATCTGAGCTCACACTGGCCCTAGGGGCTGTACTTTGGGGTATCCAGGGGCAACACGTGCCCTCTAAAAGCATAGACCTGTCAGGGAATCACGGGATGGTTCCAGGGTAATATCTGGTCAAGGGCTTGCGGCAGATAGGAAGAGTTCTCTCTCTGCCGCCTGTGCCCAGGCCACTGCTGTGGCCTAGATCGGGTTGGCTCTGGCCGTGCCCCATTCCTCATGTGCTGGCTATTGAGTCACCCCCTGCCCCCACTTTAAACAAGCATGTTTGAATGCAGAGCGATTCGTGGTGACAGTTTCATAAGGCTAACGTTGAATATGCTCAAATGCTTAAAAGGCATTTCATTTGTGAATGGCAGCATGTCTTTATGAGGGGTGACAGATTGCTCAGATATGACTTTCCCTGGTTTTCAGGAGGGGTCTCTTCCTGTCCAGTGGTCCAGGGCTGGTCAGGCGGTGTGGCAGGAACGGAGCCAGCAGACTCCCTCTTGGTAAAATTGTGCAAGAAACGCACCACCTAGGTTTGTGCCTCCTGCCGTTGCTTACGAGGTTCTGAGTCCCGCAGGGACTGGCTTTCTTCCTCTGTAGGAGTTTCCTACCATGTAAGTTTTAGAAGGAAAGGATACTCTTTGGGGCCTCAGCGGTCCCCTTAGGCTGAGCATCTGAACCTTCCCGTGGTCCGTGTGGCTGGAAGGAGGCTTCCATCGCTGGAAATCCATTTCTCAAGGCGAGGAGCCAGCCGGGCCGACCACGGAGCCCCTTCCTCTATTATGCACGAAGTCATCCAGGTGTCATCCCATCAGTGGTCCACCAAGGTGGGACAGTGCAGCTTGGGCCGGGCAGAGGTGGGGAGGCCTGCTGGGTACCCCTGCTGGATTGTAGATGGCCCCCAAAACCAATGCTGCCTCTCACAGGAAGCCCTTCGCCTGAGGCTCTCCCACACTGCAACTGTCAAACTCGAATTTCCAGTTGATGTAAAATCTGTCTTCCTACTGGAATGTTGACTTGAGGGGACCTTTCATCTCAGATTTCAGACTTGCTTTGTTTCTGTTGGGTCACGTTGCTGTCTTCTCAATACTCGAGTATTCTTGGTGTGGTGGGGAAGTTTTTGAGTTAAATTTGAATAGTTTTAAAATTTAGGTTTGAGTTTAGCAGTATTCTAACGGGGTAAGGCGTCACTTGACATACTGATAAATCTTTTACATTCTATATAGTGGAATTAGACAATTTTCTGAACCTTCCGTCCCAACCTTCCATCCCTTACCCTGGTTCTTGCTACTTTGTTGTTTAGATCATGGTCTGTTAGCGGAAATATGACTCCATGTGGTCCATGATATGGGCACCTTACAAGTTATTCTAAATAATGGCACTTAGGTTCAAAGGGCTTGTTAATAATAGTGCCATTGAGGAAAATCATTTGGGCCATCACCCCCTTCTCATGTTGAAAATAGCGTTAAGTGTTCAAGAGTGTGATCGGTGAAACACAGCTTAATTCAGCTCTACAGGTGTGAGTATTTAGCCCTGGAAAGGAAGGAATGATTATTGCAGGGTTAGAAGGTTCAGGAGAACAGTGCCTCCCTCCTAGTCACAGTTCTGCAGGGCTGGCGTGTGAGCCCTTACTTAGAGGTTTACTTATAGGAAGTTTGAGACTGAGCCAGAACCTTTCTGGGTCTCTTGCACCTGCGGGGGAAGTAGTAGCAGCTGGGGTTTTCTGCTTTAGCACATTGTTAGTTTTACTCCGACTCCGTTGCTGTTTCCCAGAGTCATTTGCTCTTTCTGAAGACACTGGCCCGTGGGCGTCACTGCCCTTAGTGGAGTTCCTTCCTGGAGGCTCTCCCTGCAGATTCTGCCTCTGGAAATCAACACGTATTGCCCCTGTGCTCCCCCGGATTACTTGGCTGGAGTCCTCTTTCCCTCCTGTCACCTGCAGTGGCATTCTTCTTCCAGCCTGTGGGATGTTGCTTTATGCTGGACAGAGCTGGATTCTGTCTTGGCTCTGCTGGTGCTGAAAGTTCCCCAGGCCCAGGACCACCATCCACACACCTCCGATATCTGGTGAAGCACCAGGCATCGTAGGCATTGCTGAGTATTTGGGTGACTGACTTCTGAGCATGAAGGCAGGGAGGGTCCCCTCTGTCTGGATGGTACCCCACCCTTCGCCCCTAGGCACCTTGGCCAGACCCTCCTCATTCTTCAAGATTCAGCAGCCCTTGCCTTCTGTGAGGAGTGAGTTAGGTTTCATCTGTGCCCAGCTGTGCTGTGTGCTTTGCAAATGAACTGGAACAGTCTGTCTGTGAAGGGGATGTCAGAAATTCAAGGATGGGGGACAGCTGTCATCAAAGCAGGCCACACCAATCTGGGCTGTTCTGCTAGAATTCAGTTGATTTCTTATTTTGTGTGACTGTTGTTCATCCGAGCCCAAGGTAGAGCTGCAGGAACCCCATGTCTGAGTGTCCAGCAGGCCCGCAGGCCCTCGGGTGCCACCTGATGGGGCCATCCTGCCTTTTCAGGTCCTTGATTATATCCCACAAAGAGAAATAGATGGCTTAAAAGTCTTTTTCAGAGGCAGAAGGGACAAGAAAAGTGGAAGTGTAGTCTGGAAGTAGCCAGGTTTTAAGTTAACCAGGTTACACTCTTGGTGGTTCCTGGCGTCCTATCAAGAGAAGGAATTATGGCCCCAGAGCTGTGCCTGGGACCCGCATGTCTGTCACAGATCTCTGCTGGGAAGCCAGGCTGTGGCCCTTCCAAGGTGAATGGTGGTTTCCATCCAGGGTTCAGGTTTCTTAGCAGCTAGTGGTGACGGTCAGGGTGTGAGTGTGGGGACGTGGCTGGCGTGGTGACGGGTGTGTGGGGGCATCATTGGGAGTGATGGCGATGGCTTGTCTTCTCACCGGCCGGTTTGGAGTCCAGAACCACATGAATGACCTCAGGGTGGGTCAGAACAAGGAGCTGTCAGTCTGAGACCTCTCAGTGTGCTCTTTCTTGGCTAGCAAGTTACTTTACCTTGGTAGTCATTAGTTTCTTCTTTGACTAAATGAAAAGGTTTTTATCTAGATGCTGCTGTGCATCTTGAAGCATGTTAAAAGAAGGTTAAGGAAAACCAGTTTGTGGAAGCTGACTGAGCAGGCGGCTCACTGGCCGTATTCAGCTCTCCACCCGTAGGGACCTGCTGTGGCAGCCATAAAACTGTGCAGAGGTGAACCACTTCAGCAGAAAGATGCTTCCCCACAGAGATCTGGGAGCCTTTGACTGTTGAACAGGGAAAAATTCCCCATGCTTTTAGGATCGTGGTGTAAGACCCCACTGTGGAGAGATGCTTTCTATGCTGCAACACAGACCAGGGAGGTGACGGGCAGTGGCTTTGGGACACCATCAACTCCAAGGAGATGGCCTAGCTGCTTGAGGCCCACGTCCAGAGTTACACACTTTATTCTTCTGATTCTTGAAGGCTTTAAGAAATCTCTTTAGCAAGTCTCTACTTCTTTTTAAATTTTACTCTTTCCTCCTATCACCTGAATAAAACTCCAGGCAGTAATATGCTGCTTACATTGACTTTTTTTTTTTTTTTTTTCTGAGATGGAGTCTCGCTCTGTCACCCAGACTGGAGTGCAGTGGTGCGATCTCGGCTCACTGCAACCTCTGCCTCCCGGGTTCAAGCGATTCTCCTGCCTTAGCCTCCAGAGTAGCTGGGATTACAGACATGCACCACCACGCCTGGCTAATTTTTGTATTTTTAGTAAAGATGGGGTTTCACCATATTGGCCAGATTGGTCTCAAACTCCTGACCTCTGGTGATCTGCCTGCCTCGGCCTCCCAAAATACTGGGATTACAGGCACATACCACCACGCTCAACTAATTTTTGTATTTTAGTAGAGACGGGGTTTTGCCATGTTGGCCAGGCTGGTCTCGAACTCCTGACCTCAAATGGTCTGCCCTCCTCAGCCTCCCACAGTGCTGGGATTACAGGCGTGAGCCACCATGCCCGGCCATGAGTCCTTTCTACTGTGGGGTTGGTCTTATTTCCCCTTGCTCCCGTGAGAAGCTGAATTTGCAAATGCCAGGGTGAACTTGGTAATGGAGGCAACAGGCAGATGCTTGGTGTCTGTGCGTTGAACAGAAAAGAGCCCGGTGAAATTCCACGCCTGTTTGTGTTTAGCACACGGTTCCTGAATTATTTCATGAGAATGCAGGTATAGCGGTGACAGCTACAATATTTGTTAGCCAAGCTGCGGACAGAGGGTTGGCCTCAGGCTGCTGTTTCTGCCCCAGGGTCGTGAGAAATAGCTGTGTCCATTTTAAAGCAAGAAAACAAATGGCACGATTGCTCTGCTGTTCCTGTCCTAGGGCAGAGAGCTAAGTCAAGCACTCAGTGGACTGCGTCTCGTCTCCCTTGGACTGGTAGTGACAGGGCTGCCCTGCACGCCACACTGCTCTCCTGTTCCTGTAGTGTCGCTCATGTAAAATGCACTGCAGGCTGGTGCTGCTGAATCGGCTCACTTTCTCCCATTTCCTTCTCCTCCACTTTCAGATTTCTTTCAGCACTCTCCAACTTACCTTCAGAAATGCAACAATGGGCCAGGCGCAGTGGCTCACACCTGTAATCCCAGCACTCTGGGAGGTGGGTGGATCACCTGAGGTCAGGAGTTCGAGGCCAGCCTGGCCAACATGGTGAAACCCCGTCTCTACTAAAAATACAGAATTAGCCAGGCGTGGTGGCATGCACCTGTAATCCTAGCTCCTCGGGAGGCTGAGGCAGGAGAATCACTTGAACCCAGGAGGTGGAGGTTGCAGTGAGCCAAGATTGCGCCATTGCACTCCAGCCTGGGCAAAAAGTGCGAAACTCCGTCTTCAAAAAAAAAAAAAAAATGCCACGATGTATGAAGACCTGCAGCCCCTTATCTGGAATTCAAAAACCCCAAAGCACTGATTTTTGCAGCCCACTCATTTGGCAGCAGAACCTGAGTTATCTGCTCATGTGAGAGTGCACCTTTCATTACAAAAGTACCCATGCGTTTGACTAGGGGTGCTCTGGGACGTGGGTTAGCCAACTCAGGCCACTGCCCCGTTTTTGAACATAAAGGGTTATTGGAACACAGCCATAGCCTTTCGCTTATATTGCCTTTGGCTGTGTTTGTACCTGGTCCTTACAGAAAAAGCATCTGTACCCCTGCTCTGGAGCGGACCTGCCCTGCTTTGCTTGCAAGGTGGTCCGAGCCTGGGTGGAAAGCACTGCAGGGCAGCTTGTGCAGAAACTGGGACCTGCTCTCCTTGTAGAGACACAACCCCAGGGTACTTGGAGCTCATGCTAATGACTAAATCATTCAAGCCTTCTTCTTCCTGGATTTTATACCTCCTAGTTCTTTGAGGACAGTTTGCCACGTTCAGCAGGATTTTCCAGACCTTTTATTTCTAAGGAATACAAACTAGAAGGGCCTGGTTTCTGTAGGTGACAAAGCTGGGGGGAACGTGGAGGACAGGGATGACTGGAGAGAGCTGGCGAGTGCAGCCTGCTGGGATGCCAGCTCTCACCTGGGAAGGTCAGCGTGCAGGGTTGCAGACTGCTTAAGCCTCCTCCTGTCAGAGGACCCCAGAGAGCTCCCCCAGCTACTTGGAGAGATGCTGTTGAGGTTGGGAGGCAATGCAGGGTGTTCATCAGCCAGCATGAGACCCTCGCTTCCAGCCTGTGCCTTTAGCCCAGCCTTGCTGTTCTAGATGGTGTTGGCAGCCTTTTTCACGTACAGAGTTGCATTGCTCCTCCGTCTTCCGCGTGCCTGTGGGCAGCTTTTGTTCCTTTGGATTACTTTTGTTTCTTTAAAACTCCTTGGCACCATCTAATTTTTTAAAAATGAGCCTAATACTGTTCACGTTTTAGCACCTGGCAAATGTATTGATACTTTACGAGCATTCACATGCATTTAAGAGTGCTCTTAGCAGTTCGCGTTCTATATAGAACTGTTTACACCTCTCAGGATTCTTACTCTAACAAACAGGTATAGACAACATCCTAGTTGCATCTCACCGCGGCCTAACATCCCCGGGAGCATGGGGATTAGTGGAGTGAGTGGGAGGACTCGCCCTGCGCAGGTGGAGGGTGATGAGAGGCTGGGGACGTTTTCGGATGACCACAGGTGTGAAGCTGTCTTCAGTGGTGGGGGAACCACCTGGGCCTTGGGCCTTGGCTCTGGTAGTCTCACATAACTCTTTGGTGTCTGCAGCTGTATAATATGATGGATGTCCTTGTATTGTACATTTTTAGGAAGGACGGGTAGGGTTGCTGCTTCAGAGATCAAGTGGCATGTCCACATCTGGAGTAGACCCTGAGTGGGGCAGAACCATCATCCTGCGTGCAGCCTGCACACTCCCAGCACCCGTGGCAGTCTTAGCAGGTGGATTATCACCGAGCACACAGGCAGCCCGAGGCACCTCCTCGTCACAGTGTTCTCCGCAGCCCTGACTGGCGAGGAGGGCACGTCCCCACGTTCATGCCCTGTACTAGGGTCCCCTCTGGCACTCTTTCTCTGGGGCTCTGTGTTCCCTTTGCCTTTTGAGCTCTTCATAAAATCACTGCCAGTGACTTCTCATAGCTGTTCGTCATTGGGAGTCACTGAGCATGCACACGGGCTGTCAGGTCCTGGTCCCAGCTCTGCCTTCCTCTCCTCAAATGCCATTCACAGCAGTGTCAGTGCCTGCCCAGAGTGTGCTAGAATGCCAGTTCTTGGGCCCCACCCCACACCTGCGACTCCAGACTCAGAGTTGATGAGGGTCTGCAGGCGTCGGTCTGGGAGCCACAGACAGGTGTGTTTGCCGCAGAGGTGCCGAGGGCCCAGCAGGACTGTAGCACAGGATCAGCACCATCCACACCTGAGGCGTGGGGATCTCCGGGCATGATGCGGAATGTAGTGACGATCGCAAATCCTTCCTGTGGCCAAAGAGTGAGCTCTTTGATGCTGATGAGATAGTGTTTATTTATTTTTATCTTATTTTTTTTGAGATAGAGTCTCACTCTGTTGCCCAGGCTGGAGTGCAGTGGCACTGTCTCGGCTCACTACAACCTCCACCTCCTGGGTCCAAGCAATTCTCCTGCCTCAGCCTCCTGAGTAGCTGGGACTACAGGCGTGCACCACCACACCCAGCTAATTTTTGTATTTTAGTAGAAATGGGGTTTCACCATGTTGGGCAGGCTGGTCTCGAACTCCTGGCCTCAAGTGATCCACCCACCTCGGCCTCTGAAAGTGCTGGGATTACAGGCGTGAGCCACCGCGCTCGGCCATAGATAGTGTTTCTTAAGAGTGAGTTTGCTTCTGAGGAAGAGAAGTGGGGGGTCGGGGGCATCCCACCTCCCTGGCCACCTCCAGTGGTGTGAGTTGGTTGCTTGATGTCATCTGAGGTGGGGCCACCCGGGAAAGGTCTTCATGTCTCACTTGTATGCCTTCTTGGATCAGGATTTCCAGGCCTCTGCATCTCTTGAGTTGATTCTGAAAGGGTGAGGAGAGAGGGGCTAGACAGATTTTTTTTTTTGAGACAAGGTCTCACTCTGTCACTCAGGTTGGAGTGCAGTGGCTTGATCATAGCTCACTGCAGCCTCAACCTCCCCAGGCTCAGGTCGTCCTCCCAGCTCAGCCTCCCAAGTAGCTGGGACTACAGGTGCGCAGCACCACACCTGGCTGATTTTTTTTGTAGAGACGGGTCGTCCAGTGATACTCAGATTGGTCTCTAACTCCTGGGCTCAAGGGATACACCTACCTCAGCCTCCCAAAGTGCTGGGATTATAGGCATCAACTACCATTGCCAGCCTGAGCTGCATGCATTCTAAGGACACTTTGTGAGACTAATTAAAACGTTTTTCTTTCCAAGGCACGTGGCAGGTGGGTGCTGTTTCTTTCCTGCAGGATGTTTGCTGAGCATTTGTGAGTGGAGCATCTTTAGGGAAAGCAGGACAAACCCTAAAAGACTTTCTCTGAATGTTACCTTTGCTCTTCACCTTGACTGGTAGATCCTGAAGGCGTAGAAAGAGGGTCCTCTGGAGAACACAAACTGAGCGTTGCTGGGCCTCAGGAGCTTCTAGTGATGCTGGAGGCGGCCACTGCTGTCTTTCAGCTGTGAGGAGCCAGGAGGGCGATCCCAGCTTTCTCCTGGTTAATTTTACCGTCTTTTAAAAAGGAAGTTCACAAGATTTCTTGAAAGAACTCTAGTTGGAGTTGTAGAGCTAATGTTTTTTTCTCTGGTCCCTGCCACCTGCTGGAAGGAGCCTGCAGGGAACTGTTTGTTGTGTGCTTGGCTGTTCAGTGCCCCATAACTGGCCGCGGTACTGCCACCCGCTGGAAGGGGCCTGCAGGGAAGTGTTTGTTGTGTGCTTGGTGTTCATTGCCCCGTAACTCTGGCCGCGGTAGTCTGGACAGGGCTTCTGAGAACCACCTGCAGTTCTGCTTATTGCTGGTGTTGAGAAATACAGTTTCTGCAGGAAAGAGAGAGACATTGGTGCCAAGAAATCCTATCGGGGACATTTAATAACTGGAAGTAGCTTAGGAAGCCAGGTTTGGAGTGCTGCCTTGGTGTCGTTATAATGCAAGTGGGATTTCATTATGTGTTTAAGGCTTGGCATTGTTGGAGGTCAGGAAGACCAACTAAGTCAAGTAGAGCCATTGGCTGCTTGAGTGCAGTGCAGAGCACTGGGAAATGGACTTCCTGGGAAGTGTGGGATTTTTTCTGCTACTCCTTCATTCACACCTGGATTCAGTTGCCCTCATGAGCTCACCCGCAATGTGTGTAGGGGGATGCTGCTCCCATTGGCCAGGCACTGGGGATGCGGCGTATGGGCAGGTGCACACACACCTGGCAGAGGTTTGGAGCTGGGTTGTGGGTGAGGGATGCAGAGAGGCTTAACCCAGAGAATGGAGGAAAAGGAGACCAGGAGAGTTCAGAGAGGTGAAGAGTGAGGAGAGAGCAGTGGCCAAAGTGGAGAGAGTTGAGTTTCAGAAAGCCAGCTGCAGAATGCAGTGCCTGACAGAGTGTGATGGGCCCCATCTCTCTCTGCTGAGCCGGGTTCTGACTCTGCAGAGCATTGGAGGCCTTGTTGTGGGCTCAAGGAGTGCAGAGAGGCAGCGCCTGCCTTGGTCGTAACTTCTCACACACATACATCCACACATGTGCATCTGATTGTGTGTGTGACACAGTGAAGGGTATGGGGACAGCCACATCTGGGTTTCAGTTTTCAGTCAGCTCCCTAGCTGGGTGGTTCCTCTGAGCCTCTGCTTTATTTCATCTGCAAGTAGCATTAATACTATAACTGAATATACAGTCAGCTACTCACCACTCGAAAGCCAGACTTGAGAGACAAGGGTTGGTGGGAGAAACAGCAGGTATATTTGAAAACCAAGAAGATGGTGAACTAACATTCTCAAGTACTGTCTTAAGTCAGTACAGATTTTAGGCTTTTTATATTAAGGGCTGGGGGAAGAGGAGGGGGTTGAGATCAAGAGATGACCAACGACTGGACATCTGGGAGGCAGTGGGGGTCAGAGGAAGTTGGGTTTTTTTTTGTCTTGGTCAGGTCACGATGTTCCTGTGAATTTTTAATAAAACATAGTTGTTTACATACTTCTCCTTTAATCCCACAGCTAGTTTTAAAAACTACATGATTGTGTTGCTAGGATTAGTTAAGAACTGATTTGAGGTCACTAGCACATGGTGAGTAGTTAGTAAACAATTGCTTCTGCTAGAATCATCATTGTCAATATTAAGAAGGCGAGTCCACGCATCTCTCTGGCCTGTTGGCTCACATTTGGGGGTGTGGCATTTGTGCGTGAAGTGGAGCCTGGTCCCTGGTGACCCAGGTACAGTTTACGTCTGGAGCCAGCATTTGGAAAGTTGCCTCCAGGGCCCTGGATTTGGAGGGAGCCAACTGCCAGAGTCTCAAGCAGGTGAGGGTGGGGTGCAGGAGAGGAGCGTTCAGGGCACCTCTGAGCACATGTGACATTCGTAAGTGGCACTCCTCATGCTGAGCAACTGACGTCGTATTTCCACCCGACAATGGCTTGATTCACTTGATAAGTGAAAGGAACTTCCACGTAAGGATCCCGAAGCACGGTTGCCTCCGCCTCCCACCCCACCCCGTGGTGCGGCGTGTGCCAAGACCAGCCCTCTGAGGTCAGCCCTCCTGGACCCCTTACTGGGTGGACAAAGGTTTTCTGTGTGACTCACCTCTGGCCAGAAATTTAGGGAAGCTTATTTGTAACTAATACCACCCAGTCACTGCAGGAGACCTGCCGAAGGGCTCTGGGGAAAGTGATCTTCAAAAATAGAAAGGTTGAGTGAAGGTAGGACTTTTGGGAGAAGCAGAAGGAGCCTATAAGACAGCACATTAATTTGGCAGGTAATTAGGAACTCTGATCTTGAGCATCTCATTTTAATTAGCGTGGTCCAGCCTGCCTTACGGTGCTCACGCTGAAGCAGAGAGTGGCCTGCTTAGCTGCTCCGCACCATTTATTTGGGTTTCTTATTTGGGAAGTTTGCATGTGACTGGGCCAAGTGACATTTGTTTTGAGGTCCCTCCCAGGGCCCAGGGGTGAGCTCTTGACAACCCCAGAGTAGAGATGGGGCACCTGTGCCCGGGCATTGATTTCCTGGGAAGGAAAGAAAACGCCAGGCCATGCTGCTGTGTTACAGCCCTTTAATCAGAAGCCCCTGCTGCATGTGGGCCTGCTGTTCCCAGTGCCTTTCAGGAAACCACCAGAAGGGCTCCAGCTTTAGGGAGGATGGTCCATTTACACGCCTGTGGTTGGAGGTTCCAAGTGCCTTGAAAAATGCCTTGATGCCACTTGGAGCTGTTTCTTTCTTCTCTTTCCTTTCCCTTTTAAAATCACGGAACCATTTCTTTCTTTCTTTCTTTTTTTAGACAGAGTTTCGCTCTTGTTGCCCAGGCTGGAGTGCAGTGGCGCAGTCTTGGCTCACTGCCTCCCAGGTTCAAGCAGTTCTCCTGCCTCAGCCTCCCGTGTAGCTGGGATTACAGGCGCCTGCCACCATGCCTGACTAATTTTTGTGTTTTTAGTGGAGACAAGGTTTCACCATGTTGGCCAGGTTGGTCTCAAACTCCTGACCTTAGGTGATTCGCCTGCCTTGGCCTCCCAAATTGCCAGGATTACAGGTGTGAGCCACGGTGCCTGGCCAGAATTGTTTCTTGAGTTTTTCAAACAATGCTTTCTCTCCAGCCAGTTCAATTGTAGAGGGTCCTGGAGAGGAGGTGGAGCAGTTGCCTTCTCAGCATCGTGGGGTGGGGCTGGGATGAGGAGAGCGCGGCCGCCAGGGTCAGCCTGGATGCTCCTAGGCAGAGGCACAGGGGTTGCTGATTCTTCTTTCCAGATGGATGTTTCTAAAGTCTTTCTTAAAGGAGCCAGAGGCTTGCCCGCCCTGCAGTGCCATCCTTCTTGCCGCTCCCACCCACTTCTGTGATGCACAGAACCTGCCGCCCTGCCCTGTCTCTTTGTGTTCGTTGGTCTCCATTTCTAGTGTCTGAGTAAAGGCAGTCCCCAGTCCAGTCTGCAAAGCCTGGCCACTTGCACAGGAAGATGCTCATAGATGGCTGGTTCCTGCCAGTGACACACGTGGACCTCAAGCAGGTGGATGGGTGGAGCTCAGGGAATAGGCATGTGGGGCACACTCTCCAGGCACATCCAGGGCTGGACTGGGGCCGGCATGGGGGTCACTGGCTGCAAGCGAAGGCAGCTTATGTCATGTTCCCTCTGCCACCGCCAGCTGTCCTGCAGCAGGAAGAGGTAGTCATGTTTGGAGGCCGGGCTGTGCATGAGCTATGCAGGCCTTGGGGTCTTTTCATCAGATTCCTTTTGGCAGAATATAAGGAAGTTGGCCCAAACCACATTTTTGAACTTCTGCTTTGGCCTTGTCAGTCTCCTTCTGTGATTCAGACCGTAGTGAAGCCCTGGTTGGCTGAAGTGCTCAGGAGAGGAGACTTTGGGGGTCATCACTCATTTCTGAGTTACAGAAGTTAAATAGTGACTTGGTTCGGGGTCATGCCATGTGTGTGAGGCCTGAGTTTGCAGGTTTGTGCAGGGCATTGATTGGTTGGTTGGTTGATTGGCTGAGGAATATTTGGGGCACCTGCTCTGGGCCATGTACACAATGAGGCAAAGCAATACTTAGACCTCAAAAACAAAGCGATGTAGACCTATCTGCTGTGTCCTTGTGTTTCTGCCTGTGGGGCACGTGGGACATGTGAGGGAGAAACAGCATCCTGCAGGAGAGCAATGCCTCCAGCTTGGCTTCTGGAAGCCTCCAGAAGGATGGACGGGGGCACTGAGACCTGAAGAAGGGTTGTGCATGTGGGAGGGAGCCAGCCTGGTGGACCGTGGCCTGCACACCTGCAGCAGCTCCTCAGAGCTGCCCCCTCATGCCTTGGCCAATCACAGAGCACCCTTTCTGTCCAGGCCACTGATCAGCCCCCAGGTCCAGGTCCAAGAACAAGCCTGTGACCCCCTGGGTCCCCTTTGTCCTTGGCCTATACCTGCCTTCTGCATTCTGGGGCTACCCTTTGCTCCAGTGGCTACAGAAGAGAGAGGAGGGACACTGACCCCAAGGCCCAGGCCAGTCTCGTCCAGGCTGCCCACACCTAGGTCTTCAGGATGGGACAAGGCAGTCTTGGGGGACTTTGGGGTGACACAAACCAGAGAAGGGCTTCAGCAGAGGGCCATGAGTGCCTAACCGTTTACCTGTTTTCTGCTCTGACCAGGCACCTTGGGGGAGGGAAGGCATCAGGAGCCTTCTGCTGAGTTCAGTGGAAGGTGGTCTTCCTTTCCAATACTCTGGTTCCCTCTCTCCCCTATGTGCAAGTAAATAACATGCTACTATATGTAAATTAACACAAATGAATGTAAGATAGTTATATGTGTCTACTGCCTTAGAAAGTACAGTAAGATGAATATTAAACTTTTCAGACTGTAAGATCGTGAATCTGAAAGTCGTTGCTTATTGTATATTTGAGAAGTGGCACTTATTTACCCTGGAGTGAATGTGTTACTGGAAGTGTCTTGGCTAAATTCCTGACCTAAGCTTGTGTGGTCTTTTGCTCTTCATTGGCAATGTAGAAGTCAAGTTTGAACTGAGGGCTGTCTTATTTTAAATCCAGGTTTGATCATTTTCTGAGGATATAGCGTTTAGTGCACACCTCTTTTGTGCAACTCAGGGCTTTCTGGAGGTTGGGGGGCGGATCCCGAAGGCAGACTTGGCCTTCCCAGCTGGCGCGGGACTGGGGACTTAGGGGACTGGGTCCTGGGGTGAGCTCTGGAGCCCGTGGGTCTGGTTGTCTTGCTGACCTGGTCTGCCTCCTGCTTGCTTCCATAGCAGAGCCTGTGGGACGTGAACCACCATTCATGATCCTGGGAGGTGAAGCCCTGGGAACTGCCACTTGGAATGAGAGGGGAAGGCTGGAACTGAGCTGGGCTGGCCATGGGGATGCTCAGAGCCCGGCTCTTTCATGGGATCACAGTTTGTTCACCTTGGAAGCTGTTGCTCACCGCGTGTTGATTTTATTTAAGACTGGAAAGGCTTGTCCATGTATCGCCGTTGGGAAGGGAAATCACTCCGAAGACGGTGATGCTGGGTACAGGCTCTGGAGTCATCTTGATTTGGTAAAAGGCATGAAGTCTGAGTTCATTCCGAAGATTCTGGCTTTTGAGAACTTATATAAAGAGAACTTATAAAAAATGGAAAATGAGAAACGATGATGTCAGTGAACATTTATTGGCCTTTTTTTCTGTGCCAATAACTCTCAGTGCTTAACCTGAAGAAGCCCACTTAATCCTTCCAGCATCCTGTCCTAGAACTTTCCCTGCTGTCTGGATAAGGAAACTGAGGCACAGAGGGTCGAGGAACTTGCTGTGGTACACCCAGACAGCCTGACCCCAGAGTGGGCACTTCAGGTCCCGCTCCATGGCCGTGTGCACCTTCATGGTACGTGCTGGGGTTGTGCCTTATGAAAACAACGGACTTGGCTACATTTCGACAAGGGGAAGTTAGACACTTTAGATTCACAGTTAACTGTTGATGCTTAAATGACATTTGAGGAACCTATTGGTGCTTTCTTGAGCCCTGCGCCATGTGAGTGAGGTTTTGTGGTCCTGGACAGGTGAGCTCCCCTCCAGAGGCTGCCTGTTTGTAAAATAATAGGTTTAGATGAACAAAGTGGTCTTTAGAGGCAGATACACCTGGGGCAGAGTCCATCTGTGAGTGGGAAGAGTACCAGGCACGGGCTGTGGAGAAGCGGGATGGCGAGTAGGAGGCTGGCGGCCTTCCCTGTGTGGAAGGGGCCTTTCTGTGTGCCTGGCCCCGCAGGGTATGCAGTACACACGCACATTTATGGGGATTACTCGGTTCCGCATGGGCTGTGTGTAGAGGTGGGTGGGATGCTCAGTGGAGATGGACCAGGCTCTCCTCCTTGAGTACTGTCACCTCTTCCTTTTCTATTCTGTCACCTCCTTCTCATCACCTCTGTTGTCTGTCCCTGACAGGCTTCTGTGCTTTGGAGACCTCTGTGTGTCTTTCTTGGTTTTGGTTTCCCTGTCTCCCAGCATCTCTGGGAGATATGTGTATGATTGATTCCAAGAATAAAGTGTGACCAGGAAAACCATGTTTTGAAATCTGACCTCTCAAGCCCTTGAAAATACTCAGAGCTTTTCCAGAATGTTCTCATGTCTCCATCCACTTCCTTTCCCTTTCTGCTTTAACCCCGCTACCCTCCAGTCGTAGCCTTCAGGAGAAATAAAAAGACCCCAGAGAGGCCAGCCTACTTTCCCCCACACTGAGTTCCAGGAAGCTGAGTCTGGTTTTCCCATAGGAACAATGTTATGGGATGGGGACTGCATTCCTCACAAAGGACTCTGCCTCGAAATGTGCGATTAGAAAGATGCACCCGCTTTCAGCCGCAGCAACTTACAATAATGCCGTTATGCCCTCAGCCATAAACACATTGTGCAAATTGATTTCTTGAGGAGCCCCAAGGTACTGTGGGTAGAAGGAGAGCACATACACATGTGAGTGCTGTGAAATCATTACCATAGCCTCAGACATGTCTGTTCTTAATAAGGAAAAAAAAAGTTCATTACACGTCATTGAAGATTTTTTTTTTTAGATAGGGTCTCGCTGTGTGTCCTAGGCCGGAGTACGGTGGTGTGATCTCTGCTCACTGCAGCCTTCGCCTCCCAGGCTCAAGAAATTCTCCCACCTCAGCCTCCTAGGTAGCTGAGACTACAGGCATGCGCCACTACACCCGACTAATATTTTGTATTCGTGTGTGTGTAGGTGGGGTCTTGCCATGTTGCCCAGGCTGGTCTTGAACTCCTGGGCTTAAGTGATCCTCGCACCTCAGCTTCCCAAAGTGCTGGGATTATAGGCCTGAGCTGCCACCACAGTTGGCTTGAAGATTTTTTAGAAACTTGCCAGCTTAGTCTTTATAAAAATACGATGAAGGGGTGATTTGGGTGTCCCAAGACTGTTTGGAAGGTTGTTCTGACAAGCAAGTGCTGATGTTTTGTACTTGATCGGCTTCTCTGTGGCAAGCCAGAGGCGTCTGTGATGAGCGCCTGCAGACGCTGGTGGGTGCTTGCCGTGTGCCAGTGATTGATTGACGTTAGTGTCGGTATCTCTCATTGCGAACATTCTTCTCTAAGGTTGAAAATCAGTTTTTCATTATGTAAATAATGTGTACTCAGTGTAGAAAAAATTAGCACAGGAAATAGAAAGCTAAAGGATATCCCTCATGATCCCTCATCCAGATCCCCAGACGTGACCACTGTTATGTGGTTATATGTTACGTTATAGCCTCCCAGAAATTTTCTATACCCCTGAAATTTAACATTTTGGTGGGTATGATGTGGTATCTCAACTGTGGTTTTGATTTGCATTTCCCTGGTGACTAATGGTGTTGACCTTTTTTTTTTTAAATATGCTTATCTTAAAGCATATTTATATATTTGTATATCTTAGGAGAAATACCTATTCAAATCTTTTGACTGTTTTTAAATTGAGTCTTTTTATTGTTGAGTGGTTGGAGTTATTTATGGATTCTGGATACTAGACACTTATTAGATATATGATTTGCAAATATATTCTTTTTTTCTGTGGTTTGTCCATTAATGTTCTTGATATTCTTTGAGGTACTAAAGCTTTTAATTTTAATGAAATCTAATTTACCTGTTTTTTCTTTGATTATTTGGACTTTGGTGTCATATTTAAGAAATCGCTGCCTAATCCAAGGTCATGAGGATATACTCCTTGTGTTTTCTTCTAAGAGTTTTCTGATGGTTTCTTTTACGTTTAGGTCTTTGATTTTGAGTTACTTTTTGTATATGGTGTAAGATGGGGTAATTGTCAATTTTTTAAAAGGAAAATGAAATTCTATTAATATTGTTGTACAAGTTGGTTTTCCCCTCCACGGCATGTTTGGCTGTCTTCATATCAGCATGCTTAGATCATTTGATTGATTTTCTCTTCTTTCTTTCTCTCTTTCTGCTTCCTTTCCCTTCCCGTCTCCATCCCTCCCTCCTCACCTCCCCATGCCTCCCTCCATCCCTTCCCCTACTGTGGTAGACAGAAAAATGGCCCCGAGATGCCTGTCCCCTAATCCCCAGAACTTGCGATGATGTTACCTCACATGGCAAAAGGGACTTTACGGATGTGATTAAGAACTTTGAGATGGATGATCTTGTGGGCTCAAGGTAATTATGAGAGTACTTAAAAGTAGAAGAGGGAAGTGAAAGAGGAGAGTCGGGGACTGTGGAAGGAGGGCGAGAGAGTTGCAGCACTGTTGGCTTTGATGATGGAGGGAGGCTACCAGCCAAAGAATGTGGATGGCATCTAAAATTTCGGAAAAGATGAGGAAACTTGGAGCCTCCTGAAGGGCATACAGCCCTGCTGACACCTAAGCCTGGTGAGACCCACATTGGACTTGTGACCCTCAGAACTGTCAGACAGTGAAATCACGTCGTTCTAAACCAGTCAGCTGAGTGGTCACGGCGGCAGTAGATGAGTGCACCTCCCCTTTCCAACCTTCTAAACCTCAGGTGTTGCCTTCTCCACTAGGCCAAGCGATGCTCCAGGAAACCTCAGGTCACAGCCAGATGCTCCACCCTCCATCAGTTTCTCATGTGTCCTTGAAAAGTCATAAAAAATGTTGACCAGAATGTCAGCACAGACAGTAGAGGTGGGAGTGTTTCTTTGGAGTGGGTGCCGCTGCCTGGTTGTTTGGGCCATGCACAGAAGGCTTGTGGCAGGAGCCTAGGGTGTCCATTTAGCCTTCTCTGTTGTGTTGGCTTCCATAGGGTCACTGCCTCCTCGCCTGTGCTCTCTATGTGAACACAGAGTTTCTGCTTCACTGTGGGATGAGGAGGCTTCAGTGAATTGTCCACAGACCTAGTCGCTGTTTCCAATGTTATTTCCTTAGGGAAGAGTATCTCCAATTTTAAACTGCCCACAAACAAATGACGTTTAGGAAACCTTGTAGGTCAGGAGCTGCTGGGGTCTGCGGGTAAGAACAGGAGGGCTTCCTAAGCTCTTCCACTGATTTAGGGGGCGAGGTTGGGAGGGGTTTCCTGACATGGTAGAATTTTTCTTTATTCCTACTCGTTGGTTCAGGTGTGTAATTATTAACAGTTACACCCTTTATCTCCTGCTTCCTCTGGCTGCTGACTTGGAGGGATGCTGGGAGAAGGGGAGGGCTGAAGAGTTGGGGATGGGTGTGCCTGGCTTCCTTCTAAGGTTTAGGGCTGACCCTGGACAGTCCCAGCCCCAGGCAAGTGTTCTTGAGGCTTATTGCTGTCTGCCTAGCTGGGGAGGATGTTGAGAGGATTACTTAGCTAATTCAGTATTTGGAAAAAGTATCTGTAAACTTAAATAGAGGCCCATTACATACCTTTTGTGGATTAGAACTGTAATTGACTTAGTGTTTAAGGCAGAAACTAAGGCCTTTGATTTAAAAACTGTTGACAGATCGGAGCCTAAGCCGCTTCTGTTTGCAGAGGAGAGCCATGACTTCCAGTCAAGTTGAAACATAGCTTTCTTTATACCCTTCCCAGTTGGACTTCTGTCATATTTTACAAAATTCAAGGCTTTTCATTTAACTTAGATTTATGGCTTTTCCATGGACTATCTTGAGGTTTTTCTCCAAAGCAAACCAGCTCATACCTTGACATTGTCAAAATAGCAAAAACACACATCTTAACAAATGATGGCAAAATATTTGAGCTGAGAGATTGGGGTATGTGTAGTGTTACACCTTTGCATGTAAAAGATTATGTCAAGCAATCTTCTAAAGGAAATCAGTTTTTAGTTAACTTTTAAGGCTATTCACCATGATTTAAAGTGATTCCTTGATTCCTCTGTTACATTAAGTGTGATTGAAACTGTACCTTTATTTTCTCATGCCTTGATAAGCAGTGTAGTCAAATCATAACATATTATGACTGCAATCAAGTGATTATAGCACGTGATTATACTTTTTGTCTCTGTGGCGTGAGGAGTGGAAAGGTGTCTTTTTTTGCACCACTTGGCACTAACGGTGGGGAGAGATGGTTCCCCGAAGCCCCCTCCCTCTTGTGTGTTTTGGGGCAGAGCGCCCTGTTCCTGAATAGCACGGATTGCACGTGTTTCTGAGCATGGTGTGTGAGACTGCTTTCCCTTCCTGCAGTCAACTCGCCAAGGTGCCTCCCCAGCCCCAGCAGTCCGGCTTCTCTCCTTTCCGCTGCCCCATGCTTTCTGGTGGCCTGGCAGACTCAGGACTATCTCTGAGTCCTTCACAAAACCCTCCTCCACATGCCTTCTTTTGTGAAAACCCTCAGTCCTCTTTAAGAGCAGGGCCCCTGGAGCCAGACAGCTCTGGTTCAGTCCTGGCTCCGGTCCTCTGCAGCTGGGTGACCCTGGGCAAGTCACCATGGCTCTGTGTTTTTCATCTTTAAAATGGGGATGCTGGCTGGTGTCGCGGCTCATGCCTGTAATCTCAGAATTTTGGGAGACTGAGGTGGGAGGATTGATTGAGCCCAGGAGGTTAAGACCAGCCTGGACAACATGGGGAGATCCCCATCTCTTTTAAAAAATACAAAAAAATTAGCCCGGCCGGTGGTGTGCGCCTGTAGTCCCAGCTACTCCGGAGGCTGAGGCAGGAGAATCCTTTGAGCCCAGGAAGTCAAGGTTGCAGTGAGCCGCTGCACACCAGCCTGGGGCAACAGAACAAGACCCTATCTCAAAAAATAATTAAAATAAAATAAAATAAGTACAGTCGCTTTGCCCTGGGGCTGCTGTGGGGAGTCTGCAAACAGGACCTGCCTTGTGCTGAATGCAGCATCTCTGTTGTACTTGGGAGGTGTGCAGCCCCAGCATCTCATGCCTCGCACCCTCCGAGCTGCCTGGCCTTGGCTGTGCCCCCCTGCCCTGGCCCACTCGGCGTCCCCAGCACTTCATTTCTTTCCGTCCTGCCCCCCTTTGCTGTGTCTGGTCCTTTTATCACTGCTCTTGTGTCTGCCTCTGTGCCCTCCTGTCCTGGCCACGGCTTGAGATCACACTGCCGTGCCTCTTGCCCAGGTGACCCCCTGAGAAGCTACCTGAGCTCTGCTAATCAGCCCCACTTTCCTCTGCCCAGGCAGAAACTAAGATGCCTCGGCTCCTTCTGTGGAGGAAAGTAATGTGTTAATTGGATCCAGGGTCCTCAGCACACACTGGGCTATTTTTACAGTCAGACAGGAAGTTGTCGTTTTATAACTTTATCCTGTGTAAATTATAGCCCGGGCGGGGGGTGGGGGGACTTGGATTGTTAAGAAAGTGATCATCCTGTTCTTGGATAGGGTGATTTTGGCTGTCTGGGTAAGTTCTAGGAATTTGCTGTATTCTCTTGATTCTAATGAACTTTGCTATGGCTTGGGAAGGGGCCTCTGCATGGAGAGAGAGAAGGAAGCTAGCGTTTCTTGAGGGTCTGGTATATGCTAGGCACTGTGCTGGCTGCTGAATTGGACTGTTTGATTTAATCCTTGTCACAACCCCTTTGAAGTGGTCTTGTTACCCTCTTTTACAAATGGGGACATTGTGGCTCCAGCAGGTTAAGAAGCTTGCTCCAGGTTACATGGCTATCAGTGGGAAGCTGGGTGGGGGGTGTGGACAGGTCTGTGATTCCCAGACCCATCCTCAGATGCCTCCTGGAGCCTCTTTGTGGGAGAGTGCATGTGTCATGGCGAGTATGTGGCTCTGCGATTGGAGGAAATGTCACCGGACCAGTCAATAGGTCTTCCTCTTTACAATTAGCTTTTGTCAATGTACGTTTTTTCTTTAGTCCACACAACCTTTTAAAATTTATTTATGATCGTAGCCCTGGCCTTTATCCATCGAATCCTAAAGTGATCTGGCTGCTCATGACCAGGGGTGACAGCCAGGATGCTTTTCTTGGACCAAGAAACCTGGCTTAAATGACAGCCTTGAGCCTTGCTTTGGAGCAGTCAGACTCTCTGGGGATACTGTTACTATTAGTGAGCATTATTTGCTGCAGAAATTGATTCCTTCTGCCGTACAGTAGGCCAGGGAGGCCTCCAGGTGCCTTCGGTGGGGGAAGGATTTTAGTTGCTCAGGCCAAATAACCGAGACTAGCTCCCTGCAAATTCCATGGAGCCATCTATACTTCTGAGTATATCTTCAAGTGCTACTCCTAAATTTAAGGTTCTTCCACTTTTCATCCAGTTCACATGTAGTTGAGGGCCTGCCTGCCTTGAGCCTGACACAGGGCCAGTTGTGAGCCTGGACCAGCACCCACAGCCAGGTGTGAGCCTGGACCACCACCCAGGGCCAGGTGTGAGCCTGGACCACCACCCAGGGCCAGGTGTGAGCCTGGACCACCACCCAGGGTCAGGTGTGAGCCTGGACCACCACCCAGGGCCAGGTGTGAGCCTGGACCAGCACCCAGGGCCAGGTGTGAGCCTGGACCAGCACCCACGGCCAGGTGTGAGCCTGGACCAGCACCCACGGCCAGGTGTGAGCCTGGACCAGCACCCACGGCCAGGTGTGAGCCTGGACCACCACCCAGGGCCAGGTGTGAGCCTGGACCAGCACCCAGAGCCAAGGTATGAGCCTGAACCACCACTCACGGCCAGCTGTGGGTCTAGACCACCACCCATGGCCAGGTGTGAGCCAGGATCATCCTCCCAGGGCCAGGTGTAAGCCAGGGTCATCCTCACAGGGTCATGTGTGAGCCTGGACCACCACCCAGGGCCAGGTGTGAGCCTGGACCACCACCCACGGTCAGCTGTGAATTTGAACCACCACCCATGGCCAGGTGTGAGCCTGGACCAGCACTCACAGCCAGGTGTGAGCCTGGACCACCACCCACGGCCAGGTGTGAGCCAGGAGCATCCTCCCAGGGCCAGGTGTGAGCCAGGAGCATCCTCCCAGGGCCAGGTGTGAGCCAGGAGCATCTTCGCAGGGCCAGGTATGAGCCAGGAGCAGCCTGGCATTGGCCCCATGCCACATGACACTCTTTGTCCCTTGTCAGCATTTTAAACCAAGGTGAAGAGGTCCCACTTAGCTTTGTGGTATCTGTTTTATAGGAATGAAGGGGGTACTTTAACAAGTTCATCTTAGGGTTCTCATCTGCATTGTTGCCTGTGCAGTTACACCACTCATGCCTACCCAGCATAATTAACAGTGTGACCTACGAAAGGTGGGGCGGGGCTCACAGGAACTAACCAGGGATTCCTGTGTGTGAATGTTATTATGAAGGTGCTTTACCTCATTAGTTATTTGTGATGAAAATACTCTTAAAAGACCTGCTATAAAGTGTCAATACCAAAAGCTTCTCATGTCATTGACATTAAAAGACTTTTTGTATTTTTTTTGAGACAGGGTCGGCTCTGTCACCCGGGGTGGAGTGTAGTGGCATGATTTCTGCTCACTGCAACCTCTGCCTCCCAGGCTCAAACCACTCTCCCACCTCAGCCGCCTGAGTAGTTGGAACTACAGGTGCACGCCACCACGCCAGGCTCATTTTTTATTTTGATAGAGACAGGGTTTTACCATGTTGCCCAGGCTGGTGGGCAATTTGTCCACCTCAATCTCCCAAGATATTAAGAAACTGTTAAAGAATGTTTTGCCACTAAACTATTGTTTTACAACATTTCATTATGAAAAATTTCATACAGAAAAGTGGAAATAATTTTATAGTGAGTACTTGTACACTGATTGCCAAGATTCTGTAAACAATATTTCCCTCTGCTTGTGTCATCTTTCATTTGTCCATTCCTCGATTTATTATTATTATTATTATTTGAGGTGGAGTTTCACTCTGTCGCCCAGGCTAGAGTGCAGTGGCGCAACCTCGGCTCACTGCAACCTCTGCCTCCCGGATTCAAGTGATTCTGCTCCCTCAGCCTCCCAAGTAGCTGGGATTACAGGCATGCGCCACCACGCCTGGCTAATTTTGTATTTTTAGTACAGACGGAGTTTCTCCATGTTTGTCAGGCTGGTCTCGAACTGCCTTGGCCTCCTAAAGTGTTGGGATTACAGATATAAGCCATCACGCCCGGCCTTGTATTATTTTTCAATGCATTGCAAAGTCAACGGCAGACTGAAGGACTGCCGCATGCATAGCTGCTATTATTAACTCGAGATCAATATTGATTTACTGTTTTGTTTTTTTATTTCCAGATAAGCATTCATAAACAGTGAAAAGCACAAATCATCAGTGCGCCGTACGTTTTGGCCAGCACTTTATTTTATGGAACAGAGGACTAGATGACCAGTGCTGTGAGTGGGCAGGTCTGTCTCCTGCCTCTCTTATTTATGTTGTATGCCTGACACCTTCCTCATGCCGCAGGACCAGCCGGGACCGGGGAGAGGCTGTTCGAGGAACACAGGATGCATATTCAGGCAGGAAGTTGTTGGGGTTAACATGAGTGGACCCTAGATTTCCCTGCCTGAAGGGGGCCCCGTGTTAGTTTCCTGTGGCTGCCGTAACAGCCACAAACTAGGTGGCTTAAAACAACAGAACATCATTCTTTTACAGTTCTGGAGGCCTGAAGCCCAGGATCAAGGTGTGCCCAGAGCTGTGCTCCCTCCAGAGGATAGAGCAGGATTCCTCCTAGCCTTTTCCGGCCTCTGGTGGCCCCTGGCAATCCTTGGTGTCCCATCCAGCTGCATCACTCCAGTCTCTGCTTCTGTTATCACGTGCCCTCTTCCCGGCATGTGTCTTCTGGGTGGGTGTGAATTTTGGGAGGACACTATTCACCCCAGTACAAGCTTGAGCCTGGTTGCGGGGACTGTGTGGACCTCTCCCACAGGTCTGTCCCCCTAAAGGGAGCACACTGGCAGTGTGCCCACCCCCAGGCCAGCGGGCAGCCCTTGGCAGAGGGTGTGCCTAGAGCTTGGATGTGCGGGTCGGATGTCTTTGCCTCTCTTCTTTCCTGTCCTGGTTTCAGCTGGAAGGATGTTCAGATATGAGAATGGGAAAAGGCGGAGCGGTGTTTGTTCATGAGAGAGGACTGCTCTGCCCTCAGCTGGCCCATGGCCTTCCCTTCCAGAGCCCCAAAGGGCCCTGCCCTCAGCTGGGAGATGGGCCCTGGGCGTCATTTAGCTTGAGCACCTGCCTGGTCATCCTCTGCAAGCCCCAGTCACTGTCCCTGGGAGAGGTTCTACAGCTCCCTACCCACACCTGCAGCCTTGCTTCTCCCCGTGTCTGTTCTTGCGCTGTCCATCTGTATGGGAGCTGTCTTTTCATGGGTCTCAGGTCTGTGCCAGTATGCAGCTGGGGAGCTGTGAACCCAGGTGTGTTTTCAACCTGCTTCCCAGCCGGTCGCATACTGTGGGACTGGTGGACTATTTAGAGGTCTAGGGAGTGGTGGGGAGAAGGGGCTGCAGGGGAAGAGCATCTGATGGTGGTGGCCAGGAGGAACGTGGCACTGGGGGGTGGGCAGGGTGGGAATTGTCCACTGTGGGGGGCGGCTGAGGAAGCCAAGGGGTCTGGGCCTGTAGGGGAAGTGGGAGAGGAGAGAGGAAAGGACAAAGATGAAGGTGGAAAGGGGGAAGGTGACAGTGGCCTCTCAATATGCGGAGGGGCTTGAAAACAGGAGGGCTGTGCACTAGAGGATGCACTGGCGCAGAACTGAGACATTTCTGGAAGGTGGCTTTGGAGCCAGCATCCTTGCTGGTATGTAAGAAATGCCAGGTATATGCCCTCTGGGAGGTTGTGTGGGCTGGGTGACACTGCCAGTTCCCTTCAGTCTCTGGGGCTCTGACTCAGTGGGGATTCCCACACTGACCTCGTGATGTCTCTAGTGCCCTCAGGGACCCTGGACAGCATCCTGAGCTGCAGCCTCCATGAAAGGAGGCCCCTGAAGGTGGCAGGTTGTCAGATCGAGGCCCACATGGAGGTCATTCCTTACTGGGCTTGGTGATGCCCCGCCAGCTAACTTGAGGGCAAAGGCGTGCTTGCAGGTTGATGAGCAGCTCTGTGGGATCCGAGCTGCTGCTGTTCGTGGGCTGCCTGCTGTGGGCCAGGCACTTTGCGGAGCATGGACGCCCGTTCTCTTACTCTGTTGATGCAACAACCTGTTGAACCAGAGTTTTTCTCCGTTTTATGGAGAAAGAAACTGAAGCTCCTTGATGAAGTGAAGCCATGTCCTAAAGCCGCTAGCACTTAGCATGTGGCGGGCACCTGGCATGCATGCGTGGGATGGACATGGACTCGTGGCAGAACCGAGACCCAGACGGCAGGAAGGAGAAGCTGTGTATGTGTTGGAGGAGGATGTGGATCGCTGCTGGCTCAGTGCCGGTTGTAAAAGGAAGCAATTGCAGTTATTTCTTGCTGCTGCTGTAACAGATTACAACATACTTAGTGGTGAAAAACAGCACACGTCATTCTCTTTGAGGTCAGAAGTCCTTAAATGCATCCACAAAGCTGTGTTCTTTCTAGAGGGTGCAGGGAGAATCCATTTCCTTCCCTTTTCTAGCATCCAGAAGCCACCTGCAGTCCTTGGCTTGTGGGCCCATCCTTCATCCTGAAAGGCAGCAGCGGATGGAGCATCTTCTGACCTCTCACCTCTGCTCTATCATCATGTTGTCCCCTAGCTTTACTGCTTTTTCTTAGAAGGATGCCTGTGATTACATTGAACCCACCTGGATAGTTCAAGACACCCTCACCTCAATGCCATTAATTTAATCACACCAGCAAAGTTCCTTTTGCCATATAAGGATATGGCAGCGTATTCATAGGTTCTGGGTGTTGGGACATGGACATTTTGGGGGACCCATGATTCAGTTTCCCTCACGTTGTCAGAGACCATCCTGGCCAACATGGCGGAAACCCGTCTCTATTAAAAGTATAAAAATTAGCTGGGTGTGGTGGCGGGCGCCTGTAGTCCCAGCTACTTGGGAGGCTGAGGCAGGAGAATCGCTTGAACCCAGGAGGCGGAGGTTGTAGTGACCCAAGATCACGCCATTGCACTCCAGCCTGGGCGACAGAGCGAGACACCATCTCAAAAAAAAGGATCTTGGAGGAAGTACATGACCCCGAGTGGGTGCCTCTCCTGGCCAGGTGTCCCCTTGTGTATGTTATCCTTGAATCTTCCTAGCAGCCTTCCAAAGTAGGCTTCGGGATTCAGTTTTACAGATAGGGAAACTTAGGCACAGAGAGACTTTTGGTGGCTCTATAGGCAGTAAAGGGCAAAATGGAAAGCAAACCTGGCCTCTTGTACCTCTGAGCCCCGAATTCTGCCCTCTGCCCATGTGAGCATGGTCTGTGAGCAAACCTTCCTGTGGATAGGTTTGGAGGATTCGAAGGACATCCCTGGAGGGGCTGTGCCCAGGTAGGGTGTGTTCACTGTGCCCCTGTGTGAGGGTTTGTAGTCTTACACCTTTGCCAAACCCTTTCTGGGTTTTGCCCCTCACAGGAGATGCAGGTCTTTCTATGGAACCTGTAGGTTCTGAGACCGAGCCTTGGGTAGTTTTTATTTCTTAGGCTCTCTGGAGTTCTCCCAAATCCCCATTGCCAATCAGTAGCTGAAAGTGGATGCTATTGTTTTTCCGATTGCTGGTCTCTTTACTTGTTTAGTGAAAACAGCAAAAATTTAGAATGTTTATAGAATTGAACACGAAAACCAGAGTTGTATATCTAAGGAAAACATGGTGTGACTGGCCCGGGATCCAAATTATTTGCAGCGCCTGTCGTCTTTGTTAACTCTTCTCAGTTCTCTTTTTCTTTCCTTCTCTCTGTTTCTTTCAGTTTTGGTTTTTCTTTTTGAAGACGGAATCAAAGGGAAATTATTTTCATTTTCTTCACAGGGAGTTCCCAGGCTTCCCCCTAGCCTTTGCTTTACTTGCTGTGCCCAGTTCCATGAGAAGGAGTTGTTACATTTCTTCTTCCTAAAGCAGTGATCGGTGCTTCTGCCCTGGTGGAGAAGGCTTGAGCAGTCCCCGGCTAGCGGCTGTTGCCACCTACAAGCCCCTGCCTCCATTAGGAAGCCATTTATTTATGGGGCCTAGGTAGGGGCAGGAGGTTCCTTTCAAGAAAACAACAGATTGCTTAATGCTGGTCTCCCTCTTGCTGGCCAAAAGGAATGTTAAAGCCAGATCATTATCTTGTTATAATGTGTGAGAGAGTCCTGCTTAAAAAGAGGACAAAGACTTATCACACAAATATGCTTGGGTCCCTTTTAATGTGGGAAGCACATTCCATGTAAAGGCAGCCTCCCGTTCCTGTCTTTCTTTGCAGAGACTTTCAGAAGAAGCAGGTGCCCTCATCGAGCATTCCTTTGATCACTTGCTAGGTGTGTTTGGTGGTGGTTTCAGTGCTGCTCTTTGGCCTCGGCATTAGAGACTAGTTTTTTAAAATTAAGTTTCTCTGGGTGTCCCAAGATTCTTTTAAATCCAAAGACCATTTAGGTTCCAGCTTCCTTGAGCCTCGGTTTCTTCCTCTATGAAGTGGAGATAATGGCAAACATCTGAAAACATTTTATCAGGATTTGGTGTGACACTACGTGTAGGTGATTAGGCCGGTGCCTGGCAAGTACTGCTGCTCGAGGAATCTCAGGTATCTGCATTCAACTGTTCTCACACGGCTATAAAGGAATACCTGAGACTGGGTAATTTATAAAGAAAAGAGGTTTAACTGGCTCACAGTTCTGCAGGCTGTACAGGAAGCGTGGCACCATTTGCTCAGCTTCAGGGTGGCCTCAGGGAACTTACAATCATGGCGGAAGGCAAAGGGGAAGCCCACGTTTCACATGGTTGGAGTAGGAGTAAGAGAGGGGTTGCAGGGGGCTGTGCCACACACTTGTAAACAACCAAATCTCGTGAGAACTCCTTATCACAGGAACAGCACCAAGGGGACGGTGCTCAGCCATTCATGAAGGATCCACCCCATGATCCAGTCACCTCCCACCAGGCCCCACCTCCAACACTGGGGGTTACCGTTCGACATGAGGTTTGGGATGGGGACAAGGATTCACACCATATCAGTGTCTTATGCATAGTAAAACATTTTATGAATGATTGTCTCTATGTGCTGTAGCTGTATATCCTCCAGTATGGTAGCCACAGGCCACTTGTGGCTAAATTTAAGTGAAATGAAAGATTCAGTTCCTTGGGCACACTAGCCACGTTTTCCAGGCCTGACAGCCATGTGCTGCTGATGGCTGCCTTATTGGACCACACAGATAGTGAAAGGTTTCTGTCACGGCTGAGAGGTTCTGTTGGCCAGTGCTTGTTCAGCTAAGGTTAAAATATTAACCACCTACACTTCCTTTGTATCTAAACCCATTTCCTTGGTTCTTTTCCAATACTTATTTCCTGGGTAGCCCTTTGTGTTACAGGGAAATTGTGAATTTTCATATTAAAGGCAACTCACCTGGGATATGGCTTGCTGAAAGGGAAGAGGCAGACGCTGTAGTATATAGTCAGTGCTCAATGAAGGGAAAGGGGCTTCACTTCCCCAACAGAGTGGCCCTCCAAAAGGGTCTCACTTTGTAGCCCAGGCTGGTCTCAAACTCCTAGGCTCAAATGGTCCTCCAATCTTGGCCTCCCAAAGTGCTGGGACTACAGGCGTTTGCCACCACATCCAGCTGCTGCTCCATCTTTAAAGTTGTCTTGCCCACACTTTGTGTGTGTGTGTGTGTGTGTGTGTGTATACATATATATGTATACACACACACACACACACACACACACACTTTTTTTTTTTTTTTTTGAAGCAGCTCGTCTTTATTGAAACTTCTTAAAACATCCAACCTGATTTTCAAAGCTCACAGCTCTGCTCCTGGCTTTGGGGGCTTAGCCTCTAATTTGGGTCTGAACTTTATTGAGCTTTGCTTGGCAAATGCAATGAAGAAAGTGTTACCAGGTGGCATTACTGAGAGCCCTTGAGGGTGGGGGGAGATTGCGTGCCGTGCCCTGTGTGTGTGTCAGCTGACTCTTGACCCCCGCTTGCAGCTCAGCATGGCTGTGTGACTTAGGACTTTCTAGATGCACATAATTTCAGGAGTGGTATTTGAGTGCATTTGGCACCAGGCATGGGGTGGCTGAGCCCCATCAGTGGCACCTCACTGTTGCTGTGCACTGGTGGGGTAGTTCTTCAGGCAGTGGGGGTGATATCCATCAGCAGGTTCCACCACTGGGCACCACCACCCTTCCCCCGCAGGTGCTCCTCTGTCCTCTAGATGTCCTGCCTCCTGCGTCCTTTGCACCATACCCCACAGGTCCTGCCACCCCTGCTCATCATCTCTCTTGCTGTTTTCATCTCTGAAGTCCCTCCTATAGGGGCTTCCTGCCCACTTCTCTGCACCTGGGCTTCTGCCCCAGCTAAAATCTCACCTCTCCAGAAAATAGTGGCCAACTTCCCCATCACCTTGGCTAGAAGTCACCCCTCCATTTGGAATGCCACAGCAGCTGCCCTTAGAGTCTTCCTGCTCTGGCAGGCCGTTGTGTGCATCACACTGACTTCAGCCCCACAAAGGAGGACCTACTGTGTGCTCAGCGTGTGCCCAGCTCTGAGTGAGGCTACACATGTGAACAGGACCAGCTCGGCTGCGGGAGCTCCTGGTGTTGGGGGCAGGCAAGCAGACATTCTGCCTGAGACTCCTTTTAGAACGTGAATGAGAAGCAGCACGAGAGTTGCTGTCAGACTCCCCGATTGCTCCATCTTTTTTCTTCTTCTTCTTCTTCTTCTTCTTCTTCTTCTTCTTCTTCTTCTTCTTCTTCTTCTTCTTCTTCTTCTTCTTCTTCTTCTTCTTTCTTCTTTCTTCTTTCTTCTTTCTTCTTTCTTCTTCTTCTTCCTTTTTTTTTTTTTTAAAGATAGAATCTCACTCTGTTACCCAGGCTGCATTGCAGTGGCACAGACAGCTCCCTGCACCCTGGATCTCCTGGGCTCAAGTGCTCCTAGAGTAGCTGGGCCACAGGCATGTACCACCATGCCTGGTTACTTTTTTACTTCTTTGTAGAGACAGGGTTTTACTTTGTTGCCTAGGCTGGTCTCAAATTCTTGGGCTGAAGTGATCCTTAGCCCCTCAAAGTGCTGGGATTACAGGTGTGTGTCCCTGCACCCGGCTGCTGCTCCATCTTTAAAATTGTCTTACCCACACGTACTTACATTTTTTGTTTTTTAAAGCAGCTTGTTTCATTGAGACTTACCAAAACATTCAACTTAATTTTCATAGGAAAAAGTCCTCTTATTTAAATTCTTATTTAGTCAGTGTGTATAATGTTTAATCAAATGATGTCATTATAGT
Organism: Homo sapiens; assembly: GCF_000001405.40. Taxonomy (NCBI): domain Eukaryota; kingdom Metazoa; phylum Chordata; class Mammalia; order Primates; family Hominidae; genus Homo; species Homo sapiens. The sequence goes on from NC_000002.12 coordinate 235,573,558, forward strand.
TACTATTATTAAAACTCCCATTTCATCGATTTGTGTGATATTTAAGTGATGTGATAATAGTTAGAAGGAAGCGTATGGAAGAAAGTGTGGCAACAACACTGCTGACACTGGAGGACAGAATTCTGGTCTCTGCAAACGGCATGAGTGCGCCCCATGAGTGCGCCCCATCACCAGCAGGTGGGCTTGGCAGGTGTGCCCCGGCTCATCTGGAGAGTCAGGTCAGGGGTGGCTGGTCAGGATAGCTGTTACCACATGGAATGTGCATTCCTAAATCCAAATGCTTGCCTCACCCCAGTGCTGAGCCTGGCCAGCTGAGAGGCTGGAGACCCCGTGTATTCATGGCTGGGGCTGGCTCCTGGCAGAGCCTCCCAGCGGGTTGGCATTCTGTTCAGCTTTCCCCTGCTGTCGCACAACCTTTTTATTGACCCCTCCCTTCCTGTGTTGGCCAGGAGCCCACTGGCTTCACCAGACCCTGACTGTTAGCTGGTCAGGGAGGCAGGGCCTGGGTGCCTTGGGGCCTGTCCTATCTGAGGTCCACAGCCTGCAGGGACATCACCTAAAAGTTGTCATCAGCTTCATTAGCAGCACTCAGGCCCAGCTGGGCATTCAGCTGTGACTGCATTCTGGCACCTGAAGCATCTGGGCCTGGACGGACTCTTTCAGGTTGTTTGGATAATCATCCTAAAAACGCCTCTGAGATCCACCCCCACTCCTGCCATCAGGCATTAAAATCTTCCGAACAGAAAAGCTGAAAATGTTCCCTTACCTTAAGGGAAAGGCCTCAATGGATTGATTTAATTGTATGTGTGAAGCATTTTTTCTTCTTTGCTAAATGCATAAACTGTATAACGAAATGTAATTAGTGAAGGTGCATTATCTGATAAAGTAAATCTCAGCCACTGGGAAGAGCCCTTTTTGGCAGTGTAGTTTCTCTTTTAATAGCTGTGATCAGATTATACCTTTAAATCTCTTTAAACACTTCCCACCACTGAAGTCTTTGGTTTCCTTGATTTGATAGTTTTTACCAGGCTGTTCAAAAAGTCAAGCAGTGTTCTTTTAGGTCCTTTTTGGTTCTGTGCGACAGTTAATGAATAGTCATGTGCATTTGACCCCTAAAAGGAAGGTCTTTTGCTTTTTAAAGAGACTGTATTAAGAGGAATAATGGACCAAGTACACCAGGAGGGAATGAACGAGAAAAATAAAAGAAAGAAAATCACACAAGACCAAATAACTAATTTTGAATATTTTCTGAGACCTTTGGTTTAGAATCTAAACTTTGTTGAGGCTGGGCGCAGTGGAGCACGCGTGTAATTCTAGCACTTAGGGAGGCCGAGGCAAATGGATCACTTGAGCTCAGGAGTTCGACACCAGCCTAGGCAACATGGCAAAGCCCTGACTCTTCCAAACATACAAAAATCAGCGAGGCATGGAGGCAGACACCTATGGTCCCAGGTACATGGGAGGCTGAGGTGGGATGATCGCTGGAGCTTGGGAAGTTGAGGGTGCAGTGAGCCACGATCGTACCACTGCACTCCAGCCTGGGTGACAGAGTGAGATCCTGTCTCGAAAAAACAAAAACAACAAACCAAAAAAAAAGGTGACATTGAGAATAAAGAGATGGTGGTTGGATTTGTGGCTATTTTTCCAGCTGCTCAATAGTTGTACAAAATGTAGCTTGATATGATGAGTGTTTCCAAAATTCCTAAATTACATGTCATGTTTGTTGATTATTTGTATATGTTTTAATGTGTATTAAAAAGACACCAAAGGTGTGAGTTCATAAATATTAATACTTAGGATAAACTTAAGATTTGAAAGAATTTAAAGTTGAAGAGAGTTGAAGTAGGTGATAGTTTAGGTGGTCTTTGAATGTGGCAGAAGCCACAAAGGTGGTGCATGAAGTTTGGGAAAAGCTGAGCCGAGGAAACTGGAAGGCTTTCTCCTTTAAGGACCAGTGTGATTCTAGGCTGTTGAATGATATCTTCAGATACCCGTTTGTCCTGTTGCTCTGCCTCCTCCGTGAGCTGTGCTCACGGGTGGCCAGGTGTTTGACACTAGTATCCAGAGACAAACTCAGACATGCGCCCTGGGCTCTACTCCTGGAACCTGGGAGAAAGGGCTGCCGTAGGGAAAGGTGTGAACGCACAGGTTTGCATGCCTAAAATTATAACACTTTTTTATTGCAAAGGTTCTTTTCAGCTTTTTTCTTTTCAAGTAAATGGAGATGTGTCTTTCTTCTGTTTCTGGTGTCCTTTTTCTTTCCGTAAAATAACCACCTCTTTACTGAGATTGGGGAGGGAAGTCTGTCTCCATTGAATTGTCTGCTGTCGACATCAGATAAGACATTCCCTTCTGTTCTGTTTTCAAAAGAAGATGATGTGAAAAAAAAGTGGCATTTTTATGAGACGTGTTGTCCCCTCACATAACTTCTTGGATACCTTTCCCTTGTCCTAGGGACCTAAGCCTCTCTGGGTGTCACTGTCCGTGCACAGCCTGTGATAAGCCGCTGTGTGGCAGAGACCAACTGTGGGTGATTTGTCGCTCCCCAGAGCCCGGTTGCAACAGGAGGAGCCACCAGGCTGGGAGGGCACCAGGCAGGAGGCTGGGTCCATACCTGGCGCAACCCTGGGCCTCAGGTTCCCCAGTGGCAAAGGTAGGATAGGGGCTTTGGTCGCCTCTGTGCTATGAGTCTTTGTCCAGTTTGTCAGTCACCATATTCGTTTTACTCTCCAGTCTTTTCTATAAAAGTGTTTGGGGGCCAGAAGTTGTTAACCTGGTTCACTAGAAGCTAATGCATTGATTATTTTTGTGTGTGTTGTACTCAGCACGTGCTTCTCAGTGCGCTGTGTCCTCATTTGCTGTTTCCCCTGAAGTTTGACGAGTATGGTATATTCTGGTCACCAGGCAGGTGGTGCTTGGGGAATATCTCCTCTCCGTGTGCTGGAAGCATTGCCTGATTTTAATGAGGTGACTCACTGCAGCTGGTTTTAAGAACTTTGTTGCAGGTATTGGTTGACTGCAGTGTTCCCAAGTGGTCGTGCTGTGCCCTAAAGGCTGCTAGAACCTCAGGGGCCGTTGAGGGCAGGTTCGAGTCCCGCAGGCAAGAAGGTGGAACTCTAGAGAGGAGGGGGATGCCTTGGCCTGGGCCCCCTCTGAGGGAGGACTGTCGCCCCTGCTGCTGGGAGCATCATTAGCTGCAGCTCCTCATGGAGAGATGCCCAGCGTAAGGGTACATCCTGTCAGACCCTCTTCCCGTGACTGTTCTTCCAGGGTGTGAAGGGCAGAAAGGTGGGGCCATCTGGACCCATCATGGGACAATTCTAATGGCCTCTCCATTGCTCCCTGTTGGGTTGGCGAGATGGCCTCAGGTTTGCCTGGCAGTTCAGCCTCTCTCTGGCCAGTTCTGCTTCTTCCCCTCCTTCCACAGGTATCCATCTTCCCTCCATACCCCAAATGCCAAACTCTACCTCTGCATCTTCACCAAGAAAAGCATTTCTGTTGTCCTGAAATATCAGGCCTTCCTGAACCCCCTTGTACCTCTGTCCAGTGGAAGTAGAATGCCAGCCACATACGTCATTTAAAGTTTTCTACTAGCTACATTAGAAAAAATAAAAGAAACAGATGAAATTAATTTTAATAAACTGTTTAATCCAACATATCCAAAATATTATCCTTTCATTGCAATTATCTGGAATTTGTGGACGAGGTTTGCTATAATCCTGTTTGGTACTGATGCTTTGGGTGGTGCTGTGTAATGTTCATTCATCGCACATTTCAATTCGGCCACATTTTAGTGCTCAGTAGCACCTGTGGCTGGAGCTACTGTATTGGGCACCACGGCCTTAGGGTTTTGATTAAAACCCCATTCTCTTGACCTTCTGCCCAAAGCCTTTGCCAGATGAGACACTGCCTCTCGCTGAATGCCTGCTTGGAGCAGAGTCCTGTGTTTGTTTGGAAATGATCGGAAGCTCCTGTGTCCCTGGTCGCTTGCTGGAGTCGGTGGGAGCTGAGAGTCCCTTGCTGCCCGGAGCATGGCTGTGTGGCTGCCTGACTACATGGTTCTTCCCCCGGTTATTTTTGTTTGGGCAGTTAACTCTGAGCATTCGGAACATTCGCCGAGTGGAACGTGTGTGTCGTCATCCCCTCGAAGGCTTGGCTGATTGAGCCAGTAAACAAAAAGTGCATTCAACACAGGCTTGTCTGCTGGCCTCCCCCGGGAGAGAGAGTAGGTTTGCTATTCCTGAAATGTAATCCCTCCTTCAGCGCTGCACAAAAGGCCCATGTCTGCTCGCTGGGACCTGATAGTTCGCCTTTGTACGGATGAAAAAAACCAAACACTGAGCCTGGTCTGAGCGGGGCTGTTTGTTGAGGCTCCTGATGCAGACAAGGGAGCAGTGTCTGCACAGGGGGTCTGGATCGCACCCGACACCATCCAGGTGCCTGCGTGTGCTGGTCCCGCCATCAGGACTTCCCCTCGTGAGGAGCTGGGTACCACTGTTATCCTGCCTGCTGGTCTGAGGGTCCGAGCGTGATTGGGAGCAGAGACAAGAGTTCCAGGGCGAGCCTCAGTTCTGGGACCACCATTGACCAGTAGAGCTATAAAGGACTTGGCCACCAAGGTTGGAGCTGAGCCCCCCATGTCATGAAACTGCCACTGTCAGAGCCAGCCTGAGCTCCACGGTGCCCGTCTCCTACCTGCACTGTGCCCCCACACCTTTGTTGACAAGGACCTGACCTCTCCTCAAACTACAACCTAAGAACCACAATGCCTGTTCCCCTTACCTGCCCCCAGGTGTCCTGGGAGAAGTCAGTGACATGATTAAGACCTTTAAAAATGATGGTAAGCATGTGCCAGTGTGAATGTACTTAGTGCCACTGAGCTGCACACTTAAAAGTGGGTAGAATGATGCATTTTGTGTGTATTTTGCCACAGTTTAAAAAATTACAGACTGGACGCAGTGGCTTATGCCACCCCAGCACTTTGGGAGGCTGAGGCAGGCGGATCACTTGAGGTCAGGAGTTTGAGACCAGCCTGGGCAACATGGTGAAACCTCGTCTCTACTAAAAATACAAAAAAATTAGCTGGATGTGGTGGTGTGCACCTGTAATCCCAGCTACTTGGGAGGCTGAGGCAGGAGAATTGCTTGAACCCAGGAGGCGGAGGTTGCAGTAAGCCGACATTGTGCCACTGCACTCCAGCCTGGGCAATACAGCGAGACTCAGTCTCAAAAAAAAAAAAAAAATTTTTTTTTTACAATAAGCTATTTAAATAAACATTTGTGTATAGCCCAATAGTTTTTCACTGTTGAGGGTCAAAATTTTACCTTTGTCTACCTATCTGCCTGTCCCTCTAGCTGTCAGTCACACAGACGGATATAGATATGTAATTTGAATTACTTCTGTTTCTTTCTCTTTGCTAGTCTAAGTCTTAGAAGAATTAAGGGTTTTCTTATTACTGGCTAAAGTTAAAAGGTACCCAGTTGAATCATCTTGGAAAGAAAACCAGGAAACCAAATTATCACCATGAAGCAGCCTTCCCCAGCTTGTGTCACAGTGGAGCGCTCATTTTTGTGGCTGGTTTACTGTCGTAAAACTTTCGTATAAGGGCGCACTGTGTCAGCCCCTGCCCACTGAGGGCTTCAGAAATGAAAGGCAGTTCTATTTATGCCCAGCTGGCTTCTGCAGAGCCGGGCTCAGTTTACCAGGCGACACTTTTGCTTTAATCCTTCCTGGTGTGACGTAACCTTTCACTGTCCTTCCCATGCCCTGAGGTCTCCAGCCTTTTTGTTAAAACAAAACAAACCTTATTTGGGCATGATCAATACAGCTGTGGGTTGCAATCCCAGGGGGCGACTTGGCTCTTTTGTTGTTGTCGTTAAAAAATATTGAGGCAAAATTTACATAACATAAAGTTAAGCATTTAAAAGTGAACACTTGGCCAGGCGTGGTGGCTCACACCTGTAATCCCAGCACTTTGGGAGGCCTAGGCGGGCAGATCACGAGGTCAGGAGATCGAGACCATCCTGGCTAACACAGTGAAACCCCGTCTCTACTAAAAATACAAAGAAATTAGCCGGGCGTGGTGGTGGGCACCTGTAGTCCCAGCTACTCGGGAGGCTGACACAGGAGAATGGCGTGAACCCAGGAGGAGGAGCTTGCAGTGAGTGGAGATGGCACCACTGCACTCCAGCCTGGGCAACAGAGCGAGACTCCATCTCAAAAAAAAAAAAAAAGTGAACACTTACTTAGCGTATGCACCACATGGTGTAACCACCCACCCGTCTAGTTCCAAAACAATTTCATCACCCCCGCCCAGGGGAAACCCCATGTTCTTCAGCAGTCATTGCCCATTTCCCCCTCTCCCTAGCACCTGACGACCGCCAGTCTTCTGTTTCTGTGGGTTTGCCCATTCTGGACATTTCATATAAACAGAACCATACAACATGTGGCCTTCTGTGACTGGGTTCTTTCCCTTAATATAATGTTTTTGAGATTCATCGAGGGTGGTAGCATGCATTGGTGCCTCATTTCTTTCTACAGCTGAATGATATTTCATTGTATGGAGGGACCACATTTTGTTTATTCATTCATCTGTTGATGGGCGTTTGTGTCCATCTTTTGGCTACAGGGAACCATGCAGCTATGAACGTGCGTGTACAGGGATTTGCTTGAGTTGCCATTTTCACCTCTTTGGAGTATATCCTTAGGAGCTGAGTGGTTGCTTGGAAAGGTAATTGTATTTGACTTTGAGAAGAACCGCCATACTGTTCTCCCCATCATTAGTGGTGAGAATGAAGACGTGCCGGCCGCTTACATTTTGTCGGGTTGATTTCTTCATTTTCTTGCATCTCCTTCACAGTGGCAGTGCTGGCTTTTCCCTCGGTGCTTGTTGGAGGCAGTGGGGGAGGGAGGGTTGGGGAGGGTGCGCTTTCTACTCCACCATTCTAGTGTCTTCTAGAGGTAGAGTCGAGTGTATCTGAGAGTGCTTCTCTCTTAGAATAAATGACATTAACATATGAAAAAACAGCTACTTGTGCCTGACTATGGGCATTTTCATGTACAGGAGTTCTTGAAGCTGAGTTTATTGAGAATGGTTTTGTTACCTGCTGATAGCTATCTTTTTGTGTTTAGTTCTTTTTGACTTCTTTGGCCTCTAATGTTTTGACAGTGGCACTTAGATGACAGTCAGCAATTGCAACAGTGAATGAAATCACACAGCTTGAGTTCAAGGTGGAAAGAGAAAAAAATCTAGAGAGGATGTTATCTGACCTGGCATGAGAGGTGATCATCCTGTCTCTGAGCAGTGGGTTCTTGCTCTCGACCTTAGGGTGTAATGTGGCCCTGCTCCTTGTATGGTGAATAACTTGTGACTGCTGTGTTTACCACATGGCTTGACAGTTTACAAAGCACTTTTGTGTATATTATTGCACACTCTGATCCTTACAGTAATCCCGTGAGGTGTGGAGTGGAGGCTTTTTAAGAAACAGAGACTGCTTTGGGAGGCATAGGTCGGTGGATCACCTGAGGTCAGGAGTTCGAGACTAGCCTGGCCAACATGGTGAAACCCCATCTCAAGCAAAAAAAAAAAAAAAAAAAAAAAAATGCCGGGCATGGTGGTAGGTGCCTGTAATCCCAGCTACTTGGGAGGCTGAGGCAGGAGAATCACTTGAACCTGGGAGGCAGAGGTTACAGTGAGCTGAGATCATGCCATTGCTCTCTAGCCTGGGTGACAAGAGCGAAACTCCGTCTCAAAAAAAAAAAAAGATGGAGGGTGAAAGAGATGGAGACTTGGAGGTTGCACACTGTTCAGTGGAGGTGCAGGACTTCCAGCTTGGTCTTTGTCCCCAGCTTTTTAAGAATTCAATCATGAAGAAGATTGTTTATATTGTTCTTTTTTTTTTTTTTTTAATGGATTGAGTGTGAAACTGGTGGAAATATATTCCAGGAGGCCATTTAAAAAGAAAATAGGCTGGGTACAGTGGCTCATGCCTGTAATCCCACACTTTGGGAGGCCAAAGCAGGCAGATTGCCTGAACTCAGGAGTTCAAGACCAGCCTGGGCAACGTGGTGAAATTCCGTCTCTGCTAAAATACAAAAAATTAGCCGGGTGTAGTGGTGCATGCCTGTAATCCCAGCTACTCAAGAGGCTGAGGCAGAGAATTGCTTGAACCCGGAAAGTGGAGGTTGCAGTGAGCCGAGATCGTGCTACTGCACTCCAGCCTGGGCAACAGAGCGAGATTCCATCTTCAAAAAAAAAGAAAGAAAGAAAATAACAAGGTTACCATGGAGATCCTGCAGTCACGGGGACATTCTCAAACATCACAATGATTGGTGTCAAAAATTGAAACCTGGAAGAAGAAAACTGGACTATGATTGTTGAATTAGCACCCGGGGAGGTTTTATTATTCTGTGTTCACCCCAGGAAATTCTTAAGGCCTGAGTGTTGATGTCCTTCAGCAACCCAACATATTAACGCAGTCTTTAGGAGACATGAAATGTTCCTTCCATCCAGGGAAGACGTGATTGCAGCAGGCAGGAGTTGATAGTGATGCTATGGGGCTGTCTGCTCTATACGAGGAGCAGAGACCCCTGGATCCTAGTGGTGGCCCCTGGTCACCAGATGTGAGCCCTGGAGCGCATGATTGTGGTTTTGACCCATTCTTGCCCCAGCTTGAGCCTGACCTTTGGCAGGTCCAGGAGTGTGCTGAGTCTTTCTACCCCGCTGCGTGGTGCTGCCTGCCGAGGTGGTGTGGCTCTTTGTGCTGGCATTTAGGGTGTCACTAAAGCCCAAGACCAGGATTGCTTGTCCTTTGCAGTGTGCTGGACAGGAGCCACACAGTGTAGAAGCGACTTGCCCTAAATGCCTCATTGAGAAGCATGGGTGTCCCCTTAGACATCATGGGAGCTCATTGCATTGATGAAGCCCTCTTGAGTCAGATCGTGGGGTTGGTTGGTCATGCGTGTAATTATGTGTTGAGGTTTGGTGCCTTGAGATTAAAGGGATGCCACATTTTGAGCTTCTCAGATATAAAAGAAGGATTCTTTGGGGGAGGACCTATAAATATTTCTTAAAAGTGTTTTACAACAAAAGCACGGAGTGTACTTCAGAAGGAAGGATTTAGCTGCTGGAGTGATGGCCGAAGGAGCCTGGGAGAAGTCAGAGAGAGGGGGCTCGTGGTCCTTCTTGGGCTCTCATTGCTGTTAGCAGGAGTTGGCACTTGAGTCCCACGTCCTAGCCTCCCGGCATCACAGCCTTATGCTGCATTTCCTAAAGTGCTTTCTAGCACTGACCGACTCCAGGAGGCAGCACTGGCAAGGATTTTGGTGAGCCTTTGATGGAGTGTGTTCCGGAATCGGGAGGAAGCTTGTAAGGCTGCTTTCCACTCATTTTATGTTGTTGGGATTTGGCTCGGAACCTGCCAAGGACCCCTGTGTGTTAAAGTTGAAATAGTTCCCTAGTAAACTGGCCACTTTCAGACCAGCTGCATTTTCTAGAATAAACTTCATTTGTCCTTGACTCATAAAGGGAAAAGCCAGAAGCCAGGGGCTCTGGGGCACCTCCAAGTGGGCCAGGGTCAGGTGTGGGTCCTCTGCCTGGGTTTTAATGTAAACTCAGGGTTTTAATGTAAGAACCTGTTTTGTTTGCTTTTGTTTTTAGACCAAGTCTCACTCTGTTACCCAGGCCAGAGTGCAGCAGCCATAAACATGTCTTACTGCGGCCTTGAACCTTGGTCTTAAATGATCCTCTTACTCAGCCTCTCATGTAACTCTGGGGTAACTCCAAGTGGGCCAGGGTCAGGTGCGGGTCCCCTGCCTGCGTTGGTCTCACTGCCATATAACCCCAGCCATGGTGATCTTACCAGAGAAACTCATTTGAACCTATGCGGCTGCTTCAGGCCGGTGGTTGTTGGCCTGATAGGAAGAGAGCATACTCAGCCTCATACTCAGCCTCTCGTGTAACTGGGACCACAAGCATGCACCACCATACCTGGCTAATTTTTTTTTTTTTTTTTTTTTGGTAAAGATAGGGTCTCAGAGGTTTGGTGTGGTGGCTCATGCCTGTAATCCCAGCACTTTGGGAGGCTGAGGCAGGTGGATCAGTTGAGGCCAGGAGTTCGAGACCAGTCTGGCTAACATGGTGAAACCCCATCTCTACTAAAAATACAAAAACTAGCTGGGTGTGGTGGTGTGCGCCTGTAGTCCCAGCTACTCGGGAGGCTGAGGCAGAATTGCCTGAACTCAGGAGGCAGAGGTTGCAGTGAGCCAAGATTGTACCACTGCACTCCAGCCTGGGTGATAAAATGAGATCATGTCTTAAAAAAAAAAAAAAAAAGATGGGGTCTCACTTTGCTGCCCAGGCTGGTCTTTGAACTCCTGGACTTAAATGATCCTCCTGCCTCGGCCCCCCAGAGTGCTGGGATTATGGGCATGAGCCACCACACCTGGCCAGGGCCTGTTTTTAATTGTTGAATTGCCCACATTGCATTATCAGGATTGAAAACATAGTAGTGGCACAGCCTCCTGGAGAGTGCAGATGTAGCTCATGGTACGCTTGGGGTTTCTGCAGAGCATGACATCAGGCTGTCTTCCAGCCTTGCCTCACTAAGAACTTGAAGCATGACCCTCAATAAACCACTTTTTTTTTTTTTTTTGCATGGAAATCTGTGAAGAAAGAAGGCCTTGGGAAAGCCTGTGTCCTGGCCTGTCATTGAACGTAATAATTACATTAACAAGTGAATGATTTAAGTTCTGCACTCTTTGTTCTTATAGGAACAAGGTTAAGGGACGACTGTGTTGTGGGTTGAAATGTGTCCCCCAAAATAGTATGTTCAAGTCCTAACCTTGGTAGCTGTGTGTGTGGCCATACTTGGAGATGGTCTTTGGCTGATGTAATTAGTTAAGATGAGGTCATACTAGATTGGAGTGGGTCCTGATCCAGTGATCGGTGTTCATCTGAGAAGAGGGAGGTTGTGACAGCAACACGCAGGAAGGGCCATGTCACGATGGAGGCAAAGGTCGGAGCAAGCTGTGCTAGGAAGAGGCAAGGAGGGATCCCCTCCCCCAGCCTTCATAAGGAGCACGGCCCTGCAGACACCTTGATTTTTGAACTTCTGGCTTCCAGAACTGCGAGGGAATACATTTCTGCTGTTTGAGCCACCTGGTTTGTGGTACTTGATTACAGCAGTGCTAACCTCCCCACAGTTACCCACAACCTCTGAGTACCTGTTTGCCGCTCACTCCTCCCTCTCCCATTGCCACGTGGTCTCTGCTTTTATTCGTTTTCTCAGCGGAAACTTGGAGGCCATTGGCTATTGTGTATCGTGTATCGTGGCTAAGTCATTACCTTTTTTTTTTTTTTTTTTTTTTTAAAGAAAACCCAAAACCAAAAAACTCCTTTTAGGCGTCACCCCCCTACCCACTTAGGTACAGTGCTGCTGCTGCTGCCCCCGGCTTCTTGAAACCTTCTTTCTGACTCTCTGAGAGAGACTCTTGTGGATATCTTGTAGCTCTGGCCTTTTTCTTTAGCTCTGGTCTTTCCCTCTCTTGGCTGTGGATTCATTTCTTATCGCTGTTGTAACAAATTACCACACACTAAGTGGCTTAAAACAGCATAGATTTATTACAGTTCGGAAGCTCAGAAGCTCCAAATGGGTCTTACGGGCCTAAAATCAAAGGCTGTGCTCCTTTTGGAGGCTGTGGGGTAGACTCGATTTCCTTGCTTTTTCCAGCCTCAATGGCTGCTGCATTCCTGGCCTTAGCTCTGTATCCCTCTGGCCTCTGCCGTGGTAGCTGCGTGGCCTGCTCTGACCCTGACCTCCTGGAAGGACCCTGTGATTACATTGGACCCACCTGTGTAATCCAGAATCCTTGCAAAACCCCCATCTCAAAATCTTTCACCTCTTCACATGCACACAGTGGCTTTGCCCCGTGGAGCCACATGCTCTCAGGTTCCAGGAATGAGTCTGTGGGCATCTCTGGGGGCCACTGTTCAGCCTGAATGTGTTCTGAGGCTTAGTATTTTGTCTCTTTGAGTTCTACATTCATTTTGATCCTTACATCATCATCTGCAGGGGATAGGTGATTCTCAATCTAGGTTTGGGAAGAGGAACTTAAGGCTCCACAGAAATTTGAGTCCATTTTTACTTAAATGTACTTTTTACCTTTAGAAAAACTTGTAGGTAAAAACCAACAGGTGCATTCAAACCAATCACACGCCAACTTTTACCACCCACCACCGTCTTACCTTCTGCTGCTGTGTTGGCTCATTATTTTGCGCGGACCCGAAATGAAGGCTGTCTCGTCCTTTCTGTTTAATTGGAGCGCCTGGAGAGCACAGGTGAGTTGTTAAAAACCCGGTGAATCCTGCATGGATTTGCAAACCAAACTACATGGAGAAATCAGTTAAATTCTCAGGTTTCAGGGTTGCAGCTGCCACTGAGAAGTGTATTTAGGCAGGTTCTGGCAACAGACTTGGTGTTGGGCTTGAGTGGGAAGGGGATTTAGGAGCTTCATGAGCGAGTCAAATGCAAGTTGGGGAAGTGGCTGAAAAAAATGCCTCCTGGAAAAAGCAGTAAATGTAAGGATTTAGGTCGGCCATTGTCTCCGTGTAAGTCAACACTACCTTGTGTGTGTGCGCATACACACAAAGAGGGTGAGCCCTCAGCCCGCCATACGGGCATGTTATCCAGAAGAGAGGAGAGAGAAGCCCGCTGCACTCTCCACTGACCAGACCACCCACTTTGCCCTCTGCACGCTCACTCCACGAAGGATGCAGGTGGGCACACTGCTACAACCCCCTGGGTGTGTGTGGAGTTGGGAAAGAGACGGATGTTGAGCCTGAAGAGGCTGTGACCTCCCCAAATACTCGGACTCCCCTGTGGAAGGCAAGGTGGAGGCAGCTGTTATGTGGTGTGTTGGATTCACAGCAGTCAAGGCTGCCACGAGCAAGTATTTTGAGTGCTCCTTATGTCCATGCAGAGGCTGACTCCAGAGGATGCTGTGCACAGGCCTGTGTGACCTGAAGGCCCTTGCAGGCTGAGGTCTCTTGGTGATAATCCACACACTGTCCTGGGCCTTGGTTTTGCAGCATTTCCAACTTGGGTTGTCAGAGTGAGACTGTGCAGGACTGCCCCGTACAGTACGGCTTCTATGTGTGAACAACACAGACCACTAAGAGATGTGACAAAGCTGTTCCATCAGAGGAAACATAGTCTGGGGGACAAATCCTCCCATTCCTGATAGGACAGGAGGGAGCGGTTGGCTGGGGAAGACCTGAGTGAGGGAGCTTTCTTGAGGACGGGTTTTGTCGGAGTGTAGTTCATATACCATGCACAGCCTGTCAGCATACAGCTTGAATGAACTCACGTGTGTAACCAGATCAAGAGGCAGAATATTACTAGGGTGGCAGTTTTGAGTCCCATGAAAACAAACACATTTACTCTGTCTAGCTCCATCTCTAGTTAATTCTAGTGCAGTTTAAATGCTCACAAAATCCTTATTTGAATGGATGAGTCAGTGGTTTGAATTGAATAGTTTTTGAGCCATTTGTATGGAGAAGGTATTACCCAAACAGAAACATGGTGGTGATAATAGACTCACGTTGATTTCACTTGTTAACTGAGCAAACACCTCTTGTCTCCTCATTCTGTGCAGAGCATTCTGGGTGGAAAAGTCGGACCAAGTTTCTGAGGGGAGGACGGAGGAGTCCTGTCTTTTAAGCAGATGGAGCTGCAAACAGCCAGAGAGTGACAGAGATTGAGAGGCAGCAGCTGTCTTTTCAGTTGCGCATCCTCCTTGTAGTAACCATAGGTGGGAGGCTGGGATTCCGAGCTCAGGGCAGCGGGATGCTCACCATGTGCTGGGTGCTGTTTGAAGGACCGGAAATGCATCATTTTGTTTAAGTCTCCCAACAGGCCGGGTGCGGTGGCTCATGCCTGTAATTCCAGAACTTTGGGAGGCTGAGGTGGGCGGATCACTTGAGGTCAGGAGTTTGCAACTAGCCTGGCCAACATGGTGAAACCCCATCTCTACTGAAAATACTTAAAAAATTAGCCGGGCATTGTGGCAGGCACCTGTAATCCCAGCTACTCTGGAGGCTGAGGCAGGAGAATTGCTTGAACACTGGAGGTGGAGGTTGCAGTGAGCTGAGATAGCCCCATTTCACTCCAGTCTGGGCAACAAGAGCAAAACTCCGCCTTAAAAAAAAAAAAAGTCACAACAACCTGTTTCACTTAAGTACGGGCTTAAGAGGCCAGTGTGAGGGTCAGGAGCTAACACTCAGCCCCACAGGGGTCTCCAGGTCCTGCTGCTCCTTCCACGCCTGCCCGGTCCCTGCAGCTTCCCATGAACGGAAGGGAAGTCATCTGGCAGCCTTAGAAATGCTCATTTGTGGCCGGGTGTGGTGGCTCACGCCTGTAATCCCAGCACTTTGGGAGGCCGACATGCGTGGATCACCTGAGGTCAGGAGTTTGAGACCAGCCTTACCAAGATAGTGAAACCCCGTCTCTACTAAAAATACAAAAATCAGTCGGGCATGGTGGCACATGCCTGTAGTCCCAGCTACTCGGGAGACTGAGGCGGGAGAATTGCTTGAACCCGAGAGGTGGAGGTTGCAGTGAACCGAGATTGTACCACTGCACTCAGCCTGGGTGACAGAGTGAGACTCCGTCTCAAAAAAAAAAAAAAATGCACATTTGCATCAGTGATTTCATTCTGCCAGTGTTAAATGAAAATTGTTACAGGGAAGTTAGTTCTCAGGATCCATTGGGGATAAAATACCAGAACAAAGGGAAGGCTAGGGTTTCTTCTCCTCCACTTCTCTACACTCAACCACCCTTCCCATTTCTTTAATGCCAACGCACCGTCACCTTCCTCACCCTTGATGCTGAGACATTCAAGACCCCTTAGAACCCAGGACTCCCGGTGGCTGCTACACCCTGGTCATATCTGGCCTCTCACACTTAACCCCTCCAAATAGTAAAATCTGGATAAAAAAAAATTGGGTTTTCAAAGAGCTGTTAACAGTCTTCTGTAGCTGAGTTTTTAAGAAATTATACCATATTCATTTTGACTCCTAATTCCTTTTTGGAAAAATTTCTGAATTTTGTTAAATTCACGGAGTAACACAAATGGTTATCTTTCTGTTCCTTTAAAATCTATCTTTGATTTGGAGATTACTAGGGTAAATTATAGATCAAGAATATCATACATGTCATTATTCACTGAAATTTGCAGTCAGCTCTGTAGACACCATTCTGCCTCCTTTACCCAGCACGTTGGGGATTGTGATTACTGACGAGACCTTTAAAGAATCTTCCGGCTGGGAAAGGTCCCGAGTGGCCTGCTTTCCTGGCTTATTTGAGAATTTTGCCTGGCCCCTAGGTTTCTCAGCAGTCTGTATTTCCCACTGTTCGTTGTGCTCGTGCTGAGTTGTTTTCCTATCGAAATACAACTGTGTTTTATTGACCTTGAATAGCTCTGCCAGATTTCACAGGTGCTCCTTGCTCTGGGAGGCCCTGAAATGCCCTTTCTGGTCCCTCTTGGGTTCAGCGCTCAGGGCCTCTGGAAGGTTTCAGGAGCCCCGATGCTGGTAGAAAAGGAGATTTTGAGAACTACCAGTTAATAGCTTATTGTTTTGTTTTTTTTTTTTTTTTTTTTTTTTTTTTGAGACGGAGTTTCGTTCTTGTTGTCTAGGCTGGAGTGCAATGGCGCGGTCTTGGCTCACTGCAATCCCTGCCTCCCAGGTTCAAGTGATTCTCCTGCCTCAGCCTCCCAAGTACCTGGGATTACAGGCGCCTGCCACCATGCCCGGCTAACATTTTGTATGTTTAGTAGAGATGGAGTGTCACCATTTTGGCCAGGCTGGTCTCGAACTCCTGACCTCAGGTGATCCGCCCACCTTGGCATCCCAAAGTGTTGGGATTACAGGCATGAGCCACCGCGCCAGTGCTGGTCCCAGTTAATGGCTTATTTCTGAATTTCCCATCCAACCGAACTTTTCAAGTGTAACTCCTGGTTCTTCATGGGCAGGAGGACCATGTCCGCTCTAGGTGGCTTGTCCTCTTTGGGAAGGCTCTCTTTGCATTTTAAAATTATTCTGGATGACAGAATGAAACCCTGTCTCAAAAAAATATAGATAGATAGATAGATAGAGATATAGAATGGAGATAATTGGAGGAAGCAGTGGTCATTTTAGTGTTTGTGTAGCCAGGAGAGCACGGCCAGGACTCACTCTGAGTTGGGGTAGCCAGAATTCAGAGCATCTAGAGAGAGAGAGAGAGAGGCTCACCTCTTAGGAAAGGGTTTGGGAATGAGTAGGAAGTTATTTTCCTTTTTTTTTTTGAGATGGTATCTCGTTCTGTCGCCCAGGCTGGAGTGCAGTGGTGCAATCTCAGCTCATGGCAGCCTCTGCCTCCCGGGTTCAAGCGATTCTCCTGCCTCAGCCTCCCTGGTAGCTGGGATTACAGGTGAGTGCCACCACATCTGGCTAATTTTTGTGTTTTTAGTAGAAAGGGGGTTTCACCATGTTGAGCAGGCTGGTCTCGAACTCCTGACTTCAAGTGATCTGCCCGCCTCGGCCTCCCAAAGTGCTGGGATTCCAGGCGTGAGCCACCGCGCCCGGCCCTTTCTTTTCTCTCACTGTTACTGTCTCCCTGAGTTTTTACTCGGTGTTAACGTTTAAAAGCTCCAGCTTCAAAAAGTAGTTTTTAGTCTTTCTTAAAATACAGATGTAAGCACCCATCAGCTCTCTGCCCAAAGATAAATATTCTTAACCTTTAGGTGCCTATCCTTTTATGCCAGATGCCAAGTTGACCAGGGAGTGTCTGCACAGATTCCCGGTGTCTGCACCTCCTAGGGATATGGAAGGAGGCCTGAGCTCCGCGAGGCTGGATGTTGAAGCTGTTGATCAACAGGTGTGGGCAGGAAGGGACGGGAGGCTGGAAACCGTGACCATGCCCAGAGACAGGGCTTCTGGGGGTCACCAGCAATGCCTTTCACTGCCCTCTCCACCACAACCTGCTTTTCGAATTTAAAGATAACAGAACCTGCCAGGATAGGCCACTCATTTTTGTTTTTGTTTCTGTTTTTTTTGTTTTGTTTTGTTTTAATGTGTGTGTGTGTGTGTGTGCGTGTGCGTGTGTGTGTGTGTGTGTGTGCATTTTTTTTTTTTTTTTTTTTTTTGAGGCGGAGTCTTGCTCTGTCGCCCAGGCTGGAGTGCAGTGGTGTGATCTCGGCTCACTGCAAGCTCTACCTCCCGGGTTCATGCCATTCTCCTGCCTCAGCCTCCCAAGTAGCTGGGACTACAGGCACCTGCCACTACGCCCGGCTAATTTTTTTGTATTTTTAGTAGAGACGGGGTTTCACCATGTTAGCCAGGATGGTCTCGATCTCCTGACCTCGTGATCCGCCTGTCTCGGCCTCCCAAAGTGCTGGGATTACAGGCGTGAGCCACCGCCCGGCCTATATTTTTAATTTTTTGAGACAGTCTCGCTCTGTTGCCCAGGCTGGAGTGCAGTGGGGCGATCTCGGTTCACTGCAACCTCTGCCTTCCGGGTTCAAGCAATTTTCGTGCCTCAGCCTCCCGAGTAGCTGGGATTACAGGCACCCACCAGCATGCCCAGCTAATTTTTGCATTTTTAGTAGAGATGGGGTTTTGCCATGTTGGCCAGGCTGGTCTTGAACTCCTGGACTCAGGTGATGCATCCGCCTCAGCCTCCCAAACTGTTGGGACTGCAGGCGTGAGCCACTGCGCCCAGCCCTGTTTTTTAAGTTATGTAAACAGCAACGGGAATGAATTGACTGAACGAGGGGGAGTGGAGTGGGAAGCAATGTGCTGCCCGGGTCTTGGTGTGAAACGCAGTGGCCCTGGGCAGAATGCACAACAAAGGCGCACGGATTTGGGTTTAGAGGCTTAATCCCTCCTTCTCTTGGTGTGATGTTGACTCCACAGAGGCAAATGTGCCCCAGGCTGCAGTCAACTGTTTGACCTCGAGTTTGGGATAAGCATACGGCCTCTTCAGCCTGATGTCACTGATGTGGTTTGGATGATTTTCTCCTCCAAATCTCACTTCGAAATGTGATCCCCAGTGTTGGAAGCGAGGCCTAGTGCAGGTGCTTGGGTCATGGGGGTGAATCCTTCATGAATGTCTAGCACCATCCCCTTGGCGATGAGTGAATTCTTGCTCTGATAGTTCATGAGAGGTCTGTTTTGTTTTGTTTTTAATTTTCCTTTACACAACAGTATACAGTATTAGGTGCCAAGAGACCTGGTTGTTTAAAAGAGCCTGCCCCCACCCCCACCCCCCACCACTTCTCTCTTGCTCCTCTCTTGCCATGTGACATGCCTGCTCCCCCTTCGTCTTCCCACATGATTGGAAGTTCTGGGAGGCCCTTAGCAAGAGCAGATGCTGCTACCAGCTTCCTGTATAGCCTTCAGGACCATGAGCCAAAATAAACCTCTTTTCTTTATAAATTACCCAGCCTCAGGCATTCCTTTATAGCAACGCAAGAACAGACTCACACAGTCATACATTGAAGTGGCGCTGGTTCCCAGGGGCCCAGGCTTGCCTGGACAGCGCCCTGTGGCCAGGAAGACCTGGGGAGGGAGGGTGGCTGGAGGCCAGGAGCTGTGCTAGGTATCCCTGCTCTGCAGCCAAGGAGGCTCCTCCTCCACTGCCCTGGCCACCTGGATGCTGCATTTAATTCTGGGCACCACGCGCCAGAAGGAGGAGTAGATGAGCCATGTTCTGGGGGGCAGTGAGCAGGATGGTGAAGGAGGAGTAGATGAGCCATGTTCTGGGGGGCAGTGAGCAGGATGGTGAAGGAGGAGTAGATGAGCCATGTTCTGGGGGGCAGTGAGCAGGATGGTGAAGGAGCTTAGAACCACGAGAGGACCCCGCTTTTCCAGGGTTTTGGAGGGCAGGGCTCCAGGAGAGGCTCATTTAGGGCTGACTCCGGGCTTGCGGCTTGTGGCATGAGCTCTTGGAGGTTCTCCCTAAGGAGTCAGCCAATCAGGCCTTCCTTTCTTGTGGTTTTGAGCAGATTCCAAGCTGGCTTCACGGGAGGGGTGTTGAACAGGAGTAGCTATATCAGAGTCAAGGCAGGGAGGGGAGACCTCAGTACTGCTGGATGTCGCACATGGAGATATGGGCGCATCTTAGTTATGGTGTCAGTCCCAAAGCCTGTATCTGGCCGAGGTTGCTTGGGGACGTGATGGCTAAAGCTGTGCCCTTGCAGGGTGAGAGTGCGGGGTGGCTGCTCGTCTGGAGAAGAGAGCACCCCTTGGGAAATGGAAGATGGAGGTGGGGATCAGCTGCTGCACAGTTTCCAGGAACACTGGTGTCTCAGGGAGACACCTGGCATCTCAAAATAAGGAGAGGCTGTCTGACAGCTTCAGTTAAGGATGATCGGTGGCTGGGACGGTGGCCGGGAGGGCTGCTGAGCTTCTGAAATGAGCGTTAGGTGACCCTGACCTGCTGAAGGCCCCTGTTCACCTGACCAGGTGAGAGATGGCTCGGAAGTGAGGGAGAGGGGAGAGGGATGCAGGTTGTGGGCCTGTAATCCTTATTGATATCAGCCACCCTCAACCTGAGATGTAAATTGGAATCACCTGTGGCTCTCAAGCTGGCATTCAGACGGGCAGCTTTTCCTGAGCCCTCAAGGAGATTCTGTCTTGCAGCACGTGGGTAACAAGTGGATTGGGTAAATAGGCTCTTCCCTGGAGGGATGGTGTTAACGCAGAGACCCGAGACTGAGCTTAGGAAACAAAAGTGGAACAGAACAACCTCCTGATTTCAAAAGCAAAGGCTTAAAATTTATTTCAGAATGAGTTACAGTGATATTAGTATGTTTTTTTGGGTGGGGAGGACAGAATCTAATTTTAGTTGTTTTAGATTATGGTACTTTTTCCTGCTTGATTTACATGTTAAATGTTTCTGATGAACTGTTAAAATCTTCGAGGTTTTTGCTTCATTTAAACAAATGATGCCTGCCAACTCTACAACTTAAATATGTTTTCCGTGTATATAGATATATACTTAAATATATCTACTGTGTGTTTTGGCTTTGAGGTTTTCAAAAATGTGTATTCAAATCGTGTAGCGCTACAGCTAATTCAGTAATAAGGACTAGGCTTAGTGGCTCCTTTCTGTAATCCCAGCACTTTGGGAGGCCAAGGTGGGAGGACTGTATGAGGCCAGGAGTTCAAGACCAGCCCGGGCAACATAGTGAGACCCACATCTCTAAAAACAAAAAATACAAAAATTAGCTGGGCATGATGGTGAGCATCTGTAGTCCCAGCTGCTTGGGAGGCTGAGGTAGGAGGATCACTTGAGCCCCGGAGTTCAAGGCTACAGTGAGCCATGATTGTGTCACTGAACTCCAGCCTGGGGGACAGAGCAAGCAAGACCCTGTCTCAAAAGGAAAAAGAAGAGAAGGAAAAAAAATCAATCAAATTCTAAGGTGAATTTGAGAGTATACATAAGTTTAATGAAGATTTTTATTTAGTAATAATCATAGGTGCACATGTAGTAAGGATAGTTTTCAAGCGGTGTTAAGGAAGTGGAGATTGAGATGTTAAATAGCATCTGATAGGCGTTTGCTTTTCAAATAGACTTAGTACTTCAGCTTCTTACTCTAGAGACAGAATACAGTTCTTACATGGCTTTTAAGATGCTGCCCCCTTCTGGTGACTAGGAAGATTATAATATCTGTAGCAAATAGGCATTCTGGGGTTTTTTTTTTTTCATATTTAAATATTAGTTTTATTACTGAACCTGAAAAACAAAATGAGGATCAGAGGTAGCGTCTCCTCCTCTGTACTCTCCTTTCTTCCTTGAGAGGAGGAATAACTTTCTGTCTCTTGCTGTTCTTTGTAAATGAGTTTCCTTTTGGCTTTCTTTCTTCTGTCCTTCCTTCCTCTGATGGGTAGAGCATCTCTGTGGGCCAGGTACTGTGTTCAGCATTTCATGAGATTTATCAATTTTAAAGAAGAATTGACAATATGATGCGGAGTTTTCCAGATTGCTGTTTGTTTTGAGAGGGAGTCTTGCTCTGTTACCCAGGCTGGTGTGCAGTGATGTGATCTCGGCTCGCTGCAACCTCCATCTTCCGGGTTCAAGCAATTCTGCCTTGGCGTCCCAAGTAGCAGGGATTACAGATGCATGCCACCACACCCAGCTAAATTTTTTGTATTTTTAGTAGGGATGGGGTCTCACCATGTTGACCAGGCTGGTCTTGGACTCCTGGCCTCAAGTGATCCACCTGCCTCGGCCTCCCAGAGTGCTGGGATTACAGGCGTGAGCCACTGCGCCCGGCCCAGATTGCTGTTTTTTTTTTTTTTTTTTTTTTTATGATGTAAAAGTATCAACATATTTTTTAAAGAAAGTTTCATCTGCTGCTATCTAGAGGAGGTAGCTGGAACCAGAGCACCAGGCTGGCACTGGCAAGGAGGAGAGGGCACCTCCCGGCATGTGGACGGAATGACCCAGGTGAGGCGGGTGTGGCGCCAGAGGGGCCTGTTGCAGACCTGAAGAACTCCAGTGTGTTTTGCAGAAAGGGAGTTTCAGAGAATAAGGGGCAGCCTTGACTCAGACGGCTTGGGAGAGGAGTAAGTGCAGCCCAGCCTCCAGGGGAAGGGGAGGAAAACTGAAGGTTTGTAAGGGATCTGGCCAGCATGGTCTTGATGCCTGGAAACAGCTCCTGGGCTTCTCACCAGTATTGGGAGCTGACTCTTAGAAAGGCAGCCTTCCTGGGGAGCACACCCTCGAGGGGCCGGAAACCGTGAAACTGACCAGAAGCACATAGGTCCAGTGGGCACTGAAATACATTCTCAGGAAGGAAGTGTAGCTGAAGTCCAGAACTCAGCTTACTCTCACTCCTGGGCCTGCTGCTGCCTTAATGTGCCTGCTCCTGTGTTTTTGTTCTGATAAACACGTATAGCACTTTCAATTATGCTGTTACTTACAGCTAAGTAAAGCAGTACTAGGTGGATTTGTCAGTGCCACTTCCTACAAAGTGAAGGCTGGATTTTTGGGGGACTCATTTCCAGCAGCCACCAGCAGGTGGAGGGAGTGAGATGCGTAAACAAACTGTCCCTCATGCTTGGTGTTTGGGCAGATGCATTGCTAAAGCGTGCTCACTAATAAATCCCCTGCTGATATGGCACAAATATTTATAGCCGATGATTGATGTGAAATTAACAAAAACTAGCAGTTGACAGCGATATGAGGTGGCAAAGGCTATTTGGGAAAGTTTCCGTTGTCTTTGAAAATTAAGAAAAATTATACGTTTACTTGCCTTGCTAAGAACTGTTTAAGAATAAATCAACATAAACTAGGGCAGCTTCTTAAACTATGATGGAGAAGCACAAGGTCAAAGTGTTTCGTCTCAGAATGAAGCAGTAATGTATTACTTTGCGTACTGTGTACAGGGGCCGGCAGATGTTTCTGATGTTATGAAGCTATGCTCCTGGAAGTGGTTGTGAAAATCGCAGCCCTGTGAATTGTGTGCCCTAAGAGCCAGCTGTGCTCCTAACAGTGATGCCGTCTTTCCATGGAAATCACCCATAAGCACAGCCTTCAGTCTAACTTCATGTCAAGTCTAAGTGGCACAGCTATCCATGAACACTGTAAACATTCCCAGCTCCATCTAAGGTGATTAAACGGAGTCAGAACCCGGCCATGGATGTGTATTCACTGTTATTTAACAGATGCTCAAACTAGACAGGTGGGACTGTCCAGATGCCTGTGGGGCACTACAGAGTTTTGAGGAAATAGAGTCTCAGACTGGAGCCCCAAGGACCTTGAGGACAGGAGTCTACCTGGGGAGGGGCATCCCAGAGACTTACTCCAGCTGCTTAACTCCGGTGTGCCTGGAGTCACCTTGGGACCTTGTTACCTGCAGATTTGGATTCAGCAAGGCAAGGTGGACCTGAGAGTCTGTGTTTCTGGTGAGCCACAGGTAGCACCCCGGCTGCTGGTCCCTGGTCTGGGGAAAGGCAGGCAGAGTTGGAGAGACCCTTCCCGGGTTCCTGGTTGCAGGTGCTGTGTCATCGTATGGCTGTATTTGAGGGGATTGTGTAAGAAGATGTTGTTAAATTTATTTTTAGAATAATAGACTTTTAGATAGAAGAGAAACCTCGGAGGTCAATCAGCTTTCACTCTTCCTCTCTTGTGCCCCAGTCCTAGTGATGAGAAAAGCAATGATGTTTCCCAAGGCCGGGGCTGTCGACTGAATTGTGTCCCTGCAACCCCGTGTGATGGTATTAGGAGGTGGGTCTGTGGGAGGTATCAGGTCATGGGAGTGGACCCCTTGTGGTGGCACGAATGCCCCTCAGGAGCGCTTGCTCTGTACCCTATGAGGACATCATGAGGAGATATGGCTTCTGCAGGAAGAGGCCTCACCAGGAACCAAATTGACCAGTACCTTGAACTTGGACTTCCAGCTGCCAGAACTGTGAGAGGTAAACGTGTGTTGTTGAAGTGCCTCTGCCGGTGGTCTTTGTGATAGCAGCCCCAGCCGACTCATCACAGCCAGATTAAGGGAGATCAAAAGAGTTAAGGTTCCAGACTCCAGCTCCTGAGTTCTTCTATGTGGAAAGATGCCCCTTCAACCACCAAGGCCAGGGATGCCCTGTGGTTCAGCGTTGTCACCCTTGTTGCCCGCCTCCAGGGCAGAGCTGGGGGCACTGGAGGTGCTCAGGACGTGTGGAGCAGAATTGGGAGTGAATGTTGTGTGCTCAGGGCCACCTCCACTCTGCAAGCACAGCTCCCAGAGATGAGGACGGGGCTTGCTTTGTCCTCTGCCACACACAGCCCTTCATGCAAGGCCTTGGCCCCTCCAGGGCCACACACCTTGGCCACCCAGCAAGCACCCCTTGCTTGGCCAGTCTTTCCGTCACTTCCTTTCCTTTTTCCCTGTCTCCTGAGCTTCAGACTAGTTGACCCTAAGGGGTGTCTCCAGCTGTAAATAACTGTCCAGACTGCTTGTAAAGGAAAACATTGCAACCACCTTACTGCACAATTGATACTATTATTATTTTAGGGTTACCCAAAAATGTGCAGCACGCCCTCGAATGACATGGATTTGTTCTAACGTTGGTGATGAAAAAAATGGATTCCCGCTGGGGCCCTGTCTGTGTGGAGCGTGCACGCGCTCCCGTGTTTCCTGTGTGTGGAGCGTGCACGCGCTCCCGTGTTTCCTTTGTGTGGAGCGTGCACGCGCTCCCGTGTTTCCTTTGTGTGGAGCGTGCACGCGCTCCCGTGTTTCCTTTGTGTGGAGCGTGCACGCGCTCCCGTGTTTCCTTTGTGTGGAGCGTGCACGCGCTCCCGTGTTTCCTTTGTGTGGAGCGTGCACGCGCTCCCGTGTTTCCTGTGTGGAGCGTGCACGCGCTCCCGTTTCCTTTGTGTGGAGCGTGCACGCGCTCCCGTGTTTCCTGTGTGGAGCGTGCACGCGCTCCCGTGTTTCCTTTGTGTGGAGCGTGCACGCGCTCCCGTGTTTCCTTTGGGTGGAGCGTGCACGCGCTCCCGTGTTTCCTTTGTGTGGAGCGTGCACGCCCTCCCATGTTTCCTTTGGGTCTTCCGGTTTCCGTCGACGTCCCAAAGCTGTGCACATTAGGTGACTGGCGTGTCTACAGCATCCCAGTCTGAGTGAGTTTGGGCATGTGTGAGTGGCCCCGCGATGGAACAGCGCCCTGGTTCCTGCCTGCCCCCACTGAGCTGCTGGGACAGGCTCCCACCACCCTGAACTGGAATAATTGGGTAAATAATTATCTTACTTATTTTTACATGTATGTAAGCTCACGTTTATTGCAGTGTTTAATATTAGAAGGGCTTTGGTCTTTATTTAGAAGTTTGGTGATGTTTTTGTGACCAGAAATAAGCCATAGGAGCTTAACTCTTGTTTATATCAAATTACCCTATGGGAAACTTGGTTGCATTGTATGTCGTTTCGTTTAAAGTTGCTGTTTCCAGGAACCTATTGGTGATGTGAAGTGAGGACTTACTGGATGACGTGAAACTAATTTTAACTTTCTTTTACTCATCATCCTGGGATTATTCAAGTATAAACTCAGAATTGCCAAATTAAATGCAAAGATATGAAAAGGAGCCGCTTATGCTAAATGTACAGATGATGCGTTTTTGCTGTAACGGAGTCGTCCCTCCGGGTGCTGACTGTGCCACTCAGCATGGTGGCCCAGGGCTGTGTGTTTGGTGCACAGTGGGACGTCTTAGTCCCACTACCTCAGCCAGACTCCTGGCAAAGTCTTTATTTTTTAAGATAATTTATTTTTAGATTTTATTCAAAATGAAAACCCATTTAAAAAGCACATGAGAAATGAGTTCTTTATTCACTCATCTAAATATTTAGGGCTGTGGATGGGCTCAGCTGCTTTAAATATTTGGCTGGGCAGATGAGTGGGAGCCTGTCTTCCTCTTGTTGACATTTGCGTCTGTGGTGGTGTACACAGATGAGCTCACTGCTGTCCTCGGAGCAGGTAGGAATGTATTTATTTACTCGCATGCCTTCAGATGCTTGCAGTAAGTCCATTTGAGATGCTGCTTCTATTTTTCCTTGTGGAGAACTTACTTGACGCCAACAAAGAAATTTCTAGCTGCTTGTAGAAGACACCCCAGGGTACGCAGCCAGTCCCTTCCACGAATGCTGCGAGAACCCACACAGCTGTTCATTTCGGTGGCCGAGGGCCTGTGGGCTGCAGTACGTTTACACTGTGTGTTGGGGGGGTGGCAGTGTGCTTTCTTCCTGCCCCAATTTTGCCCAGGAGGAGTCTGGTGATGGAGAAGGTGTGGCGGGCAGCAAGGAGGCTGGGGAAGTGGATGCTGCAGGGTGAGCTCTGGGCGACCCAGGAGGAAGTATTTGCATGAATTAGCCACACGCAGAGGGCAGTTATGTGTGATGTGGGAAATGACTGCAAAGCTATCTTACTCTTTATTCCATAGCCACAAAAATAAGTTTATAAAAAGCCCCCACCAAGTCAGGATTTGTCCAGAATGGTCACTCTGCTTTGGAGAACTGCGGATCCCCTGCCATGGCCCATGTGGCTCCGGAAGTTCCTGGGAGTGGCTCGTAGAGCCTGTTTTCATCCTTCAGAGGAATCCTGCAGTCCACTTGCCCAGCGTCACTTCCTCCAGTGCCCTTTCTGGGTCCCACGTGATTCTACCTGATCGCTGGCTCTCTAGGGCTTTTCCCCTCCAGGTTCAGAGAGAGCGCCTGCCCCAGGGCTGGGAAGATGAGCAGGGATCCTGGGATGTGATGGCACGGTCAGTCGCCCCTGGTGGAGGCAATGCTGGTACCCACGACGTGGAGCCCTGAAGGATGAGGAAAATAATTTCTGAGAAACTGACTCAGGGAAGTGCCTGTGTTCAGGGCGGAGGTTCCACTGTGATTTGAAAACAGGCGATTCTTCCAGACAACTTTAAAGATGAGTAGGTGCAAACTGCAGCCACAGTAAACTTCAGGGTGTCAACTTCAGGGGAATATAAACAGCCTCCAGGGAGCCCCTCTCTCCATCCCAGCCTTTCTTCCTCTCTCGTAACTGTTATTTACTCAGTAATTACAGGTTCAAGTCCCTTGTCCAAAATCCAAAAAGCCGACACTGGAAATATTCTGTAGCTCATCTGGCAGCAGGGCCAGAGCTGATGATCTAATTCGGATGATTTATGGCCTCTGTTTACCCCACAGACGATCAGTGTGCCTGCTTCCAGGGGGCTGCTCCTAAGGGAGGTGCTGGCACTACCTTTTCAGCCTGCATGGACTGTGCTGGAAACACTCAGTAGCAACTCAGGCTCAGGGAGCCCTCACCTGAAGCCCTCCTCTTACCCACCCTCTGCCCTATAGACCCCCATACTCCTGTAGATACCCCCTCATTACAGACCCCCACCATCCCCGCTGGATTAGGGTTCTCTAGAGGGATGGAACCAATAGGCCAGATATGTAATAAAGGGGAGTTTATTAAGGAGTATTAACTCACAGGATCACAAGGTCCCACAATAGGCTGGCTGCAAGCTGAGGAGCAAGGAAGCCAGTCCCAGGCCGAAAGCTGAAGAACTTGGAGCCTGATGTTCGAGGGCAGGAAGCATCCAGCACAGGACAAAGATACAGGCTGGGAGGCTAAGCCAGTCTTGCCTGTTCATGTTTTTCTGCCTGCTTTATATTTGCTGGCAGCTGATTAAATGATGCCCACCCAGATTGAGGGTGGGTCTGCCTTCCCCAGCCCGTTGACTCAAATGTTAATCTCCTTTGGCAGCGCCCTCACAGACACACCCAGGATCAATACTTTGCATCTTTCAATCCAGTCAGGTTGACACTCAGTATTAACCAGCATACCCACCATTGTTTCACCTGCAGCCTCCCCCATCTCAGCTGGTGCTCACTTTATTTTTACTGCTTGTTGTTCTGGCCCCAGATCTCAGAGTCCTGGTAACGCCTCTCCTCTTCTCACTGCCTTCAGTATCCAGCCAAGCTGGGAAACGCCACTGCCACAGTACCTGCAGGGTCCAGCCAGCTCCCCACCTCCACTGGATGCCACTGTGTTAGCTTGGGCTGCCACGACAGAGACCACAGAGTGGGTGGCTTAACAGAAGTGTATTTGCTCAGTTTGTAGAAGTTGAAAGTCCAAGGTCAAGGTGGCGTTTCTGGTGGGGCCCCTCTTTCTGGCTTGCAGATAGTTCCTCCTTACTGTGTCCTCTCTGTGCTTGGGGGTGGGGAGAGAGGCGAGAAGGGAAGGAGAAAGAGATGGAGACAGGTTTGCTGTCTCTTCCTCTTGTTATAAGAACACCAGTTGTATTAGTCTGTTGTCGTGCTGCTAATAAGCACATACCTGAGACTGGGTAATTTATAAAGGAAAGAAGTTTAACGGACTCACAGTTCTACATGGCTGGGGAGGCCTCACAGTCATGGCGGAAGGTGAATGAGGAGCAAAGTTACATCTAACATGGGGGCAGGCAAGAGAGCTTGCTCAGGCGAACTCCCGTTTATAAAACCATCAGATCTTGTGAGACTTATTTTCTACCACAGAACAGAATAGGGGAACCCACCCCCAAGATTCAGTAACCTCCCACTGGGTCCCTGGGAGCCACAATTCAAGATGAGATTTGGGTGGGGACACAGCCAAACCATATCACCAGTCCGTGGAGCCAGGTGTGGTGGCTCACACTTGTAATCTCAGTGCTGAGGCGGGAGGATCACTGGAGGCCAGGAGTTTAAGACCAGCCTGGGCAACCTCTTTTAAAGTTAATTACTTCCCAGCAGGCCCTGTTTTTCTGGTACAGTCACACTGGAGGTTCAACACAATCCAGCCACCACATCACCCAGGTCACTGCAGTAACCTCTTAGCGGGCCTCCGTGCCCCATCCCAAAAGGTCCATTCTCAAAGGAGACTCCAGGGTGACCCCTAAAACCCAAGTCCAATCACATTACTCCTGGGCCTCACACCTGCAGCAGCTCTCCAAAATTCTCAGGATAAACACCGATGTCCTTACTATGACCTCCAGGGCCGCAGAGCAGGCACTGGCAAACTGCTGCCACCTGCTTCTGTATGGCTTTCTAGCTCAGCACAGTTTCTGTGGTTTTAAGTAGTTGGGGGAAAAAATCAAAAGCATAACTTGTGGTGCATGACAATGATATGAAATTCATATTTCAGCGAGCACAAATAAAGCCGTGTTGGGTCATAGCCATGCCTGTTTGCTCAAATGTTATCTGTGGCTGCTTTCATGTGACATCAGCAGAATTCACTGGTTGTGACAGAGATCTACATAATTCCCTCGATTTTGTCTCTTGGCCCACAAAACCTAAACTATCTACTCCCTGGCCCGTGGCAGTGGAACTTTGTTAACCCCTGCTTGGCCTTCTTTCCTCACTACCTCTTTGCCCGCCAGGCTCACCCTCACTCCCTCCGCTCCAGCCACACTCAGTCCCTGCTGTTCCTCTAGCACGCCAGCCCCAGGGCCTTTGCATTAGCCGTGCCCTCTGCCTGAGTGCCCTTCCGCTTCCTGCATTTTGCCCTTCCTTCAAGCCTTTGCTCAGTGTGGCCATCCCATTCAGCCTAATGGTGCATGTTTCCTCCACCTCCACAGTTCCTCTTATCCTGTTTCCATTTTCCTTAGCAGTTATCCGCATCAGACACATTTCTTTTTCTTTTTTTTGAGAAGGAATCTCGCTGTGTCACCCAGGCTGGAGTGCAGTGGTGCGATCTTGGCTCACTGCAACCTCCGCCTCCTGGGTTCAAATGATTCTTGTGCCTCAGCCTCCCGAACAGCTGGGATTACAAGCACTTGCCACCACGCCTGGCTAATTTTTGTATTTTTAGTAGAGAAGGGGTTTTACCATATTGGTCAGGCAGGTCTTGAACTCCTGACCTCAGGTGATCCTCCTGCATCGGCCTCCCAAAGTGCTGGGATTGCAGGCGTGAGCCACCGTGCCTGGCCCATCGGACACACTTCTTACTGATATGGTTTGGCTGTGTCCCCACCCAAATCTCATCTTGAATTATAGCTCCCATAATTCCCACGTGTTGTGGGAGGGACCCAGTGGGGGATAATTGAATCATGAGGGTGGTTTCCCCCATACTGTTCTGATGGTAGTGAATAAGCCTCCTGAGAGCTGGTGGTTTCATAAGGGGAAACCCCTTTTGCTCGGCTCTCGTCTCTCTCTTGCCTGCCGCCATGTAAGATGTGCCTTTCACCTTCTGCCATGATTGTGAGGCCTCCCCAGCCACTTGGAACTGTGAGTCCATTAAACCTCTTTTTGTTTATAAATTACCCAGCCTAGGGTATGCCTTTATCAGCAGCATGAAAAACGAACTAAGGCACCTACTGTATTTGTTTTCTTGTCTGTGCACCACTGCGGAACTGTGAGCTCCCAGAGTGCACAGATATGTGCCAGACACCAAGATCAGAATGGGTGCTTCGCAGTGCTCAATACATTATTTATTGAATGACTTAATGTAGAATGACTAGTTACACAGTTCAGGTGCTAGGAGGCAGTATAAAAGTCAGAGAGCAAATGCTTTAAGAAACTGTAGTATACACCAGGAAATGCAATTCTTTAGTTAGATACCTTCTCCTTTCAGTAAAATTATGTTCAGTGCTGTAAATAGGCAACTTTCAGTGATTTGTTTTTCAAACAAGTGGCTTTTTATCTTTTCCTCTTGACAGTGAGTGTCTCTCCATGTGTGAAGTATTTTCTCCTCTCATATCTGTGAAGTCCTGCTTGTAAGTGTTTCGGTTATGCAACATTTCATGGGGAATTTGAGCACTGGAATTCTTGGTCGCTAGTTAGGTGGGTCTTACCGCATTTGTCAGAAAGGAATGCGTCCATCAGGTTGGTTGACGGGTTGGTTGACGGTCTGCAAGTTGCAGTCTTGGCACAGGCACCCATCAAAATGACACACGGTGACTCTGGTTTCTTCCAGCATCCCCGAGATGAAGATGAAAAACTGTTGCATAGCAGGTGGATCTTGCTAGAAGCTCTCCAGCCATGTGATTAGTTTATTTGCTCATTTTTTTTTTCCTTTTAATATAAATATATCAGAATTCAGGCTGGTTTCAGAACCTGGCATCAGGAATGGAATTTAAAAAAAAAATTGGTTCAGATGTATCATTCCTCCAATTGGCATATATAAAAAGAATAGTGTGGCTCTTGCCTGGTAATACTGGCACTTTGGGAAGCCAAGGTGGGAAGATTGCTTTACTCCAGGGATTTGAGACCAGGCTGGGCAGCATAGTGAGACCCCGCCTATACAACAGATTTTTTTTAATTAGCTGAACATGGTGGTGTGCACCTGTAGTGCCAGCTACTCGGGAAGCTGAGGCAGGAAGATCCTTTGAGCCCGGGAGGTTGAGGCTGTAGAAAACCACGATTGTGCCAGTGCACTTCAGCCTGGGCAACAGAGCGAGACCCTGTATCAAAATAAAAAAAAAAAAAGTGCTTGTTACTGTCCTCTTTATGCCAGTTCCTTTAGGTTGCACATTCGTGTTTCTTTTTTATTTTTATTATCTTTTTTTTTTTTTTTTTTTTTTTTTTTTGAGATGGAGTCTCGCTCTGTTGCCCAGGCTGGAGTGCAGTGGCACGATCTTGGCTCACTGCAAGCTCCACCTCCCAGGTTCACGCCATTCTCCTGCCTCAGCCTCCTGAGTAGCTGGGACTACAGGCGCCCGCTACCACGCCTGGCTAATTTTTTGTATTTTTAGTAGAGATGGGGTTTCACCATGTTAGCCAGGATGGTCTCGATCTCCTGACCTCGTGATCTGCCCGCCTCTTCCTCCCAAAGTGCTGGGATTACAGGCGTGAGCCATCGCGCCCAGCCTATTACCATTTTTTTTTGAGACGGAGTCTCTCTCTGTCCCCCGGGCTGGAGGGCAGTGGCGCGATCCTGGCTCACTGCAACTTCTGTCTCCCAGGTTTAAGCGATTCTCGTGCCTCAGCCTCCCAAGTAGCTGGCCACAGGCGTGCATCACCATGCCTGGCTAATTTTTGTATTTTTAGTAGAGATGGGTTTCACCATGTTGGCCAGGCTGGTCTCAAACTCCTGACCTCAAGCGATCCGCCTGCCTCTGCCTCCGAAAGTGCTGGGACTACAGGCATGAGCCACTGTGCCCAGCCTCATGTTTCTTTTGACAGATAACATTTAATAGTAATAAATAAGTGGTAATAAGTAATAAATAATAATTGAGTGCTTTTCACATTCCAGGTGCTGAGCTGTTTTGCATTTCACGCCCCTCATCTTCATTTATATTGTTGTTCTTAATTATCCCCATTTTACCGATGAGGAAAGGGAGATTGTAACCACCCCGAGGCTGCACAGCTAATACCCAGAGAGCAGAATTTCGCCACATGCGAAGATTCTAGCTAATCCTAAAATCTGTTTTTCACCAGACGACGCCGGCCCTTCCGGCTTGTCGTGCAGCACGGCATTATCTGGTACCCACCATTTGTATCCCGGCATCATTTATCTTCTCCCTACCTTGTTGCCAAGGCACGTGTGGGTCCCTAACGGCTGGAAACACCAATTATTCAAGACACCCTAAGGGAGACCAGAAGGAAAGCGATATTTAAGAAATGCAGGCACAGAAAAATTTAAGCATTTTAGACTCATTCTCCATCAGAAACAGGGAGGTCTTTGAAGAGGCTGCTTTTGTAAAAATTGCCAGCTGTACCCGGTCAGCACATTTTTGTTGTCTAACATTTGTTCTCAACCAGCAATTAGTCAATGACTCTAGAATTTCAGCGCAGATCCGATGAGTATAGAGGACGCGGTGTACGCCCTGTGTTGCCATGGCAACGCAGGCATGCACATCCTCCTCCCTTGGCTGCAGTGTGGTGGTGAACAGCACTCCGGTTGCTTAAGTGCTGTCTGCAGACACAAAGATGTGTTTGCCTGGTGAAATTACAGAGCTTTTCTTTCTACTTTTTAAGAATTTTCTACACTTTCTCCAATAAGTATGTGTTTTATAAGGAAAACAACAAAACAAGCAAACATGTTTATAGGTCTGCAGAGAAGAAGAGTTCTTGTAAACAGTGTTGAATATTCATGGTTCCCAAGATCGGCCATTTCCCCGGCCTTTCACCGGTGAGAAGTAAGGCATCTGCTCTGGCCAGTGGCTTGCGTTCCATTGGTCACCCTTGGCATTGCTTCACATATGTTTGCGGCTGCCCTTTTTTAACCCCTTGGTGAATGTGATGTAGGAGGCAGAAGAAAGGCCTTCTGTTCTCCACAACAGCAGACCGCTGAGAGCCGATCATGTATCTGTTTTTAAGGAAAGCAAAACCTGTTTGCCAGAGATGAACATCCTTCACCCTGGAGCCAGCATCTGGTAGATTTGGGGGTTTGGGGATGGCAGGAATGAGTTACTCGATTCAGAGACCAAGAACTACTTCTGTGAAAGCATCATCTGGGTTTATGTTTGGAATGTCTAGTATCACATCCATAATGAACCTTTTTTTAAAAAAGTGGGCATCAGAATGAATCTTGCATGTCACCAAATCGAAAGCCAATCCTGAGTCATAGAAGCATTGACTGGTGCCAGAACTTCAAAGAAAGAAGGAACACTGCTTACCTTAAATTTTAATTGTTTACAGTTGTTTGCAAACCTTTTGGCTTGGTGGCTCACGCCTTTAATCCCAGCACTTTGGGAGGCTGAGACGGGCAGATCACCTGAGGGTCAGGGGATCGAGACCAGTGTGGCCAACATGGTGAAACCCCGTCTCTACTAAAATACAAAAAATTAGCCTGGCATGGTGGCGCACGCCTGCAGTCCCAGCTACTGAGGAGGCTGAGGCAGGGGGATCGCTTGAGGCGGAGGCTGCAGTGAGCTGAGATCACGCCACTGCACTCCAGCCTGATGACAGAGCAAAGCAAGACTGCCTCTTGAAAAAAAAAAAAAAAAAAAAAAAGCACTGCTTACCTTAAATTATAATTGTTTACGAACCTGTTTCACACATATTATCTCATCTGGCCCATGAGACTGGCAGGTGAGAAAAATGGGTATTAAATTATTGTTTACATCCCACTGACAAAAATAAACAGGGTCAGCTGGGTAAGGGACGTTTCCCGGATTCGTTAAGGGGCAGAAGTGGGACCACGGTGAGTTCGTTTGTTTCCAAATCCAGAGCCCCCCCTTCCCTGCCCAGACCCAGGGCTGCCCCTAGACCATGCAGGGGAATGCTAGGTGGGAAATAGGACATTTTGTTGAAGCCCGATGCATGATTTAGCCCACCAGTACTTGGGTTCTAATATTCCATTGTGTGCTAAAAACAATGTACTTGGATCAAACTTTACCTTATATTCATGCAATCTCACAGTTATGTGGAAATCTAGCTATTATACAGAATTATTAGTCTACCTTTAGGGCTCCCCACAGCAACAAGCAAACTCACAGAGCCCAGGGCAGGAGGAGCTGTTCTGACTTCAGGCGGCCTTGCCAGGAGCCCGTTGGCCTGGGTGGAGCCCGTTGGCCTGGGTGTCCACTGTCAGAGGATGGAGATTGATCTGGGGTTACCTTTTTCAGCCTTTGCTTTGTTTGTCACCTGAAGGGGCTGGATCCTGAGCCCTGTAAGGCCCCCTTCGGCTGGTGCACACAAGAGGACAGCTTTGAGCCTCCACCAAGGTCTCTGGATTCCACTTTAAGTGCGGGCTTGGGTGTGGGAAGCTGCAGGCCAGCCTCGAGGGCAGCCTCCTGGAGGTGGAAGGGCAGCGGGGCGCGAGACTGCTGCGCTGGTGGGATGCTTGGATTCCCAGGCCCCAAGTCACTATCGGGGAACGTTCTTTGAGGTTTAATAGTATTTTAGGATTTTTTAAAGGATAGATAATATCTAGATGTTGTGTTCTACCAAAACAAATATTGTTCTTTTGGA
Source organism: Homo sapiens (assembly GCF_000001405.40). Lineage (NCBI taxonomy): Eukaryota > Metazoa > Chordata > Mammalia > Primates > Hominidae > Homo > Homo sapiens. The sequence goes on from NC_000002.12 coordinate 235,607,929, forward strand.
AATATGTTAGACCAAAAAAATGCATCTAGATCTTCGAGTTTTGACTTGGAAGTGCCTCAAGTGAGCGAGTGCCTGCTGTCTCAGACATGAGGTGGATGCTGAAGAGATTACCCCTGACTTCATAGTCTGCCTGTCTCAGAGCGTGGGCGGGTTGGCATCGTCTGCACGTTGACCGGGTCGTTTTTAGCTTTGCCCACTTTTCATTTTTGGCTTCACAGAGTGATGCCTCTGGAGCATCCCCTTGCGGAGCCTCAGCATCTCTTCTCTGCTTGGCCCACGTCTAGCAGTTCTTCTTCATCTTGCAGGGAAAGTGTGTTGGCAAACATGCTGGATACTGTCAGAATCAGAGCAGGCTGGATCCATGGCCGTATTCTGTAAAATTCCATTGTGTCTTTTTTTCCCCCAAGTAATCTGGCTCTGGGAGGAAACTCGCTGATTGGAGACTAGCTGAGAGGGCTTGGCTGGGATTCTGTGGGATGGGGCCTTCAGGAGGTGGAGCCGCCCCAGGCCATGGAGACCTGGAGATGCTCAGGGAAGGGGGTGGTCAGGCCCTGGGTCCCATGTTGGCAGCCTCCCTGGCCCAGCGTTGGGCTGGGACCCTCTGCCTCTCCCAGTGAGACCAACCCTGCCCTCTGGACGGATGGAAGGACACTGGGGAGCCGATGATGCCCAGAGTGTCTGGGGGACGCATCCAGGGTCCCAGGCCCAGAAAACAGTGGAGCCAAGAGAGGAACGAGGTCTCTGGATTCCGGACGCCCTGCTGCTACTTGGCCTCCAACCAAAAAATTGTTCTTCTCCTTCCTTTTTTAGTAGGGGAGAGAGGAGCAATTTTCCATGGAATATATCTGATGGCAGGTCTTGAGGTCAGTCTGTCAGAGGCCTGGGAGATCAGGGGACAAGGGTGAAATTCGAATAGATTGTACGAAGGTTTGAGAGCTGGCATGACCCACTTTTGACCGTAAAACCTTTCAGCTTGTTCTTGACTTCCCCCCCATCCCTAATACCCCCAACTATGCAAATGATAGTACTAGGAATAATAGTAGTAGAAGTAGTAATAATAATTACAGAAGAGCAAATTTAAGAAGCTAAGGAGGGAGGAAGGAGGCAGTGGTAAGTTCTGCATAGAAATGATTTTTGCACAGAGCTTTGTCATTGGGAAGGATGCTTATCACAGGGGGCTGATGAATTTGTTTCCTTCTTGCCTTATTTTTGGCAGTTTTCTTTCTTGATGGTGGGGAGGGTTTGTGACCAGGTCCTAGTGAGGCAGCTTTCTGAGCACTTTTTCTTGATCACTGATGATGACCGTAAACAAGCTGTGGGAACATAAGGAAAAGCAGATGTGGCCACTGGTGCTTGGAAGAGAACACAATGAAATTGAGTCCCTAGCAGGAGAAGTCCCTGTTAAAATGGCCAGAGGACATGGGGACATGGGGCAGGGAGAGCTTCAGAATGAGCGGGAAGCCTCCACAACAGGTGGAGAAAATAGCAAGGGCTGCTGGGCACGATCATTCGAGATTCCAAGAGGTAAGAACTGGGGGCTGGGCTGTGGAAGAAGTGCGAGAGGGAGTGGGGAAGGCAGGCTGGGCGTGCTGTGGTTATAGGCAGCCTACATGTCTTGAGTTTTCAGTAGAGAAGGCCTGCTCCTCACTTTGACCCCGGACCTGCATGCGCGCTGAGGATGGCAGAGGGGCTCCTGCCTGTCTCAGTGCTCTGGGGTCCCGTGCTGAGGGAGCATCCTTATGGTAAACGTCCCTGGTTCTGTACCGGAGGAACAGGAGCTCTGGAGGTCTTCTGTTTGCTGTTGTATGCTGTGGCTCAGAAGTTATGTGGCCACTTTCACTCCCAACTCACAGGCCAGAAAGTGTAGTGGGAGGCTGTGGGCATATTTGGCGCTTGGCAGGATTGAAGGCGCAACTCTTGGCTTCGTGTTTCAGAGGTTGGTAAATGGAGTCTTGCTCGCCAGGTGCATGAGGTGAAGTCACTGGGCTGGGTGCAGGGAGTGAGTGGCCAACCACCTGAGAATACCTGGTGTTTCCTTCCTCAGGGACGGTTTGGCACTGGGCAACAGCTCCATTTAGCTAGGGTAGGATAATGGTAAAGTTGCCAGCAGCAATGCTTTTCCTGCATTTGCCCCAACTCTGTGCAGGGCCAGCACTTTTAGCTCCTAGTCACAGATATGGTGACAGGCTTGTCTCCACCATTGGAGTAAGCTCCAGCCCAGCTCCTGGCTTCTGATCTGTGTTGACTGCTACCCGATAGAGCCACAGTCATCCTGTGTGCCTGCTTGAGTCTGCACCGAACATGGCTCTAGCTTCTTCGTTGGCCAGACAGGATCTGCTGTATCCTTATGATACCTCGTCATCTTGGAGTCCACCGTGCACTTGTCCGCTTGGGCTGCCATAACAAAATACCAGACGCTGGGTGCCTTAAACCACAGAAATGCATTTTCTCACAGTTCTAGAGGCTGGAAGTCCAAGATCAGGGTGCTGGCATGGTTGGACTCTGGAGAGACTCTTGTCCTGACTTCTAGATGTCTGCCTTCTTGCTATCCTCACGTGGTGCAGAGCATGCCAGCTCTCTGCTGTCTCTTTTTCTAAGGGTGCTAATTCCATCATGAGGGCCCCATCCTTATGACCTTGTCCAACCCTAATTACCTTCCAAAGATCCCACCTCAGATACCATCGCATTGGGGGTTGAGCTTTAAATACAAATTTCAGGAGAGCTCAATACAGCCCATAGCACAGCGCTTCCGCACACATCCACATTGCAGACCCGCCATCCTCAAACGCACTGTGCTCCCGTGAGCTCCCTGCCCTGGAGTGGAAACCCTGGGCTGGGGAGGAGGTGCGCTAAGACTGGGCCACAGGTGTGCTCTGGTTCAGAAAACTCTTGCAGGTCCTACTTCCTGCCTTGACACCACCCCCTGCCCACAGCCTTCTCATTCTTGTCCTGTAGCCCAGTTTCGTTTCACCTGTCCTCTGCCTGTAATCCTTTTCAGCCCCTCTGAAGAGCGGCCCAGTAGGATGGTTGACTGACGTTAGCTTGGCTTTCTTCCTAAGGCACCGTCTTCCTCATTGAAACTGTGCCCATGACCTCCGGAAGCCTGCCAGCCGCCTGCCTGCAACCCCATAGCCGAGTCAGCTCCCTGGATGGGCTAGTGTGTTGACCTTCCACTGCCCCGAGGGGAGGACTCTGCCCTACTGGATCCTCCACCTCTCACTTCATTTTGCCAGTTGAAATGTTCCCCTGCCTAGTGTAGGGACTGCCACTTCATGCTGTCTTGCCAGAGCACCTTCCCAGGCAGCTGCAAAGGTGGTCTTGGTTTGACTCCCTTGTGGCCCACACAACACTTTCGTTGGAGATGAAGAGTCTCCCTTTCAGACTGCAAGCCCCTTGAGGTCAGGATGCTGCAACGAATATAATAGAAAATGATGTTAATATTCAAGGTCATGGCCATCCTCAATGCAGCCTTCATATTTTCATAATGAATAGTTATTGTGAAGGAGCTGATTTTTGGAGGAGTGGTTTGTCTGCAGTTGCACACATCTGTGATAACATGGGGTGGGTGGTTCTGATTCCTGTTTTGAGGTGGTGATTTATGATGCCTGTGTACTTCCCTGTGGTGCCCAGGCCTGCAGATTACAGACGCTGTGTAATTAGAGAATCCCTCTCCACATGTGTTCTCTGAACAGGGAGCCCAGGGAGGCTTGGATCTTTAGATTGATAAGCAGGATAGTAAACCAGTTGTGAGGAACATTGTATAGAGAAAAAACAACCTTGAGTTTCTGTTGAAATCTAGATTTGGTATAACTGTCTTCATTTCTTTAAAGAGCATTCATCAATGATATTAATGATTTTCATTTCCTACCTTTGTAGTTTTCATATAAATTAGATTTACATAGGAGACAAAGAAATCCTTCCCTCCCTGTTCCAGTTGTGGAACATATGGTCACCGTTCTGTGACTGGGAGCATTGCTGTTTGGCATGCTTGTGGGCACGGTTTAAGGGTTGAGACCACATCCTAGGTGGCGGTCACAAACCCGGCCCAGCGGCCTCCCTGCTAGGCAGTCCTCCATCAATACTGATGTTAATAATTATGTAAAATCATTCCTGTCCGCAGCCTAGAGTCTCACTGGAGAACAATCAGACATGCTTTATTTTCTACTTGTAATCGTAATCTGAGTGCAATTTCAGGACTTTGTTTTCCAGATGGCTTATTGTTTCACACGTTTTCTTTTCTCAGTGAAGCCCAGGTAACCTGCTGCTTGGGTGTACGCTGGGCGGGTTCGCAGTGCTGGAAGAGAGAGTGGACAGATTTTACACCAGCACCTTTCATCTCAGGGGTGCTTGTGAATTGATTGCACCCCTCCTGTGGCGTGGAGGCGGTGCCTGGTTAAAGTGGGGCTCAGATGCCCCTTGGTTGCATTTAATGTGTGTGCATAATCAGAGGGCAAGGACAGCAGTAAATAATTTATGTCAGCTGGAGCCCTTGGCCCTGGTAATGAGATCTCAGGGGCAGCGCCTAGAGTGCTGGGCCCTTCCAGATGATCTATGAATTGGTCTTTGCCTTTGTACTTATTCAAACTGACAAATACTTACTTAATAGCTGATTGTATTCAGGTGCTAAGGGAAAAGAACGTGACTGTGTGGGGGTCTCCCTGACTCCTTAGAACCTGCAAATGCATGAAACTCATGTTAAGAACAGTTGTGGTTCACGTGTACCAAACTTGGGAAATCCTGACCAGCGCATCCAGGGTTGCTTGGGCACAGTGGTCCTTTTGCATGGGGTGGCCGGCCAGGTGTGCTGAGTGCCACCTGGGCTTGCATGCCGGACGCATACCTGGCACCTGCTTCCAGGTTGGCCTGCCAGCCGATGTTGTGATCTTGTGGAGGGAATGACCCCACGTCTCTGGATTCTGGCTTCTGCTTCCAGTGAGACTCCGCCCAGGTTATGTTTGTGGCCTTTTATCTCTCCAATGTGAGGCATCTCTGATGATGCCTAAGGATGTCCTTCTAATTTGGAGTTAACCTCTCTTTCCCAGGTGAGGTTAGCAAATACGTATAGATTGTAACAAGAGAATTTTGCATTTCAGTTTTGTTTTTTTTTTTTTTTTGAGATGGAGCTCACGCTGTCGCCCAGGCTGGATAGAGTGCAGTGGTACGATCTCGGCTCAGTGTAACCTCTGCCTCCTGAGTAGCTGGGATTACAGGCAGGCACCACCATGCCCAGCTAATTTTTGTATTTTTAGTAGAGACTGGATTTCGCCATTTTGGCCAGGCTGGTCTTGAACTCCTGGCCTCAAGTCATCTGCCTGCCTCGGCTTCCAAAAGTGCTGGGATTACAGGCCTGTGCCACTGCACCCGGCCACATTTAATATTATTTACCTGAGATTTTTGAGGCAAGCAGCCCTGGGGATGTAAGCACCTTTTAATTTGGCAGCTTATTTGATAAGCAAATGGGTTCTATCTTAAAATCCAAAGTTGTTTACACTTAATGCATATTTTGAGAGCTGTTACCCAAACCTTTTTCCTTCCTTCAATGAGAAGACTTATATCTTTTTGAGCAGAAACTGTGGATTCAGAAACCAACAGAACTCTTCATTCTCCTTAAGGAGATAGAGGCCAGGGAAAGTGTTTTTAGGTAAATAATAACGCCTTCTTGCCTCTCTCCCTTTATCTCCCCATTCTCCCTGAAAAAACTACAAGAAATGGTAAGGAAGAGAATAAAAGAGGAAAATAAATCACAGATAACTAGAACCACTTTATTGCTATTATTCCAGGTGATCTACTGATAAATTAAAAGAAAGATGAATATAAGCTGGTAATTACTTTAAAATATTCCTTTGTGAATGTGCCTAATTGGCGCGGGCCTCCCTGTAGAATGAGGCTCCTCCTGCAGTTCGAGGAGAGGCTGTAATTAACAGTGAATTAGCATATAGTGGCGCCGTGTGGCCCGCAGGGTGGCCTTGTCCATCTGCTGTGTAGGGGACTTAGGTGACACCTGGCTAGTGGTAGTCTGCAAGAACCCTTTGTTAATGGGAATATTGTGCATGAGTCAGAATTCAGAATCTTTGGTATGGTTTTTTTTTTTTCCCCCTTTTGTGTGTTTTGGCCAAATACTCAAAAGCACTAAGTTTTCTTGCGTGGTATCTGTTCATATATTGATTCACCAAATATTGATTGTACATCTGCGAATGTGCTAGATACCCTACTGGTGCTGGTGAGCAGAAACAGGCAAGGTCTTTGGCCTCAGGGGGTCCTTGGAGTCTAGAAGGGATGGTGACATTGGCCAGAGTCACCCCATAATCATACAGTTAGCAGTGTGGCCAGCGTCACTTAAAGCGGGGAGGTGGCTGGTGCTGGAGCGTGTATAACAAAAGTGGGATCCGGAAAGGGCTGCTGGCGAGTGGGAGTTTTCTAGGGAGCCGCTGCTCTTGCTTCAGGTCTCAGATGGCATAGGAGTGTGTGTCATCCCAGAGGAGCAGCAGCAAACGGCCTGTGATGGGCTGGATGTATTTGGGGAGGGAAGAAGGCAGTTGTAGCTCAAGGGAGAGAAAAGGCAAGGAGAAACATGGCGAGGGGTGGGGGCTTTGCTCTTTAGCCCGTGAGCAGTGGAAAGTCATTGAATGCTGTCTGGTGTAAAATCTGTTAGCAGTTTCACTTCCATCTGGAGCACCCAGGCCTGCAGGAGTGTGGGTTGGCTCTCTACCCCCGTTGCAGATTGGCTTGTGGTTTGGGGTGTGCCAGGCTCAGGGGCAGGGCCCTTTTTCCACACGCTTAGGGAAGATACGAGACTGGCTAACTCAGTATTCACCGTGAATTCTTTTGTGGGAAATAGAACACAGCGTTGGGTACCAAGAGGGTGCTGTCTTTTCCTGTTTTCTTGGCCTCCTAGGGAATCAGTTTGATTCTGTGGCTATTAAATTAATGGTTTAGCTGAGATGTTTTCTCTACTCAGGGCCCAATGCCGTATGTGATATTTTACAACAAATTTGGTTCACTGGGGCCGACTTGAAAATAGTCAAAGTCCAAGTAAACTTCTGCCTGTGTGTGGTGCGCTCAAATAAAGGAGGCTGTTCAAGGTGAGTGGTTTTCCTGGCGGTGTGGTTTTTTAAAATTTCTAATAAAATGCAAATGATTACAGCCCCTTCCATGAAGAGTGCAAGTACGCCTGACTCCTCCGCGCAGGGAATGAGCAGCCTCTGCTCCTTCATTTGATTGCTATGACAACCCACAGAGGTGGGTGTTGTCACTTCCACTGCCAGCCAGCTTGCACGGTCCAGGGACGTCCCCACCCTCGGTTGGGTTGTCCAGGGTCACATGGTTGGGAGTCAGAACCAGACTTCAAAGGGCATGTGACTACAGCATCCATCCTCCCTGCTCTGCCTCGCACTGCCTTCTAATGGGTCCCACTGAGGAGCTTGCCAGTATTGTTACAATTGGAGTGATCTCATATGACCAAAAGTTGGAATGATCCCATTCTTTACTCACAGCCTGAGCTATTTTTTTTCAAAGCATTATCTCTCTACTGTTTGTAGGCAGAGAATTTATTAAATCTTGCCTAAATTTATCCGTAAGCATGGATCAAATGCACATTTGGCATGATTCTCATCTCTGAGCCATTGCAACCTATTTTTTAATGCCAAGAGAAAGTATTTTAAGGAAGTGGGGTCAGCTTTCCTCTGCTCCCCTGACTTCACAGGATAGCTATGCATTTTGCCTCTTGGGGAGCTGGGTTATTGTGAAACTAGGTCAAATTATTGTTTTTTCTCTTTATGCTCATAGCCATTCCAAAGACAGAATCCTTTCCTCAAAAAATGAATTTTTGAGTGTTCCTATATTCTTGGGGATGAACTTCAAGGGCAGAAAATAAATGAAAGGGGATTACTTTGACAGCATCTGAACAACAGAACACCTTCTGAACAGCACAAACACTTGTAGCAAAATTAAAAGACCAACAAAAATATGTATTACATATAGAGCATTGTCTTCTATATGTAAAGAGTTCTTATAAAACAATAAGAAAAATATTTCCTAACTAAAGGAAATGGACACAAAATTCATAAAAGAAGAAACAAAGGAGCAATTAAGATATAAATATATTTGGCTTTGTTGATTAAAGAGTAACAATTAAAATGACAGGTGACTTCTGGGCCGGATGCAGTGGCTCAAGCCTGTAATCCTAGCACTTTGGGAGGTAGAGGCAGGCATATCACAAGGTGAAGAGATCAAGACCATCCTGGCCAACATGGTGAAACCCTATCTCTACTAAAAATACAGAAATTAGCTGGGTGTGGTGACGTGCACCTGTAGTCCCAGCTACTGGGGAGGCTGAGGCAGGAGAATCACTTGAACCCAGGAGGCGGAGGTTGCAGTGAGCCAAGAGTGCGCCACTCTACTCCAGCCTGGTGACAGAGTGAGACTCCATCTCAAAAAAAAAAAAAAGGTGACCTCTTTCTTTTCATCTGGTTAAGTTCAGTGTTAAAAACAAAGGCCCAGTGTTGGTGAAGGTGATGGAAAATAGTTCCCCTTTTACATTTTAGTGGGAAAAATGTAAATTGAGATAGCCATCTGGAGAGAAATTTGTCAAACAGTAATAAAAACCCTAACAATGTATTTGACCTCTGACCTGGCAATTTCATTTCTGCCTATCTTCTTTTAACCCTAGATTGATTAAACTCGTTAAATAAAACACATTTGTGGGTATAGAAAACTTCATAGGTTTCTGGCTTCCTGCCCCACCTGTGGTTTCATTCTGCCCAGTTGTGTTCAACTTGAAAACGCTTGGTGCCTAGCACAGAGTAGACCCTTAATAAATGTTTCTGTCCTGAACAGATTTAAAAACAAATAGTGAAAACAAAATTCTGAACGTATGATTTTAAAAATCATTTTGTAGCCTAACACTTAGGAAACGTACTTTTTTGTTGCTTCGCTGAAGTGAGGAGGGGTGTATCTTGTAATTTTTAAATGCCATTATTAACTTCCCTAGGGATGCTTGTAAAATGAACAAACGTGCATCTTTAAATTTTTTTTATTTTTTTTTTTTAAGCTTGGAAAGAGTTGAAAAGTCAAAGTCACATCAGCTCTCTAGGGATTGGGCTGGGCTCACATTTTATGAATTTGCTGTAAAGAAGGGAAACATTTGCTTTCACTTTTGGCATGCTGAAGTGGCTTTACCAGGGAATTGTGACTTTAATTTTAAGAATTAATCGTAATGTAGGGGGAAAAATGTTCTTAAAACACAAAACAAACATGTGTGAATAGATGAGGAACAGCAGTTAAAATAATAACTTTCAAAAACTAGGTTAAAATGTCCAGAGAATTAGATTTTGTTAATGTTCAAAGCACAGCTAAGTTACTTTTTCTACAAACAATTCTTGAAAACGTTTTTGATTTTTAAGAGGAAATTAGAATAGTGGTTGAAATCATGAGGCCCCAAATCAGCAGTGTGCTTGCTGTTAATTTTGTTGTTGTAAAGAACATTTGTTTTTGGCCAGGTGCGGTGGCTCACACCTGTAATCCGAGCACTTTGGGAGGCCAAGGTGGGTGGATCACCTGAGGTCAGGAGTTCCAGACTAGCCTGGCCAACATGGTGAAACTCTGTCTCTACTAAAAATACAAAAATTAGCCAAGTATGTTGGTGGGCACCTGTAATCCCAGCTACTCAGGAGGCCGAGGCAGGAGAATCGCTTGAACCTGGGAGGCGGAGGTTGCAGTGAGCCGAGATCCCGCCACTGCACTCCAGCCTTGGCGACAGACTGAGATTCCATCTCAAACAAACAAAAGAACATTTGTTTTTGAGTTATAATCTCTGTTTCTGCGGCCTGGCTAATAGTTTGGATAGAAACATGTCTTGCATACATGAGTATTTGTTTTTTGTTTTTAAAAACACTCCAAATTCAGATTTCTTTTATTAAGTAAGTGGATGCAGTGCATAGTTTTGGGATATGCATGCATGCACTTTTGAATTTAAATACATACTAAGATGGCAGTTGGGGGACCTGAGTCTCCCTTGTGGTGCTGTGGGTTTGTAGGGGCCGGCGAGTTAACTGAACTGAGTTGAGTAGCTCACATCTCGTGGAGCATCAACCAAGAGGATGCAACTTGTGTAACTGTGAGAAGCTCAGACTTGGAAGATCTGCGTCTGTATGTGATCGCACACATTTTGGAGGGTGGGATGTGCTCGGTCTTGGGCGCGTGCAGTTTTTGCTCCCTTTTACTGTTACTGCGTTGATGATGTGTAACCCATGATATCCATGAGTTACTGTGATTTCTTTGTTTATTTTGACTCAGAGCTCCAAATACATGGGATGCTAGCAATTTCTGTGTTATCATTACTAAACCACAAGAGCTGGAAAATTCCAGTAGGTTTTTGTAGGTGATTTTTCGGGAGCAGTTGGTTTTCCTTGGCCTTCATCCTACTCTACAGAGTGAATGTGACTAGGTTCTGTTGTCATGGGGCACCTGGTCTATCTTGCAAGTTGAAGCCCCTATCTGTCCAGTTTAATTGACCTCCTGCAGGTCTGGTCTTTCTTAGTTTTTTTCTAACCTTCACTTTCTGGTAGACCCATTTCACATTAGTGCAAAAATTTTCAGTCTCAATTCAGGCATAAAGCTTCAAGTTAAGGATTTATAGATGAAAAGGCTTTAGTTATTTTATCTTTTTATTAAGGTCCATTTTTAAGCTTATATTTAAATAATGTACCATAAAAGCTTAAAATTACAAGACTTAAAATTTTAATAGTGGCTGTTAATAATTATTATTACTGAGCTCTTGTTATGTGGTATGTATAATCTTATTTAACCCTCAAAACAAAAGCAGAAATCAAAACCTGGGTGGGTAGATGTGGTAGACGTAATAACGGCCCCCAAAGATGTCCCAAGTCCTAATCCCTGAAACCTGTGAATGTGTGACCTTCTGTTGGCAAAAGAAATTAAGTTAAGGACCTTGCGTTGGGAGATTATTCTGGGCTATCTGGGTGGATCTGTCATAATCACAGGGGTCTCTATAAAAGGAGGCAGTAAGAATGATCTTTTGGGTCAGAGTCACAGAAGGAGATGTGAATATGAAAGCAGAGGCTGGAGTGATGGAGCCATGAGCCAAGGAATGGGGGAGAGCGCTAGGAGCCGGAAAAGGCAAGGAAATGGACTCTACCCCAGAACCTCCAGGATCACAGCCCTAAGTCACCTTGATTTTAGCCCATGTCGATTTTAGACCTTGGATGTAAGGTAAGAAATGTGTGTTGTGTCAAGCAAGCCACCAAGTTTGTGGTTTGTTACAGTGGTAATAGGGAACTCACGCAGTAAGGACAGGGCGATCCCCACTTTACCATGAAGGAAACCAACACTCAGAGAAGTTGAATGATTTGCCCGAGTTCACATCATGAAGTGGGGGAGCTGGGATTCAAACCTGGGGCTGAAGTGGGGGAGCTGGGATTCAATCCTGGGGCTGAAGTGGGGGAGCTGGGATTCAATCCTGGGGCTGAAGTAGGGGAGCTGGGATTCAATCCTGGGGCTGAAGTGGGGGAGCTGGGATTCAAACCTGGGGCTGAAGTAGGGGAGCTGGGATTCAATCCTGGGGCTGAAGTGGGGGAGCTGGGATTCAAACCTGGGGCTGAAGTGGGGGAGCTGGTCAATCCTGGGGCTGCTGGAGCCTAGGATCTAGAGTGCAGTCTCTGGCCTGGAGGAGAGAAGAGGCTCCCTGCAGATGCAGCTCTTTTCCCCATGTCCACCCCTTTAATTTCATGAGCATCCTGGGCTGGCTGCACTAGAAGGGGACAAGATTGCCAAGAGGCGGCCAGCTGCTGGAGATCAGCAACACCAGCTTCGGCGCCCGAATTGCTGCACATTGTCCCAGCAGCTCAAGTGTCTACCTCCTCTGATAGCACAGGTGTCTGGGCAATTCTGCATTGCAACAAGGGCCCTGTTCTACTTTTTTCTGCAAGGTTTGTCCAGAGTGCGCAGCCAGACTATATGCTGGGCTTGGTTTTCCTGAGCCTTGGCCACTGCTGGCGCCCCGATCCCGGGCCAGTTGTTCTTGGTGGCATGGCTGTCCCAAGGAGACACATGTTACTGTCTCTGTAGCTGCCTGTGCCTCCAGGTGTGGTGCTGCCTTCCTGGGCCTCTGCAGCACCTGCCCTCGGCCCCCAGGGACCTTCTTTGTCACAGCTGAAGCCCTCGCATGCTGGAGACTTGTCATTCTTCTCCTGCCGGGCATGGATGCTGACAATAGAACTACTTTCCAGAAATCAGCAAATGCTGGGCTGTGCCTTCAAAGTATATCCAGGATGCAGTGGCTTCCTGAGCCACCTCAGCCATTAGCACCCTGGTCCCGGGCAGCAGCGTTGCTTGGCGGATTACTGCTCACCTCTTCAAGCCGATGCTGCTACTCTCCTGGACAGTCCACTTGCCCAGCAGCCAGGGGCATCCCTGAGAAGCCGGGTCAGAGTGTGATGCCCTCTGCCAAAACCTCCTCCTGGCCCTCGCCTTCTGCCACTCTCCCCTTGCTCATGGCTCTGCTGATCCTTCAACCAAATGCATGCTCCTGACCCTTACATGTCTGCACTGCTTCCTCTTTTTGGAAAACCTTCCTGGGGGCCCTTGCAGCTTGGCCCTCGCATCCTTCAGCCTCACCTCCAGTGTCATTGAGGACCCTCCGTGGCACCTGGCCTTCCTCCCAGCCACAGCCCCTCCTCCTCACCTCCTCACCTGCTTCCTATTTCCCCATAAACCCCAGCTCCCTGACATGTCTGGTGTCTCTCTCTCCCCACTGGATGGAATATAAGGGCTTGTGTTTGCCGTTTCCCCAGCACCTAGACAGGACCTAGCCAATGCTAGGCCCTTTGTCGATGTTCGTTAGGCATGCAGGTGAACAAGTGAATGAGTGATCCTGAGTTTGCTCTGGTTTCCTTCTAGTTGTGGGAAGTAATTCCTGAATTGCAGCCCTACAGCTTTTATTGGTGACAAGTTCTTGACTCCCCATCACCTCTGATGGAGGGGGCTGGGGTCTGTTGTGAGTTCAGGAGCCAGGGGGCTGCATCTGCGTGTTGGCTCTGCTGCTGAAGTGGCTGGATGGCCTTGGAGATCTAGTTAATTTTTTTCCTTTTTTTGGAGACCCAGTCTCGCTCTTGTCTCCCAGGCTGGAGTACAATGGCACAATCTTGGCTCACTGCAAACTCCACCTCCTAGGTTCAAGCAATTCTCCTGCCTTGGCCTCCGGAGGAGCTGAGACTACAGGCGCCCGCCACCACACCCGGCTATTTTTTGTATTTTTAGTACAGATAGGGATTCACCGTGTTGGCCAGGGTGGTCTTGAACTCCTGACCTCTGGTGATCCGCCCACCTCGGCCTCCCAAAGTGCTAGGATTACAGGTGTGAGCCACCACGCCCAGCCGATCTATTTAATTTCATTGTGCCTTGGTTTCTTCATATGTTTCAATAAAATGGGTATGTTAACAGTCTCTACCTCCCAGAGTGGTTGGGGTTACGTGAAGTAAGCTTAGACACGGCCGAATGAGCCAGAGCCTCTGCTGCTGCCATTGGCGTTGGCACCATTCTTACCTCCTATACCTACGAGGCTGTCATGTGAATGTGTCAAGGGCCCTGTCACGTCTCTGAGCCGGCTTCTCTGGGCACTGGCTGGGCTGACCCCAATGGCCCCTGCCCATCATGCATTTAGGGGCTCCTCTGACTCCAGATGTCAGTGACCCTTCTGGTCTCTCCAACACAAGGGTTGGTCATTCCCTGTGCCCATTGTTCATGCATTGGAACTTGGAGTGCCTGCTCTCTGCCCTGGGTTTATGTCCTAAGGATTTGAAGATAGAAGAGGCACAGCAGTCACTTGGGAGCTATTCCCAGTCTAACAGGAGAGGGCACATGGCAGTAACCCCCTGGGAGCGGCTGCTGATGTTCTGGCTCTCTGCAGTTGGGTAGGAGTGGAGGAGGGGTGCGATCGGAAGGGAGTGCCGCGCAGACCCCCCCACCCCCTCAGAACAGCGGCCACTGTGTGGATGTTTCTGACGGCCTCTTACAGACTCTGTCCTTTTTGTTGTAGCTGATGGAGCAGAATTTTAAATGCATTCCTCTAACTAGTGGTCAGCTTGCTACTGTCCAACCTAAGCTCATATTCAACACTTTAGAATGCCTTAATCTTTTCTTGTTGTGTTTTGAATAGGTTACATGCAGACATCCAAAATAAACTTTTTTTTTTCTGTACAAAATTAGATTTAGCTAAAGTAGCTTAGGTTTTATAAAAGCTGATGTTCTTCATGCTCTTCCCAATTTTGGGAAAGGAGCCTTCGTCTTTGCTTCCTAGGAATGGTCATAGTCACACCAGCCCTCCTGCTGGCTTTGTAGAATGCTCACAGTGGAATAGACTGTCAGCAGGTCCTGAGATGTGACTCTGGACAGCCAGTGGTCTGTAGCATTCTCATCCTTCAGAGCTCCCTGAGCTTCTTCACGGCCACGCTGCTCTCCTGCATGTCCGCCCATCTCACTGGGGTGATGAATGGATCTAGACCTGGTGCCTGGACTCAATCTGCAGAGACAGGTGTCTGGGATCTGAAGACAGCAGTTGGGGAGGACAGTGTTGGCTGCTGCTGTGCTTCCTTTAACTGAACCCCGGTGGCCCAGTTGCTCCTCTTGGTGGACTCACTAAGTCAACTTTGACGCTTCAGCCAACGTCGGTTTTGAGAATGCGACCTATGAAATTGGGAGCCCTGGCTGGATCAGAAGCACATGGTTCAGTGGACACTGTCAGAGGTGCTGTGGATCACTTGGACCACGGTAGCTAATGTTTGTAGCGCGCTCACGTATGCCAGACTCTTCTTAGCGCTAAGCCATTTTCCCAGGCCGGGTTATGCAGTGAGACTTCAGGGCAGGCACACATGTCGCTTCCTGCACCCACACTGGACAGTCATTGTAGAAAGTAAGATGTGATGTTAATAGTCTCTTCTTGGAGTCAGCACTGCTTCACGGTCCTATTGGCATGAGAACCACGTCCCCAGCTATTCCCACCTGCACACTGGAGGGAAGCAGGAGGGGAACAAAGTCAACAGCAATGACTGTCGCTGAATCTTAAGTTTATTCTGGATTGAGAAAAGTGGAAGAGGTTAGAAGCTAACTTGGACATTCTTTTTGGGGGAATAGATGTCTCTCATGCAGCTCATTTTCCAGTGGATTGCCTGATGTTCTCCAGGCTGCTACAGCTATGATATTTTAAAATCAATGGGCCTTTCCTTTCATTTCGAACTTTCAATACAGCTGCAGAAACAATGCATCTGAACGGATGGACTGTTTTGGAGATTTATGCGTGTTCTGCAGGCTGACCTCTGCTTGTTGATCGTATTACAGCATGTTGGGCATGTCAAATGAATCTGGGCGTTAGCCTACAAATCAAGATTTGCTTTGCCTCGTTGTGTAAATATCGGCAAACCATGTTTTGGGGATGGAAAATTAGTTAATTTGGAGATGGTGGGTTATTAGACTTCACTTGGTCTGCACGTGGTGGCTTTGGGATTTGCTGCTTCAAGGTTTCAGGATGACACAAGCCATCGGGTTGAGTGTGTTTGTTTCAGCCCCTCTTGCTGAGCACTTCTCTCTTCCTGTTCCTGTGCTGCTGGGCCTTCACAGCATGGTGCTCCCAAGCTAGTTGCTGAAGCTGTGGGCCATTGAGCCAGCCTGGAGATGCATGGTAGGTTAGGGTGCTGTGTTGCAGGTCTGTGATGCAGTTGCCATATATTTTTTGACTTTTGGATCTTCACTCCTCCCCTCATTTTGGACATTTTCTCAGAATGAATGATACATCTCTGCTTTCAGCCTCCCTAAGCCATTAATTTACATGTCAGATTTTTTTGAGTATTGTAGTTTTTTTCAATATTTATGGAATGCTTAGTATTTGTAATGCAACAAAAGGTCAGAATTAATAAGGTGTAGTGCCCAAGAGGAATATTTTGTTTCCATTTTCAAGATGATTCCAATTTGAGCTGTCTCCTGGAGAAGTTGGATCCATTTGTGTTTCTGAGTGTGCTTGTAAGCAGTCTTAGGGGATCTGTCACTGCTTACTACTAACAGAAGAACACCAAAATAAGGCCAACCTGCTCCCAGGCTGAATCCAGGAGAGCCAGTGGCCAAATATCAGCTCTGCAGCCACCGTTGCAAGTGAGACTTTGTGAAAGGAAACTTCTCACCATTAAATGTACATTTTATCTTAACCGTTGAATGTACAGGATGGTTCAAATACTAAAAACTGGAGAAAAGACCATGATGGATGTCATTTCTCCCTGATGGGACATTTTACCATATTTGCTTTCTCTGTATGTTGTGCGTGTTGGTGTTTATGGAAGAAACACCTACAGATACAGTGGAAGTCCCCTTGCCCCCTTCTCTGTTCTGTTGAAGATGGTCTGTCTTTCCCATCTGGATCTCTTTCCTCCGCTACTTCTGTGTCCTTAGACAGTAGATGGTGCTCTGTGTGCATGAGGGGAAGCACCTACAGTGGTCGCCTGCTGAAGATGTCCTTCAGTGGTTGGAATGGAAAAACAATTGTTCTGCTACATGTTGCTCTGGTTCTTTCATTTTACCTGCTCTAGAATATTCCATTTAGAACTTAAAATATTTCATTACTTAAATATTGCTTTTTCTGTTCTGTGTGCTGTAAAGTGTATGTGCGTGTGTGCTGGCATTGTAATGTTTGTGCTTGTGGGGAGGATGGAGGAGATTCTGATTTTGCCAGGGGTCTCAGCTACAGCCCCTCAGATCATTGCAGGTGATAGGGTTTGGAAGTTTGTCCCCTTCAAATCTCTTGTGGAAATGTGATTCCCAGTGTTGGAAGTGGGGCATGGTGGGAGGTGATTGGATCATGGGGGCAGATCCCTCATGAATGGTTCAGCACCATCCCCTTGGTGATGAGCGAGTTCTTGCTCAGTTAGTTCATGCAAATTCAATTTAAAGGAGTATGCCCCTTCCCCACTCCCCGACCCCTCTACTCATGCTCTTGCCATGTGATGTCCTGCTCCTCCTTCACCTTCTGCCATGATTGGAAGCTTCCTGAGGCCTCACCAAAACAGATGCTGATGCCATGCTTTCTATACACTCTGCAGAACCGTGTGCCAATTAAACTTCTTTTATTAATTACCCAGCCTCAGATATTCCTTTAGAGTAATGCAAGAATGGACTAACACAGCAGGTGTGATCATTGGATGAGGAAGGCTCTCGGAATCATTCCAGGTGCCTGCTCTAGACTCTTGGTGTTGCTCTTCTTTCCTTCATGACCTTGAACTCTCTGACTCCAGCAGTCCCCTCTGCACATGCCTGAACTGCTTCAGGGCACCCTACAGGTCACTCAGGCCTCCAACTCTGGGGTGATGCCTTTAGCAGCATTGAGTATAAGGTGACCTGGAGGAGGTGTGAAGACCTGCGCATGTGGACAGTTTGAAAGCCTAGCTGAGGCAGCTGGAAGAAATTCATGGGAGTCCTGCATCGCTGAGGTCAGGGGAGGTTCTGTAAATCTGGGAGAAAGGTGCCTTTCCTTTGGAGGGATGGTGGGTTTCAATGGTTTGAAAGAGAAAACCATGCTTTGCATGTGTCTTTTTACCAACCCAATGAGATTGCTGATTTTGCAAGTACAAGTCACCAGATTTTAGTTGTTTATAAACTTCAGCTTAAAAGGTGGGGTTAATAGGGAACAACATAAATGAGGGCAGGTGTGTGTTTCAGGGATCTTTGTGCAACTTTTCTAAATACAGAGTTGGTTGTGACATATTCAGCTGGGGGAAAATAGTCGTCTGAAATATATTATGGTTTGTTTGTAGCTTCAGCTAGTACTTTTCATTGTAATCATGGCTCAGGTTTCTAAGAGAAAATTAAAATAATTTAGGATGTTGCCCCACACTATTGGGAGGTGTAGATGTTGCTACTGCATCTGGAAAGCATTGTGACAACATGTGACCAAGTATTAAAAATGTTCTCACATTTATTCTTGAAATTCCACACAGAGAAAGGTGTTTCGGGGAAGTAGAATATTAGCAGAGCTATTTGTAAAAATAATGCACAGGCATTTGCTGCTGTATCCTATGAGCGAAAAATTGGGAAGTGTGATATCTGTGTCTGCCTCCATACTGTACAGAAATCACTGAATATAGGCCAGTGCGGTGGCTCATGCCTGTAATCCCAGCACTTTGGGAGGCCGAGGCAGGTGGATCACTTGAGGTCAGCAGTCTAGACCAGCCTGGCCAACATGACGAAACCCCATCTCTACTAAAAATACAAAAAAAAAAAAAAATTAGCCGGTTATGGTGGTGCATACCTGTAATCCCAGCTACGCAGGAGGCTGAGGCAGGAGAATAGTTTGAACCCGAGAGGCAGAGGTTGCAGTGAGCCAAGATCACGCCACTGTACTCCAGCCTGGGCGACAGAGTGAGACTGTCTCAAGCCAAAAACGAACTGAATATGGCTGACACTCTCTCCCTCATAAGCTTGCTTGTTCCATTAATGGGGAGACCCATGTAAGGTCTGGGTGCAGTGCATGGCACATGGGAAGTGTGTGTGACAGTTAATGGTGGCGTTTTTTAAAAGTACATATGTCTATAGCAGTCTGGAAAGGCATACGCCAGAATGTTTGTGGCAGTGACAGTGGATTTTATAAGTGATTTTTTTCCCTTTACATTTTTTCTTAAATATGCATTTCTCTTTTCCTCAATGAACACGCTAATTATGTGAACAGTTATTTAAGAAGAAGTAACCTGAGTAATACTAAAAATGTATTTTCTGAGGGGCGAAAGTATAGTTGAAGTAAAAAGTTTTAGTGCACTTTCCAGAATGGGCTGGATGGTGACTATTTTAGGTTTTGAGGATGGTACCGTCTCTGGCAACTCCTCAACTCTTGTAGGGAGAGGTACAGACACAAATTGGCATGGCGTGTTTCAATAAAACTTTATTTACAAAAACACATGGTGGGCTGGATTTGGCCTGTGGCCCATGGCCTGATCTCTGTTCTAATATGTCCCATTAAGGACTTTTGTTTTTGAAATCCACTGATAGTGGGTCATTCCAGCGCATAGATATGTTGGGTTTATTTTCACTGTTCACATAACGTAAGTTTGAAACCCAACTGTCTTAAGTTGAAAAGTAAGACATAGCGTGGATATTGTTTTGTTCTTTAATTTTACACTGCAGAATCCTTTTAAGAAAACAATTCAGTCTATCTTATAAAGGGGAGTGGCATTGTCCCCTGCTTTTCCTGTGCTGGCCCCAGGCTGTTTTGAGGTTTTTTTTTTTTTTTTTTTTTTTTGATAGGGTCTCTGTTGCCCAGGCTGGAGTGCAGTGGCGCGATCTTGGTTCACTTCAACCTCCACCTCCCGGGTTTAAGCAATTCTGCAACCTCTACCTCCCGAGTTTAAGCAATTCTCCTGCCTCGGCCTCCTGAGTAGCTGGGATCACAGGTGTGCACCACCACACCCAGCTAATTTTTGTATTCTTAGTAGAGACAGGATTTCGTCATGTTGGCCCTGCTGGTCTCGAACTCCTGATCTCAAGTGATCCGTCCACCTTGGCCTCCCAAGGTGCTGGGATTACAGGCGTGAGCCACGGCGCCCGGCTATTTTGAGTTCTTTATGTTGGGCATGCTGATCCCCCAGCCTCAGCGTCTGATCGTCTTGGTACCAAGTCCACTGCCCGTGGGGCTTATTTTGTGGTGTGAGGTGAAGCAGCAGCATCTGTTGATTTTGGGGTCTGTGTCCCCCAGATTGCCCAGGATAGTAATAGTAAAATGCCTCGTCCCCGGCTCAGCCCTTAGTCTCCCATTGCAATACTCCTGTTTGAGATTATTCACAGTTGGGGCTCATGTCTATTGCTGAGAAAGAGAAATGGTTTTTCTTGGTGATTTTTCTCAGTGCTTTGAATGTTATTTTTGAGTTCTGGCCAAACAGAGATGGGACAAGGTCAGAACTAGAAAAATATGTCCTATAATCTTCTCAATGGGAGGGAGGAAGAGGTTCCCTTAGGAGCATGAACTTAGGAAAGGAAATGGTGCGTTTGGTGGAAAAGAAGGGGGGCATAGGCTGAATTGGGACAGTGCCCTTGACTGACACAGGGAGAGGGTCTGAGCCCCCCATGCACTTACTGGGCAGGCTTCCCCCCGAAGCAAGGTGGACCTGCTTCCAGTGGGAGGAGAAGGGGGAGCACTAGAGCCCTCCGTGAGACCATTGACTGCACTGGGGTAGTTCAGTGGTGAGCGGATGGGGAGAAGGCAGGGCCAGCCCCCAGCACACGTCAGGCACTGTCTGGGCACCTGTGCATTGCTGCCTACAGTCCTTTCAGAGACTCGGCAACTCAGCGAGAGTCCCTCACTTGCCTGTGAGCTGCTCCACTTGGTGGAGGAGCTGCTGGGGCAGAGGATACTGAGCCTGACCACTGCCCTGTGCTTGTTCCTGTCCCCATGGAGGAGCACTGGACTTGTCCAGGGGCACCTAGCAGGGATCCAGGGACCCAGGCAGGGCCGGAAAGGGGATGTTCTTTGCATGGATTTCTGGGAATGTACTTGGCAGAAGGGAAGCCTGGGAGTGAGCTCCAGGCAGAAGAACAAGCAGGTGGAAGTGCCCGGTTCTGGAAGAGCCCAGGGTATCTTTGGGGGAAGATGGAGACAAGATTTGGTGGGTCCTTGAATGCTCTGGAAAGAAGGGGGAGCCATTGCCCACCTCTTTTTTTTTTCCATAGGTTATTGGGGAACAGGTGGTGTTTGGTTACATGAATAAGTTCTTTAGTGATGACTTGTAGAGATTCTGGTGCACCCATCACCCAAGCAGTGTACACTGCACCCTATTTGTAGTCTTTTATCCCCTGCTTCCCCTCCCATCCTTCCCCCCAAGTCCCCGAAGTCCATGTATCATTCTTTTTTTGTTTGTTTGTTTGTTTTTTGACTCCGTTACCCAGGCTGGAGTGCAGTGCTGTGATCTTGGCTCACTGCAACCTCTGCCTCTCGGGTTCAAGCAATTCTCCTGCCTTAGCCTCCCGAGTAGCTGGGATTACAGGCGCCTGCCACCACATCCGGCTAATTTTTGTATTTTTAGTAGAGACGGGGTTTCACCATATTGGCCAGGCTGGTCTCAAACTCCTGACCTCATGATCCAGCCGCCTTGGCCTCCCAAAGTGCTGGGATTATAGGTGTGAGCCATTGTATCATTCTTATGCCTTTGTGTCCTCATACCTTAGCTCCCACCTATCCGTGAGAACAACAATGTTTGGTTTTCCATTCCTGAGTTACTCAGAATAATCGTCTCCAATCTCATCCAGGTCACTGCAAATGCCGTTAATTCATTCCTTCTTAAGGCTGAGTAGTAGTCATTGTGTGTGTGTGTGTGTGTGTGTGTGTGTGTGTGTGTGTGTGTGTGTGTGTATGTGTATACACCACAGTTTCTTTATCCACTTGTTGATTGATGCCACTGCCCATCTCTTGAGATGCAACAGGATCAGACTTGTTGGGGAGCAAGGAGGAAAGTGGGTGGTGGGAGGCTCTGGCCCTAGTCAGACACCGTAGACCAAGAAAAGGAGAACAGGACAGAGACATGAAAATCAGCAGGTGAGTATCGAGTGTCCAGCACAGGGGCCAGGTGTCCAGCATGGGGACTTCATGAGGTATTTTAAGAGTAAGAAGTCATTGAGGGGCCGGGCGCAGTGGCTCATACCTGTAATCCCAGCACTTTGGAAGGCCAGGGCAGGGGGATTGCTTGAGCCCAAGAGTTTAAGACCAGCCCTGGCAACATAGTAAGACCCTATCTCTACAATAAATGTAAAAAAAAAAAAAAATAGCTGGACGTGGTGGCGTGTACTTGTAGTCCCAGCCCCTCTGGAGGATCCCTTGAGCCAGGAGGTCAAGACTGCAGTGAGCCATGATCATACTACTGCACTCCAGCCTGGGTGACTGAGGGAGACCCTGTCTCAAAAAAAAAAAAAAAAAAAAGAAAGAACAGAAATCACCATTGATAATGTGGCATGAATAGACTTCATGACAGACATTACTCCAGAGATTTTTATGATGCTTTATTAATTAAAGTATCATCTTCAAAGCAGATGTTAACCACTTCATCACTGTATACAAAATGTCTGATTACATTTAATTTTTTTTTCCAGCAGGATGGAAATGCATTAAGATGAAACTTTAAAAATATAGGACTGTAGAAAGATTTTGTGCCAAATTAAACATATACTGAAACAAATAAGTTGTTTTTTGAAAACCCAGGGAGCTATCACACGATTGTTAATATTTTAGTGGAATTCCTCCTAAACGTCTTTCTGTACTTTTTTTTTTGAGACAAAGTCTTGCTCTGTTGCCCAGGCTGGAGTGCAATGGCACTATCTCAGCTCACTGCAACCTCTGCTTCCCGGGTTCATCCAATTCTGCCTCAACCTCCCGAGTAGTTGGGATTACAGGTGTGCACCACCAAGCCCAGCTAATTTTTGTATTTTTAATAGAGACAGGGTTTCACCATGTTGATCAGGCTGGTCTCGAACTCCTGACCTCAGGTGATCCACCTGCCTCGGCCTCCCAAAGTGCTGGGATTACAGGCGTGAGCCACCATGCCCGGCCCCTGTACATTGTTTTTTTAAAGATGTTTGAGATAGGGTTTGTAGCCTTATTAACACATTAGCATTTTTCCGTGTCGTGTTGTAATATTGCACATCCATGTTACTGGTAAGCTGTATTTGAGAAAGAATTAGGGGGTTAGTTTGGGGAGCAGCAGCTGATGTGTGCCTCAGTTCTCAAGTTAATTGGTCCTGCTCCTTCTCTGCCCTGGTGTGCCCCTCGGCTCGCCACTGGCTTAGGTGCAGGTACATTTGTCCTTCATCGGAACAGGACCACCCTCCCTTGGCTGCCACCATGGCAACGCTCAGCCCCGCTGCCTCCGTTTGTCATTTCTCCTCCTAATGATTTGAACTGAGGTCTGTGTGCTGGCCCAGCCCGTTGCGGGTCTGCATAATGTATGAACACGAGTGACAGCCAGCCGCAGCCCGATCAAAACAAAGAGCCGCTGCACGAGAGGGGCAGATTGCGGAAGCATATTGTGAACACATTCTCTGGTAACTGTGAATCGTGTCGTAAAACGCGTCTTTGGCCTGTCAAAAATATTTTGACAGGGCCCACAGTCTAGCTCCTTCATATGCAAATGCACTGGTAATGCCTGGATACCAGGGTTACACACTCAGGGAAAATCCACAGGACGAGGGCTGATGTTAGCAGGGTTCATTACTTCTGCAAATAAACACGTTGAAGAGCCTCCTTCCAGTGGGTAAATGGCAAACTCGATAACTGGAATGCTGTCAGATCCCAGGGTAACAAAAGGGTGGTGTCCCCTAAAGGCTTGGAAGGATTGAGTTAGGAGAGTTCAACTGAAAAGTCAAGCATGGCGCAAGGAAGGACGATGGATTAGCCAACCATGACCGGCCAGGCTGTGCGAGCTAGCCAAGGAGAGGCCACGAGGCGGGAGAGCCAAGGAGGACAGCCTCCGGGTGGGCCATCACTGCTGGTAGAGAGGGTTTCTGGGTCCCAGGACCGGACTGCGTGGTCCTGGTTATACCTGCTGGTCAAAGGTCAGTCTGCCAAGGCCCCTCCTTGTGAAGATGGACACTGAGGGCACCCTTCCTAGAGGACCTATTTCCTCTTGGTGCTCTTCTGCTTTTTGCTTCTTCCCTGGGCTTGCTTTCCGTGTGATTCTGGGCAAGTTGGTTAACCTCTCTGTGCTTAGGTGACCTTCGATGGCACGGGGGATAGCAGTATCTGCTTCACATGGTCAGAAAATTCTGTGAGGTGACACACGGAGCCTTGGAGCTGCCTGTGGCAGGTGGCGGTGCTAATTAAGTTCCGGCTGTTGTGACGGTCTCCTCGGCTGGGTGGCCCTTCCTGCTGTCAGGTGTGGCCACTCTCGTGAGATGCAACTGGAGGTGTTTTGTGGCAGCTTCTGGAAGGCCTGCCTTTGACCCTTCCTTTCTGCTTTTTCCATCTGTTACCTGCATGCATATATGATGGCTGGCCACCATCTGAGACTGGGACAGCAAGGGTCATGTTGGCATTGGAAGGGGTCTGGGTTTATGGGGTCACCAGCCTCAAGGGACAGCCCACCTGGAGATTTTGTTAAGGGGTAAGAGAAATATTCTTCTGTCTTGTATAAGCCACTGTTATTTGGGGTTTTCAGACATATGTGGCCAAGTGATTCTAATTAGCATACAAGGTGAGAATGTGTTATCTGCAAGATCCAGAGCTTAGCCGCCCTGGCAGTTCAGTGACTTAAGGGGAGTTAATGAACTGGTTTTCTGACTTCATCTCCCACCACCAGAGCAGTGTTCGCATGAACTGCCCAGCCAGCTGTCCCCAGGAGCTAAAGAAGTCAGTTTCTGAGCTTCAGAGCCTTTGGCTATCCTCGGGGTGCCTCAGAGTAGTGAGGGCAGCTCTGGGGGACTGGGACCTCTCAGCCTCCCCTCTGCCTGTGTGTTCCTCCATGGAGCCCCTGTTTCGCCACGTCCATTACGCTTGCAGTAGTCAGCAACTGCCTGGTGAGCTTTACATGCCTGATGGGCTTTGGTGAGCTGGCAAGTCTGAAACACACCTGGGGTCATCTGTGACCATCTGCTGATGGCCAAGTTTGATAGGGTTTATTTTTCCTTTCTTTGCTGAAATCGGGCTGGGGTCTTGGCAGCAATTGGGAAACTTTGATTGCTTCAGTTGCTTCAGTTTTTCTAGCTCCACCTGGCCTCCCTCTGGGGACCACGGTTCTGTCACCTCTCCTGCTATTTAGGTGGCCGTGTTTCCCATGCTAAACAGTGCCCGCTGATTTAATCAAGAGACTTGATAGCCGGCCATTGCACGTTCATCAGCCCGGTTTTCCTCTTGTGGCACCTGGTGGTGTGCTGGTGTGTGGTTTATAAAACATGCTCTGCCGCTTTGATTTCCCTGCTTAGATTTACATAATTGTTTTAGAAGAAGGTTCAGGTGCTTTGCTGGCAGAAAAAGGAAGACGACCTCTTGCAAAGTGGGGTTAGCCCTAGCCTTGCAGGAAGGGGTCTCGGCTTCCTTCCAAACCAGAAGCCCGTGGTGCAGCCTCTGAACCCCCGACTCTTGGTGGGCTTTTGAGTTCTGCTTTTGCTTGAACTTCTAGCGGCAGAAAGGGGGTGATCCCTTTCTTCTCCATCATAAGGGTCATGGCCCACATCCCTGTAACAAAAGACAGGTTAACGAGAGAAAAGCATTATACATTTACTTGATCCTGGTTTTACGGCATGCGGGAGCCTACGGAATGAAGACCCGAAGATTCAGGGGAGGTCGTCTGTGTGCCTTGGTTCCATGACTTGGGGGCAGCCAAGTAGAAGTGGAATTGGACAAATAGGGCATGAGCGGGCCGGGCGTGGTGGCTCATGCCTGTAATCCTAGCACTTTGGGAGGCCAAGGTGGGTGGATCACCTGAGGTCAGGAGTTCAAGACCAGTCTGGTCAACATGGTGAAACCCCATCTCTACTAAAAATACAAAAATTAGCCAGGCATGGTGGCGGGCTCCTGTAATTCCAGCTACTCGGGGGCTAAAGCAGGAGAATCCCTCGAACCCAGGAGGAGGAGGTTGCAGTGAGTCAAGATCGCACCATTGCACTCCAGCCTGGGTGACAAGAGCAAGACTCTGTCTTAAAAATAAAAGAGCTTGAGTGAATTGTCATAGATGGAGTGGGGAGACCTACAAGGCCTGTCTGTTCAGATTCCTCTTGGCCTCTGTGTAACATTTCTTCCTCTCGGGTATGGGATGGGACCCCTCTGGAATGAGGGTCTTAATTACCTTATGACAGCTTTACCTAAAAAGATGGGGGAAGGTTACAGTAATATTTTTAGGCTTATGGCTAGCTTTGGGGAAAAGGGGTTTTGGTTTCTATGACCTGTCTTAGGGATGAAGAATTCTAGTTCCTGTGGCTCAGGGGAGAATGAGGGGCAAGAGATCAGGAGAGCAGGAGAAGCTCAGAGAGAAACTTGGCTGCATCTGAGGGTGGCCTTTACTTTGGGGTATCAGTTTTCCGAGCCCCAGCAAGCCCCTCCCTGCAAAGTTGCAGCCCCCAGCAAGCCCCCCGCCGCAGAGTTGCAGCCTGGTGCCCTGATTTTCTAAAGATCTTGGGTGGGCGGGGCCCACAGGCATGGGGGAAGCGGTAGCTGAGGCTTTACGGCAAGTTGTGGGGCTTCTCACTTGATTTTCCCACAATTAATCTTGTCTGTCTCCTGAATTTCTTCAAGTCCTGATGATAAATTATGGCATATATTCCAGAATACATGTTTGAGTTTGCATTGGTGCATTGCTAGAGGAAAGCACCCAGTTCACTGTGTATCTCTGTGTACCTGTGTATTTCATCGACACATCCTTTGGAGTCTTAAACACAGCAGCAGCACTGTTGTGGTGATAATTACGCACCCTGCATATGGTACTGTTTAAGCAACAAAGAGCTGAGACTTCGGAAGGTTCCCAAGGGCATCCCTGAGATGGGACTCGGTCCTGTCACAAGCAGCTGTGGGAGCTGGAGCTTAGAAGCTGTCCATCAAAAAACCAAGTTTTTGTGTCAAAATGGAGTCTCTCAGGCTGTGAAGCAAGCCCATCTCTAATCAGTTCAGCCACCTGTATTGCAGACTAATTGTGACCAAGACACTGCGAATCATCAGAGAAAGCTGAGCCTTGTAGGGAATCTGGGGACAGCCGTAAGTTCTTCCTCCACATTCCATTTTAGAGAGGCTTGTGTTCCACATTTTTGTGGCTTTTTCCTCATCAGATTTCTCTGTGTTCTTGCTTTAGTTTGAAACTGAGAACACTAATTTTTTTTATTTTGATCAAAATAAAACCATCTTTTCAAAATGTCAAAATGTTTAATTTTCAGAGAGAATTGAGTTTACGTACCACGAAGGAGGCTCTGTTTTGTTCCGGCACACGCTTTGGCTGGTTATTGGTGTTAGGATGTGTTTGTTCCATGTACGAGTGGATGGAGCAGACAGTGCCTGGTCCACCCCCACCTCCTCACCCTCAGCCTCCCCCCCGCTGTAGACAGTGGCCAACCGTGTGTCCTCAGATCTGCATGGAATTTCCTGTGGCGCTTTCTCAATTCTGGGACCAGTTTTCCCTCTGAAGCGTGAATGTTTCCTCTCCAGTTGGGAATCTCCTGCCTCAGGACCTGGTGGTCTAGAGGTACTGTGGTATAAGTAGAAAGAGCAGCTGGACTTAGAGACAGGCGTCCTGAGTGTTGATGCCAGCCTTACCCTGACCCTGTGTGTGGCAGCAGTGGGTCGGTCAAACCTTTCCAAGCCTCCGTGTCCTCATCTGAAAATGGGAATGAGGATGCCTATCCGAGGTGACTTAGCAGAGGATGAAGCACTCCCGTGAGTGAGCTGCGCACAGTCTCCTTGTACAAGCAGGACATTTCTCCGTTTCTCCTTTTCTCTGCCCGTAGGATTGACTTTCATCTTGCCTGGTAATAAGCCCTCCTAGGAAAACAAATTACTCTGAAAATTTGTCATTTTGGTGTGGTGAATTCGTTCTTTTATTCATCATCCAAAAAGTTCCATTGTTTGAGATGATTCAACATGATTTGGAAACCATGGGGTAAGTCTCTGAGGAACAAGAAGACAGAAGAAAGAACGCACTTTGGTTTTCTTTTGGAAACCTAGAGCAACCTACTAGATCAATGAGTTTTCTAGGGAGGCATCAGAGTTAGCCATGGCACCTTCTCCAAAGCTGCCTCGCTCCTGCACTGATGCTGTGCTATGAGGAGCCACGTTGCCCGGAAGTCTGATGCGTGAGGCGGGAAGGTTAAAACTTGTTGGCTTTGGAGGTTTACTGATAGGTCGTTCTGAGTAGGACAAATGTTTTCCTTTCCGTGCTTTAAAAGTCTCATCTTAGACCGGGCACAGTGACTCATGCCTGTAATCCCAGCACTTTGGGAGGCTGAGGCAGGTGGATCTTGAGGTCAGGAGTTCAACACCAGCCTGGCCAACATGGTGAAACCCCGTCTCTACTAAAACTACAAAAATGAGCTGGGCATGGGGGTGCATGCCTGTAATCCCAGCTACTTGGGAGGCTGAGGCAGGAGAATAGCTTGAACCCGGAAGGTGGAGGTTGCAGTGAGCCGAGATCGTGCCAGTGAACTCCAGCCTGGGCAACAAGAGCGAGACTCTGTCTCAGTAAATAAATAAATAAATAAATAAATAAATAAATAAATAAAGTCTCATCTTATGGAGCAAAAGATTCTAAAGAGAAAGGCTGGTCCTGAATTTCATCCAGCTTGGTTCTGGTTTCTTCTCCTTTCTTCAGCGAGTGCAGGGCCTTTATCCTTGGGGCACCTTTCTGGGACTTTATCTGGCTGTGTGCAGACAGACAGGAAAGTGTCCCCTGCCCCCAATTTTTGGGATGACCACTAAAAAATGAACACACCCACTCAGGGAGCGTTTGTGGGATCACTGAAGTCAAATAATTTACACCCAGGAGAAAGCCCTTCGCTGTGGATGTGTTCATGCCTGTGGAAAGGGAAGTTGGCTATCTGGTCTCGAACCCTCAGTCACTGTCAGGGACGGCAGAGAACTCATCCAGAAACCAAGTGTTGATGTGAAGCCTCCCCTTCCAGAGGCCCCCCAGCGTCCACTCCCCTAGGCATCCCTCACTTCTGGACCCTCCACATCAGCATCCCATGACATTGGGCTAGACTCACTGTTCCAGGACTCCGCTGGCCCAGAGGTGAGTCGGCCTGACCAAGTCGTCGTGTCATCACTTGTTGGGGGTTGAAGTCCTAACGCCCGGTGCCTATGAATGTGATCGTCTCTCAGAATGGAAATAAGGTCGTCGCAGATGTAATTATTTAGGATGAGGTCATGCCAGAGTGGGGTGGGCCCCTCATCTAATATGATGGATGTCCTTCTGAGAAGGGAAATTTGGACGCAGATGCACAGAGGGAGAACATCATGTCAAGGCTGCGGTAATGCTTCTACAAGCCAAAAAGAATGCCAAGGATAACCAGACAGCCGCCAGAAGCCAGGACAGAGGCTCGCAGCAGACCCTCCCTCACCGCCCCTAAAGGAACCCGCCCTGCTGACGCTTTGATCTTGGACTTCTGGCCTCCAGAACTGTGAGACAATGTATGTCTGTTTCTGAAGCCACTCAGATTGTGGCACTTTGTTAGAGCAGCCCCAGGAAACTAAAACGTCACCTGACTCACTGTGGGATTCAGCATCTTGTACGAGGCAGGTGCCACTGGTCTCAGTTTCTTTGTCTGTAAAATGAGGCTAAGACCTGCTTTATACAGTGGTAGTGACAGTTTGCCCAGCACCTCCTAGGACCTCAAAATGTGACTTTTTTTAAAAGACAGAGCCTTACTCTGTCACCCAGGCTGGGCTGGAGTACAGTGGCGCGGTCATAGCTCACTGCAGCCTCGACCTCCTGGGTTCAAGTGATCCTTCCACCTCAGCCCCGCAAGTGACTAGGACCACAGGTGCATGCCACCATGCCTAGCTAATTGTATTATTATTTTTTTTTTTTTGTAGAGACAGGGTCTCACTATGTTGCCAGGTTGGTCTTGAACTCCTGGACTCAAGCTATCCTCCTGCCTCAGCCTCCTGAGTAGCTGGGATTACAGGTATGAGCCACCGTGCTCGGCCTTCATTATTATTTTTAGGACAAAAGTGAAGGTGGAAAGTTCGGACCAGTGGGCTGTATGTTTCAGAACTTTACACATAGGAAGAGGAAGTATTGTGTATGGAAGAAAGTGAGTGTTGCATTATTCAGGGTTCTCAGAGAAGCAGAACCATATGGAAGAGGAGGTCTGTTAGGGGAATTGGTTCGTGAGATTATGGAGGTCCAGAAGCCTCATGATCTGTCTGCACACTGGAGAACTGGGAAGACTGGTGGCATCCTTCAGCCCGAGAACCAGGAGCTCTGATGTCCGAGTGCAGGAAGAGACAGATGTTCCAGCTCCAACAGAGAGAGTGAGTTTGCCCTTCCTCCACCTTTTTGCCCTCTTTGGGTCCTCAGTGGATTGGGTGATGCCCTCTGCATGGGTGAGGCAGATTATCTTTACTCGTTCTACTGATCGAGCTGTTATCTCTTCCAGGAACACCCTCATAGACACACCCACAAATAATATCTTACCGGCTGTTGGGGCGTTCCTTGGCCCAGTGAAATGCCCAGTCAAACTGACACGTAACATTAACCATAACAGGTGTGGGTAGACAGTCAGGAGAGCAAGACTCTAGTTGGTTCTGTCACACAGCAGAGCTGCGTGGCCTGGGTATACTCCTCCCATCTGCCTGGGCTGCTGTATCCTGGGCTATAAGGTAGGAGGTTCGATCAGATTACCCTGAGATGTGCTGTGAGAGGTGAGTGTGGCCCCCTCACAGTTGCAGCTCTTCGAACGGGAGCCTGGAGACTCCAGGCCTATGTCTTGGGAGGTGCACTGCACAGGGTGGCTGCTCTGTAAACCTTGACTGAAGTCGTGGGGAAAACTGCAGTGTGCTCCAAGAACAAATTGTGAATAGAGACTAGTTAAAATAAACATCACAATGGCGATGGAAAATGTTATTTCACTTTATTAAGTTAAAAACAAGTTATAAAATAGTAGGTCACATATAAGCTCAGTTTTGTATTTAAAAACCCTCAAAACTGTATATATGCCCAGAAAAAAGACAGGAAAGAAAGATACCACAGTATGAATGGTGGTTCCCAATTAGTAGGAGAACTAGGAGCCATCATTGTCTTTGCTTTCCAGAGAATAATAGCGTGGTGTCCTGGAGTCACATGGCTGCTCTGGCTTGCCAGTGGAGAACAGGCTGAGGCCGGAGGAGGAGGGAGCAGCCAGGAAGCTGGTTACAACCCAGGCGGAGGGCTGGCGTGGGCCTCAGGGGTCTTCAGCCTCAGCACTATTGACATTTTGTGCCGGATAATTATTTGTCCTGTGCATGTCAGGATGTTCAGGAGCATCTCTGGCCTCTACCTACTAGATGCCAGTAACATCTCTTCCAGTTGCGGTGACCAAAAATGTCTTCAGGCAATCCAGATCAAATGTCCACTGGGGGGCAGAATCACCTGCTGAGACCCACTGGTTAAAATAGTGTCAGTAGGGGTGGAGAGAAGGGGACAAAAGAGTCTTAGAGCCATTTGAGAGGGAGCTTCTAGAGGACTTGATGGATGGAATTTGGTCAAGGCAGGAATGAGGGTGGATGTGGGGCATGGGGAATTGGACGGATGATAGTGGCCCACAGGTTGAGAGAGGGGATGGGTTCAGCTTTGGCCATGCTGTTGTGAGTCTGTGGTTCCCAGGGAGCAGCTGAGTAGGCTGTTGGGTGAGTGGTTCTCAAGCTCAGAGCTGAGCTGGGGGCATCCATTTGAAGGTTATGGGAAGATGGAAAGCACGCCCTGGAGGTGGGTGGGTGAGCTCACCCAGGACCACGGTGTGGCCTGAGAAGTCGGCCTGCGATAGAACCCGGGGAATCCCAGTGTTTCCAGGGTGGGCAGAGGAAGAGGAGGCTGGGAAGGGAATTTGTTTCTCTGGCCAGAGCTGTTGCTCAGCGACTGTTGGCTGGTGAGGATGAGGCTCATGAACAGATGTGGAAACATCGTGGGATGATCTCATGGTGGGTGGGACTTGTCGCCGTCATGCACTCAGCACTCTCTGGCCTTTATTGGTCAAGCTGCCTGCTGTGTTTCTGGTGCCCAAATGTTCTGGGCACACTGTTGTTTGGGGAAGAATCGCAGGGACTCTCCTTCACTCTTAGATAGTGGCAGCGCTTGCCTCGCTGCATCTCGTGTTCTCAAAATCAGCACATGCCATCCCACATTCTAGACCATCCAGTTTTGCTTCTCAGGCTCTGAAAAACACTTTTAAGAGCAGGTTAAACTGTTCTCGGACTTCTTTTTGGATTATTTGCAACGTCTTGAGGGGTCCACGGATTGATAGAGTCAGCAGGGATGGACAGTTTCCCCTTCAGCACCTTTATAGTTGTAATTTGCCCATGATGGGGTTAGAGACCCACAGTTGCTCAAAAGCAGTTTTTGTTTTTCTTGATAGCTGGATTTGGGTTATCTCTCAGGAAGCGGTTAGCAGTCTTTAGGGCAACCTAATTGCATTTCTTTGTTTACAAGCACTTAACTTCATCCCTCTCAGGCGCACACCAGCACTGTCTATCACTAATACTGGCAGTTCTAGGGTGAGGTGGACAGTTGCTCTTAGTCAGAAACTCACTTTGCTGTTTTCCACTAGATTCCCAGATAGAGAAGGACAGTTGTTTCAGGCAAGCTTAAGACCCTGTAACATTTCTTGCCCTTTTTGATTTGAACTCCCATCTCCCTAGCTCTGGCTTGTTTTACCCTGCAGTTAAAAGAGAAAATGATCTCTACTGGCTATATGGCCTCAGGCCAGGAGAAAAGGTGCTGTTCCTTCCAGCAGAAATTCAAGGGTCCAGGGAGGCTGGCCCAACCCAGGTCAGAAGGATAATCTCAGAAAAAGAAGGAAGCATGCATTACCCATCTCAGAACTTAGGAACAAGAAAATCCTAAAACTCCAAAGGACCATTTTTCCCCACTGACAGGCCCAGCTTAATTAGAGACCAGCTAGGAGTTGCATTTCCTGGTTGTTTACTGACTGTTCTCTTCGGTAAACAGCTTCAGCCTGTAATTAAGCTGTCTAATTGGCAATGACTGCAGGAAAAACCATGAATGGGGCTGGCCTCCCTCTCTAGCCCCTGTGTCTGCTGTCTGTTACCTACCACCATTTTTATTCCCCTGTCTTCTATTAAAAATGTCGTGGGGGCAAATTCTAAAGAATAGTCTAGGCAGGCAAACCCTTTGAACTTCACTTTGCAAACCTGCCTGAGAGTGAGTCTGAGAGGCAAATTCTTTTTCTTTCCACTTGAAGAAGTGTCAGAAATTTGGTGGATTGGAAAAGATGGGAGAGAAAAGTCCAGGAGTCCTGACTGCTTTCACTCATTTAGGTGGGCTGGCAAGCAGTGCTGGCTGCTCCACCTGTTTTCCTGCCTAATAACAGTGTCTTTTATAGTTGTCTGATAACAATGTCTTTTATAATGTCTCATAACTCTGCCTTTTTGTAATGACCGGCCTAATACCTTTGCCTACAATAGTTCTTTTTTCCTCTGGGAGTTTAACTCAGGTTGTGATTAGAGAGTATTTCCCATAAATCACGCAAAGCACATGTCCTGCCCACCAGCCAATTACAGAAATGGAGTTGGTCAGACCTACACTTTATCTGAAACAATGCATAATGGGAGTTTTGAACTAAAAAAATTACCCTCTAATGTTACAAATATGATTCAGGCAAATAAAACTGCAGATGTATGTGTAAGTCCTCAGTACTGCGATTCTTTCTTTCTCTCTCTCTTTCTCTTTCTCCTCCCTCCCTCCCTCTCTTCCTTCCTTCCTTTTTTTTTTTTTTTAAGTGTCCTGGTTGTGTTAGGGTAATTTGTGATTTAAAAAGAAATGCCTCTCCTCTCCCCGACCCGATTTTTTTTTTTCTTTTTTGGTAGGATGCCTCCCTTTGCATTCCAAGGCAGCACTTCAAGCAGCACTTTGGTAAATGTCAAAAAGTTGGAGAGGCTGAGTGGGTTGCGTGGCCCGTCTGTGCCTGTGGGCTCCTCTCCCGCCCACGCGGCTGTGCCTCTCACTCAGAACCCTGCCTCTCTTGTGTTTGTCCCAAGGCTTTACTTTCCCCCCCACATACGTTCAGTGGCATTATTTGTTACATTTTTAAAAATACATATTTTATTTATTTCACAAACAATGTTACTGGCATAATGTTACCACACTATAGGATATAATGGTTGAAGAATGATTTCCCATAATCTAATTTCAACACATTACCTGATTCAGTATTCTGTGTCCTCTCCAGCCTTGCTTTTCTCTGTGCACAGGTATGACCTGATTCCAGTGCTTTTTAAGAATTATTAGCATTTTCTGCATTGCTCCTTGGCCTTCACAGTTATCATTTGAACAGTGGCACAAGATTCTCTGAAACTGCTCCTCTGTCTTCATTCCCATTTTGTGAGCATTTAAGCCGTTTACTGTTGATTGTCCATTTCTTCAGGTATCTTCTTACATCATCTTGCTTCTTTACTCAGCATAAAGCCTCGTAGTAGATTCTCAGGTCCCAGGGGTGCACATGCCTGTGTTTTTACCTTACTTCCCCAGGGGCCCTCCAGAGGGTGCCCATCCACGGAGTGCGGCGCCTGCTCGACTTGGCCTTCTGGCACTGGGGATTCCTCTCCCAAGTCTTGCTAGCTCGTGGCATGTGCAATGGGATCTCTTTCCTGAGTGCGCATTTCTTTCCTCACATTTGGGGGCATTCAGTGGGGGAGGATTTACAAAGAAACTTGAGGTGAGGGGCCCTCTGCACTCAACCTCCTGGGACCTGGGGCTGCACCCACTGGCATTGATTAGAAGAGAGCTTGTGACTGAGGAAAACCTGGCTTAGGGATTTATCTGCAGGGACTGTCCCCAGTAGGTCTATGAGAGCCCACCACAGCAGCAGCCCTCTGGATGGGGATTTGGGTCTTGGTTTTGCCAGCACTCCCAGTGGACAGTCATGCCTGGACTTGTCTTCTCCACCTTCCACTTGTCCTAACAGCTGTCGGGACCATCATCCACCAGGGGCCAGCTGTCCAGAGGCAGACCCACCCTGGAAGGCAGGCCAGCCTCCGCTCTCCACACCAGCTTGGGGATGAATCAGCGGGTGCTCTGACCACTACTTTCCCAAGGCTACTTTGCTTCAGGAAGTTACAGCAGCCATAGAGGACTCTGCTTATGTGAGATGTGCAGACATAATTCTTGCTTTTAGAAGGAGGGGGGAAAATAGAGAAGTAGTTATCTCATTGTCTTGGAATAAAATTATTTTGCTTTGCAAAGATTAGGCAAATCCCAGGTTGCTGAGTCTTGGCAGATTTCTCGTGGCCTAGACTGTGGTGTTTGGGGCCGCCTGTCTGTAATGTGCTGCCATGACAAGGCACGGTGGTGGTGGGGACCTGGCAAGGTACCGAACGGTGGAGGTGACTGTAGGATTAGCCCCGGCTTTGCAGCAGGTTTTCTTGGGAGGAGAAAATACACAGTTGGGACAGACTCCAGGGACCAGCTCCTTCCCCCTTTTTTCTATTGCAGAGGGGGAAACTGAGGCTCAGAGAGGGGGACTGGCTGTGCATACATGGATTCTTTGAAATTTTAAAGGATGGCCAGGTGCAGTGGCTCGCACGTGTAATACCAGCACTTTGGGAGGCCGAGGCGGGTGGATCACGAGGTCAGGAGTTCCAGACCAGCCTGGCCAACATGGTGAAACTCTGTCTCTACTAAAAATACAAAAATTAGCTGGGTGTGGTGGCGGGCACCTGTAGTCCCAGCTCCTCGGGAGACTGAGGCAGGAGAATTGCTTGAACCTGGGAGGCGGAGGTTGCAGTGAGCCGAGATTGTGCCATTGCACTCCAGCCTGGGCAACAAGAGAGAGACTGGGTCTCAAAAAAAAAAAAAAAAAAAAAAAAAAAAAGAAAGAAAGTTTAAAGGATGTTAAAAATTTTCCACACATTATCTTTTAATGTGTTGTCAAGGAGCAATGATCATCATAATGGCACTGGGGAAATGGAAAAAACTGGAAAACTCTCTTGGTTTGACAGAAAGGGATAGATCTAACTGTTTAGTGTTGCCAAGTGAGCCCCCAAACATCTCCCCTGGAAAAGTCATTAGGAATTTACCATCTCCATCTGCAGGGGCCAAGTGAGATAACCGTATCTAGTATATCCATCTGAGCAAAACCCTGTTTCTCTTCCCTTGAATAGGAAGCCAGAAACTGCTGCAGCGCACTGTTGAAACATAGCTTAGAAATAGATACTTTGTGGGGGGAAAACAACCTACTTATCTTTCCCATTATGCTATCTCTTAATAGGGCCCCTGGTATCTGAGCCAGCATACACATTTGGTTCTTCTGTGTCCTGTGATCTTCCTCTGAGTGAAAACTGATTATCTACTCAAAGGAAGCAGATGACAGAGCCCCCGTGATGTGTGCTGCCTTTGCTCTGTGCCTCTGTAGTAAGGGAGGCCTGGAATGAGCAGAAAGATGGCTCCCCTGGCCACAAAGGGGGGTCAGTCTATTGCAAAGCAGCCTTCACGTTCTGGAAGCAGGGAGCAGTGGGAGCCCGGGAAGGTCAGCCTTGCAGACTTGTAGATGTCATAGGATTATTTGAGCTGCTTCCGCTGCAGGTGGTTGGGAAGTACTGGATGGAATCCTTGGAGGCGAGATGAGAGGATGGGAGAAGAAAGTCTGGAAGAACAGTTAGATTTCTTCCTGATTAGATAATACTGAGTGAGAGTGGGAAGAACGGAGCGGAGCCTGTTGCCAGCGCGATCTCTGTCCCGTTCACTGTCATGTGGCCTCTTCACGGATGTGTGTGTGTCTGCAGGGACTCCTGAGAGCTCTTGTTGATGTTTAGCCCTTGGACCTGCTGGTGCTTACACATACGTTTCCATGGAGTCTGTACCAAAACCACAGAGGATCGCCCCCGTTTATCTGAGAGTAGCTCATCATCATTCTCTGCTTGGGTGTAAATAGCTCACTGCAGAATCTTAATCCCCAGAACTGGAGACCAACCATTTTCTCTGCACTTGGAGGGAACCATTCAAACATCCCTGTTGGGCTAGCATGAGGAAAAGCCAAGTCAGGCGCTTGGCCACCAGGGGATCTTGGCAAGAGAGGCCGTGGGATTTGAGAGTTAGAACTGATATGCAGCACAGTGCACCTTGGTGCCAGAGTTCTGACCAGTAGTGTTGCGTCCATTGGTCCACTATGATCCATGGATTGGGAACCCCTGTTACTGATGTGTTGACGCTATAGCAATATTATGGTGTGTCAGCTTCGCTGTCTTTCAAGGATGACTTGCGTAGATTGCATTTAAGTATAGTGGAGCAACAGCAATCAAGGTGTAAGACTTTTTTTTTTTTTTGGAGACAAGAGTTTTACTCTTGTCACCCAGACTGGAGTGCAATGGCGCGATCTGGGCTCACTGCAACCTCCGCCTCCCAGGTTCAAGGGATTCTCCTGCCTCAGCCTGCTGAGTAGCTGGGATTACAGGTGCCTGCCACCATGCCCGGCTAATTTTTGTATTTTTAGTAGAGACAGGGTTTTACCATGTTGGCCAGGCTGGTCTAGAATTCCTGACCTCAGGTGATCTGCCCACCTCAGCCTCCCAAAGTGCTGGGATTATAGGCGTGAGCCACTGCACCCGGCCAAGGTGTAAGAGTTCTAATCTTAGGCCTTCATTCTGCCATATGACAAACAAAGTAGAATTACAGTTGAAAACTAATTAACTCTACATAAAACAAAAATGAAGAGGTGGGCTCACATACCTATCTCAAAGTTGCTCTGGAAGATGGATTTAGCCCATTTAAAGGAAGCTAAGGGATAGAATTCATGAGAAGTGAGGTCTCCGGCTTTGTATTTATTAGGGCACTATTATTAGATGGCAACAGATAGATCCCAAATTCTCAATGACTAACCAAAGGGATGTTTATTGCCCTTTCACATTAGGTTGGAAAGAGATGCTTCTGCTTAGTAACGCTCCTTTAGTGACTGGGCTCAGCCATCCAGGGCCACCGTGAAAGAAGAAGAGTTCAGAGAATGGGTCATTGCAGGGGTTTACGCCCCAGGCCTGGCAGGGGCACACAGCATTGCACATCCCCCTTCCATGGGTCAGCACGCAGTCAGATGACCACCCCTTCCTGCAGAGGGAGGTGGGGAGACAAGGTCGGCCTGAGTGTCCAGGGGAAGGAGAAAACCGGCACAGAAACAACTAGCCAGTCTCTGCTACCTGTTTCTTGTGTTAAATCAGAATTTATAGGAAGGTGATTTTTTAAACAGTTTAGAGAGCTTTTCTAATTTTTGAGCGAGGGTCTTGTCTGAGAATTATAGCTTGAGATAAGGACTTCAGAATCTAACAATTCTTTGCTCCATTGCTACAATTTCCCCAACCCAGAAGTGGTGAAACCAAGTCTATCAAGCTTCTTGGTTGACATCAAGAAGGTTGTTCTGGGCGGGCGCAGTGGTTCACACTTGTAATCCCAGCACTTTAGGAGTCCCAGATGGGCAGATCATGAGGTCAGAAGTTCGAGACCAGCCTGGCCAACACAGTGAAATCTAGTCTGTACTGAAAATACAAAAATTAGCTGGGCGTGGTGGTGGGTGCCTGTAATCTGAGCTCCTCGGGAAGCTGAGGCAGGAGAATCGCTTGAACCTGGGAGGCGGAGGTTGCAGTGAGATTGCGCCATTGCACTCCAGCCTGGGCAACAGATCTAGACTCTGTCTCCAAAAAAAAAAAAAAAAAGGTTGTTTTGTTTGGTAAACAGAAAAGGAGCCATCTTAAGATAATGCATCTTTATTTAACAGTTATGAATAGAATCTCTCAAGGTCCAAAATGAATCTTTTGAAAGAACTAGAAATTCTTGCCTGTACCAACCATATTAGCAAGACTTGAAATGCAACATTCTAAGATGTGCCTCAGGAATAATTTTATTGACCAAAACCAGACGTCAGCTTGCAGCCTTGTGAAGCCTCCTCTCCATGTAGGAACGGGGGGCATTTTGGTTAGCTGGGTTAGGCTTGCTGAATTTTAACATGACATGCTTGCTTTTCCTGTGTTGGTGTGTCGCTTCTCTCCCTTGGGCCCCCGCCCCTAACTTTTCCACCTGATCTCTGACTTCTCCATCTTTCTAACCCCTGAACAACAACTAGAGATAAGTTCAAGGTCACTGCTGGAACTGACCTTTGGGTGCTTGGGCCACCCTTAGGCCTTGAGAGGCACAGGCTGAGGCCTTCTGTACAACCTCCTGGCCAGTGTGGAGGGGCCGGGCTCCAAGCAAGCTTGTCCATATCACAGAAAGTCAAGAGTCTTGCCGCGTGCGGTGGCTCACGCCTGTAATCTCAGTACTTTGAGAGGCCGAGGCGGGTGGATCACGAGGTCAGGAGATGGAGACCATCCTGGCTAACATGGTGAAACCCCGTCTCCACTAAAAAATACAAAAAATTAGCTGGGCGTGGTGGCAGGCGCCTGTAGTCCCAGCTACTCGGGAGGCTGAGGCAGGAGAATGGCGTGAACCTGGGAGGTGGAGCTTGCAGTGAACCGAGATTGCGCCACTGCACCACCCGAGACTCCGTCTCAAAAAAAAAAAAAAAAAGAAAAGTCAAGAGTCTTCACAATGAATGTTGACAGTAATACAAGGTCAGCTTTTTGTTTGCTTTTTAAAGGTTCCAGTCTGGTCACAACTGCATGCAACTGAGTTTTGTAATTATCATCTTAACAATGTGATCACAGTCTGCCCTGCCATTAAAGTATTTACTTGAGGGTACCCATGTAGCATGACTGTCTCAGATCAGATTGAAGCCTTCGAACTTGCTTTATAGAGGTTTTTAGAGTTGAGCAATCACATTTCTTTTTTCTTTTCTGAGACAATGTCTTGCTCTGTCACCCGGGCCGGAGTGCAGTGGTGCAGTCATAGCTCACTGCAGCCTCAGACTCCCAGGCTCAAGCGATCCTCTCACCTCAGCCTCCCGAGTAGCTGGGACTACAGGCGCACACCACCACAGCCAGCTAATTTTTATACTTTTTGTAGAGATGGACTCTTGCAGTGTTGCCTGGGTTGGTCTTGAACTCCTGAACTCAAATGATCCTCCTCCCTTGCCCTCCCAAAATGCTGAGATTATGGGCATGAGCCACCATGCCTGGCTGAGGAATCACATTTTAATAGCCTCACAAAGAAATCCTAGTGTTGACAATATAGGTTTTTAGGTCTGGAATGAACTTCCATTCTAGTCTAATTTCATCCTGATTTTACTGTCCAGGCTCTTGGCTGACCAGTGTGTGGAGACCCTGGTGGCAGCCTAGGGATCCCCTCCAGGTCTCTTCCTTGTCCTTACTGTAGACCATCACACCGCCACTAATTTCCCCCCTCTGGCCAGGTGAGAGCAGATTGTCACCATTTCAGAGAAATTTGAACCAATCAGAAAGAGAGCTCAGGAGTACTGGGGTGACTGAGATGAGCACATGTGGCTTCTTGAGGACCTTCCAACCCCCAAGTTATTCTTAGAAAGCTGCACACAAGCCAGGCAGCTGTAGGCTGGCGTTGAAAAGTTTTTAGCTTTAGCTAATTACATTGTGGGAGAGACTGACTGGGGGGTGTCCATCCCGTGTGTGCCATGCTGCCTCCATCTCTTTCTCCCTCTCTTCTGAGACCTTCTGGTTATCCCCAGCTACCTGCCCCTCCACCTCCTGTGCCCTCAGGGTGGGCAGTTTGGGTTTCTTTCCTTTTTCTTTTGTCTGCTGTTGTTTAGGATTGTGAAAGTGCAGCAGTGCACTCTGTCCCTGCAACAGGCTCTGCGGTGGGCTAGCTCCAGTGTTGCATTCTCCCTTCATCAGTGGAGAAATGCACTCTTGGAACCATGAAGAGTCTGCACATGACAGCTCTGCACTCACTAACATTCAAGCACCTTGATTCAGAGTTTCACGAGACTAAGGTGAGGTTACCTTTCCCTCTCTGTTGTTCTTCCCGTGGAAAGAGGGTTTTCTATTCACACTGTACATTCAGCCACAGCTGGAAACCTCATCTTCCTCTTCCAGTTAAGACAGTCATGTGGCCGGGCGCGGTGGCTCATGCCTGTCATCCCAGCACTTTGGGAAGCCGAGGCAGGCAGATCACTAGGTCAGGAGATTGAGACCATCCTGGCTAACATGGTGAAACCCCATCTCTACAAAAAAAAAAAAAAAAAAAAAAAAAAACATTAGCTGGGC
Source organism: Homo sapiens (assembly GCF_000001405.40). NCBI lineage: Eukaryota > Metazoa > Chordata > Mammalia > Primates > Hominidae > Homo > Homo sapiens. The sequence continues at coordinate 235,648,748 of NC_000002.12, forward strand.
ATGGTGGCATGCGCCTGTAGCCCCAGCTACTCGGGAGGCTGAGGCAGTAGAATCACTTGAACCTGGGAGGCGGAGGTTGCAGTGCGCCGAGATCGCACCACTGCACTCCAGTCTAAGTGACAAAGCGAGACTGTCTCAAAAAAAAAAAAAAGTCATGTAATTGTGACCTCAGTTCGCAGGACTTCGGAAGCAGGGACCCCTCCCCTGTACCCCCGCCAAAGCCACCATGGTAGCTCCTCCTAATTGGATCTTGGGGGACTCGGAACAGGGTTTAGCCTGAGAATGTGACTTGTGAGAACCCCAGATGAGAGTAGTTACACTTTTCTGGAAGGCTTATTTAAAACCCCAGAACATTCTTGCATTGGAATTGAGTTGCATTGCTCTCTGGGACGGGCAGTGGGCTCTTGGAAGAGGTAAGTGAAGTCACTGAGTGGGACGCTCCTCGGGGGAGGATTTTGTGGGGCAGTGGGAACATCAGTCTTTCCTAGGCTCAGGAGTGAGTCTAGAGGCCATGTTTATGCACAGGAAGCATCTGGAAGCTTATTAACACAGATTCCTGGGCCCTGCCCAAGAGATTTCAATTCCGTGGGGCCAAGCAGGCCTTGAGACTATGCAGTTTTAATTTATTGTTTTACTTTTATTTAAAGACAGATTCTCACTCTACTGCTCAGGCTGGGGTGTAGTGGTATGACTGTAGCTCACTGCAACCTCAACCCCCTGGGCATAAGCGATCCTCCCACCCCAGCCTTCCGAATAACTGAGACTACAGGTGCGCATCTCTACACTCAGCACATTTTCTTATTTTGTAGAGATGGGGTCTTGCTATGTTGCCCAGGCTGGCCTCAGACTCGTGGACTCAAGCAACCTTCCTGCCTCAGCCTCCCAGAGTGCTAGGAATACAGATGTGAGCCACAGTGGCTGGCCGAGATTGTGCTTTTCTAGCGCCTCCCAGGTGGCTGTGCTGATGCTGCTTGTCTGGGACCTTGCCCTGAGGAGCACTACGCTGTAGGTTCTATCACGGTAACGATACTGTAATGTACAGTGCATCAGATGTCACTAATTTAAAGATCTAGGCTGATGAAAATGAAACCAATTGAAGTACTTCAGCTCCTCCATGCAAGCATGGGCTGGCTTCCCTTATTTTACTGTGGAGTGCCTTTTATACCAGAGTAGTGGCTTTCTAATGTCTGACTCAGGTTAATTGATGAGATTCCAAGGCAACACAATTCAGTAAATCAAACTGGATGAACATCCTCTGCCATCAGAAAAATATCTTTATGATTAGATGGTGATCTTTGGATGGAAAATATTAAAATAAGAATTGATTAAACCAGCTAGGGATGGTGGCTCACGCCTGAAATCCCAGCAGTTTGGGAGGCCAAGGTGGGTGGATCACCGGAGGTCAGGAGTTCGAGACCAGCCTGCCCAACATGAAGAACCCCGTCTCTACTAAAAATACAAAAATTAGCTGGGCATGGTGGTGCACGCTTGTAATCCCAGCTACTCCAGAGGCTGAGACAGGAAAAATCACTTGAACTCGGGAGGTGGAGGTTGCAATGAGCCGAGATTGTGCCACTGCACTCCAGCCTGGGTCACAGAGTGAGTTCTGGGAGTTGGGTTTGTTCATTCATTTGTTTATTCATCTATCCATCTGTCCTTACGTCCTTCCATCCTTCCACCCACCTAGACATCCATGTCTTCCTCCTCTTCTCCCTCTGCCCACTCACCCATCCATCCATTATATGTTAGTTGAGCATGCTCTGTTTCAGTTCTGGGCACTGGGGATATGGCAAAGAAGTAAACATAGAAAACATAAAACTCTGCAGTCTCATGCTGTGGCAAGTGGTGCCTTCTGAGGTCCTGAGTGTTCCTGGAAATTAGCTTGCTCTTTACCCTGCTCTGCTGAAGAAAACCTTGGCAAATAGGGCACAGAAAACTCAATGTCAAAAACGTACCAATTTTCAGAGTAGGAAAAAGTGTGTTTTTTGCAGATTGCAAATCTGTGAGCTTAGCTTCAAGTAAAACTCTAGAAAGACTTATTAAAGAAATGTCCTATAAAAAGAGCTAGTATGTGCTCTGAAGACCTGGGTCTGGCAGAGCAGCCTCTGACATGTGTGGCACCATTAGGAGACAGCCAAGATAGAGACCCTGGCCAGGCGTGGTGGCTCACGCCTATAATCCCAGCACTTTGGGAAGCTGAGGCAGACAGATCACTTGAGGTCAGGAGTTCAAGACTAGCCTGGACAACATGGTGAAACCCGGTCTCTCTTAAAAATATAAAAAATTAGCCAGGCATGGTGGCATGCTCCTGTAGTCCCAGCTACTCAGGAGGCTGAGGTGGGACAATCAGTTGAACCCGAGAGGCAGAGGTTGCAGTGAGTCAAGATCGTGCCAGCCAGTGCGCTCCAGCCAGAGTGACAGAGTGAAACTCCATCTCAAAAAAAAAAAAAAAAAAAAAAAAAAAAAAAAAGAGACACCCTTGCAGGCAGTGGTCACAGGCCGAGGAACCTGGTGGACAAGGTGGGGAACGACTCAATGGATGATGATAAACAGGAAGTTCTAGTACCACTGAGAAAACGATCTGCCAGATATCTCCATCAGCAATGTTCTTAACATGTTTTGTTTTTGACATACTCCAGTCCTCATTTTGACAAGCTTAAGGGAAACATATTTGCAGTGAATGTTGCAGACAAATGGTTATTCCTGATGTTTAAACAGCCCATACAAATAGATTGGAAAAACATGAAGATTCCCATAGGCAAATAGACAAAAACCAATTAATCTGAAACGCTCTTATTGAACAAATCAGCAAAGACTAAAAACAGTGATGTCGACGACGTAGACAGATTCAGCCCTCTAGTCATGTTGTGGCTGTTGGCAGATTAAGCCTGTGTGCTGGTGGGTGGGCTGGGAGTGAGCAACGTTGAGCCCCCCGAAATAATGATGGTGGGAAGGGAAACCTTTTTATAAACTTGTTTGGAAATGTGAATGTATGAAATGCTGGCTTCCTTTGACTCAGGAATTGTGCTTCTAGGAATCTAAGCTAAAGAGATTTTCATAGTAATTGACAGGTTGATTTATATTTATACTCGTATCTTGTTCCAGAAAGGATAAAGCGGTCCACGGGGAGGGACAGGCATATAAAGGCAGCAGGGCACCCAGAAGACAGCTTGTCTTGATGAGAAGGAGAAGGAGCCCTGTTTTACAGCAAGTGTCTTTTGGTATGAAATTCTTAGGGTTTGGGGCACCCCTTTTGTTTTTTGAACGCTCGACTTTTTTGATGGTTATAATTGAGAAATACAGGATATTGCAAACCCTAGACCATATCGAAGGGGGCAAACTTAATTTCATTTGAAAGACACCTGGAGTGGGCAGGAGACATGCTGATCAGCTTTCCAGGTGGCAGAGGCAGCTTTTATAGTGACTTCCCTGACTGGTCAACTGGAAGCTTGATTGAATGTCCTGTGTCCCTCTGGGAGCAGCCCACCTGTCACTCTGTGGCCCTGCAACAGGGCCCTGCTTGTCAGGAGATGGCCATCTTAGTTATCTGACCACTTTCCAGCCTTCAGCCACGCAGCCCTCAGACCCCCCCTACCCCCCAGGCCACTGTGTCCCTGGAGACCCCTGTCCTCTGCATGCTTCCTACTCCTTAGAGGCCCATCAGCCTCCAAGAGCCACCCTAAGCAAGTCACCTGTCTGTGGGTGACAGCATTGAGTCCATGTTAAGAGAGCAGCCTCTATCTGTCTGGGGGTGGAGAGCCCATGTGATTCAGGAGACACCACATCATCATTTCAGAGCCATCACTGAACATCAGGGAAGAGAACTCAAGGGTAGAGTTGAACAGAAACATAAGTGATCCTAGGCCGGGTGCGGTGGCTCACACCCGTAATCCCAGAACTTTGGGAGGCCCAGGCGGGTGGATCACGTGAGGTCGGGAGTTCAAGACCAGCCCAGCCAACATGGTGAAACCCCATCTCCCTTAAAAACACAAAAATTAGCCAGTTGTGGTGGCGGGTGCCTGTAATCCCAGCTACTCAGGAGGCTGAGGCAGGAGAATCGTTTGATCAGGGGCAGGGAGCAGGGTGGGCAGAGGTTGCAATGAGTCAGCTACTCAGGAGGCTGAGGCAGGAGAATCACTTGAATGGGGCAGGGTGTAGAGGTTGCAGTGAGCCAAGTTTGTGCCACTGCACACTCTAGCCTGGGGGACAGAGCCAGACTCTGTCTCGAAAAACAAGAACGATACCAGTAGGTGTTCTTTGACCCATCAACAGGTGTGGGGAGGCAGCACTGCACCGGGAAGGATAAGAGGGTAGGCTTTGCTGTCTGGCCTTGGGCAAGACACTTGACCTCTCAAAGCCCATTTGCTGCATTGTAAAGAGGAAATCATACCCTACAGCAGCTAACCCTCTTACCTTGCTACTTAAGGGCACATTCCGGCCGGGCGCAGTGGCTCATGCCTGTAATCCCAGCACTTTGGGAGGCCAAGGCGGGCGGATCACGAGGTCAGGAGATCGAGACCATCCTGGCTATCACGGTGAAACACTGTCTCTCCTAAAAATAAAAAAATTAGCCTGGTGTGGTGGCGGGCACCTGTGGTCCCAGCTACTCGGGAGGCTGAGGCAGGAGAATGGCATGAAACCGGGAGGCAGAGCTTGCAGTGAGCCGAGATAGCGCCACTGCATTCCAGCCTGGGCGAAAGAGCGAAGCCTCCATCTCAAAAATAAATAAAATAAAATAAAATAAAATAAAATATAACATAACATAACATAACATAACATAAAATAAAATAATAAATAAAAAAGTGCACACTCCCTGGCCATCAGCCTCATCTCTTCTACCTGAGTGGATTAAGTAGTAAAGGGGGAGCTATCCAAGACAGATTTTAAAATGGTCAGTTTGAGTAAACCAAGAGATAGGTTTAAAAAACAATGTATGTTTCACTCAGAGCATAAACAAAATTGTTGAAGAGCCAGCCTACATGCAAGTTTAAAAATTAAAAATGGCCTTATGTATTAAAAACAATCCAGGCTGGGCACAGTGGCTCACGCCTATAATCACAACACTTTGGATGGCCGAGGCAGGCGGATTATTTGAGGTCGGGAGTTCAAGACCATCCTGGCCAACATGGTGAAACCCCGTCTCTACTAAAAATACAAAATTAGCCGGGAGTGGTGGCAGGCGCCTGTAATCCCAGCTACTTGGGAGGCTGAGGCAGGAGAATCACTTAAACCCGGGAGGCGGAGATTGCAGTGAGCTGAGATTGCACCACTGTGCTCCAGCCTGGGTGACAGAGTGAGAGTCCGTCTCAACAAAACAAAAACAATCCATGTTAATTTTAGAAAGTACAAATACAGAAGCAGAAGAAGAATCTGACAGTTATCTAGAGGAGATTTTAATCAGTGTCCTTTAGGTTCATTCGTTGCTTATTTCAATCTGGATTGGGACAGGATGACAAAGGCCCATGAAGGGATTTTATATATAACTGTGTGCTTAGTGTAGCGTGGGTGTTTGTGTTTTATCGCCTGGCCTCTTTGTGGCATGTGACATCTTTGACAGGAACACCAATTGATTCCTCTGTGCTCAATAATGTCTTCACTGCCATGGTATTTCCTGCACAGCTGGGGATGCTTAACTGTGTAACTACAATAGCAAGATAAGGGAAACAGATTTTCCAATTGGATATTTTAATAAATGATGGCTTCAGAAGGGGCACAATATTCTACGCCACTGATTGAATGATGACAAGAAATATTTTAATGGGTGCATTGCTGTCGCAGTGTAGTAAAAAGTAAAGAATGGTTCACCAAGTCAGAGGTCATCCTCAGATGTCCCTATGTGTCTGTTAGTGGAGATAAAGTGATCTCAAGACGGTGACACATTTAAAGTGACGTGAACTAGTTTATTAGTAGTCAGTGGTCCCCCCGGCCACTTCTAAAGATGACATGCTTCTAATCATACCCACAGGATTTCTAAGATCCTTTTTTTTTCTCTTATCAAATGACAGTGCTTGATGATAATTTCATCAGAAAGGTCTCCATCACTAGTCTCTGCTTTATTTTCACGTAGGCAAGTGGTCTCAAGAAAATTGGAATAAAAATATTCAAAATAATTTCTCCCAGCTATATCTGGAGCAAGATTAAACAATTATAAGGAGTAGGCAGTATGTTTTCAATCCCTGTGTTGTCTTTGTCACCATGATTTGCATTCATATCAGAAGGCCAGCAAACTCGGAAAGAAAATGACTTTCTGATTGAATCATATCATTTTAAACAAAGCTCTTTCATGAATAAAGAATATTAATTACTATATCCAGAATGATCCTCTTTTTTTTTTTTTTGAGTTGTGTGTTAACAGAAACCTTTGTGCATTTGACACAAGGTCAGCATAGATTTAACAGGAGACATAAGCTTTGAAAATTTATTCATGCTGGAATTGAACATGGAATTAATTAAATGTACAGAAGCTGGAAGGTAGACAGGTCGTTGTCTCCATTTTTGTTCTTTAAAGCACTTTATTCCATTGGGATATCACAATTTCGTAGCCTGGTATATGCATTCCTTGTGGTGTGTATTAATAAATTGAGTAGGTGAAAAAGACAATAGATGGAAAGCTGGAAAGTGATGTGGCCTGAATTCCTTTCTAGGTAATTTCAATGTTGGTCATGCCCAGGGATCTCCTTAAGTGTTGCAGAATCACACCTGGACAACCCAGGTGCCCAGTCCTTCATTGCCTCATGGGCTCTCTAGTCTTACTTTTGATCCCTTTTCCTGTATTTCACCAGTATAATACTCCCCACTCCTAGTTGGGAATATCTAACCTGTGTTGAGTACCTGTATCTGATGAGTTAGTAGCTGTGAAAACGTTTCTCTAGCAAGGCTGCCTGTGAGTGGGATCCCAGGCCAAGCAGTTAACTGCGTTCCAGCGAAGCAGGTGCCCCGTGTGTTGCTCTGCAAGTCCACATGGAGCAGGATTCCTTATTTTGTGAAGAAAGGATCTTTAGTGCCACGTGTGTATTTTTAACACATTTCCAAAAGCATGATTTATTCAGGATTAAGTTTATTCAGTAGAAATTTCCAAGGTATTTTTTTAAGTGAGGCACCATCCTGGATGCTGGGGAAGAATCTTTGTTGGAATATGACCCTGGGTTTTGTATGGAAAAGGGAGGGGGCAGTGCAGGATGTGGCAAGGCAGTTGTTGGAGCTCCGATACTTCCAATAAGTAACTAGCAGGGCTGTACACACTCTACCAGGAAAGACAAAGAAATGCAGAGTCCAGGGAAGCAGTCCATCGCACGTTTCTTCCTTCCCTGCAAGGGCACTGGAGTTCTCCTTCACCAGGAAGACTGCAGCCCCCATTCTGATTGGCCTCAGGGGGCCGCTCCTGCTGATGATGGCTAATGAGGACAAGCAGTAGAGAATATTGCTTTCATTTATCTTGGTGCTTTGTACCTTGATGGAGACAGATATTCGGGTTTCAAGAAGACAACTTTTTTTGCAGGGCAGGCATTGTTTGCTTGTTTTAAGGCTACGTTCAGAAGCACGAGAACAAACAACAGTTTCAAGCCTAACACTTGGGTTTACATGAAGCTAATTGTTAGATATGAGTTCTAAATTTCTTTTCAAAGAATCAGTATGTCAGTATGTTCAGTTCTTTGCCTTCTACTTCTAAACTTAACTTTCTCATAAAGCAACATTTTTCGATTACCTGCTCCACCCTGACTCATTTCAATCACCTGCTCCACCCTGACTCATTCCGATTACCTGCTACCTGCTCTGCCCTGACTCATTCTCCACCCTGCATAACCATTTTTCCCACCGAACCACTCACCGGGTCACTCTCTTTAAATTAGCCAATTGGAATTAGTTTAGCCTGTGCGGTCTAACCCTAGCCAACAGGGGAACGACACAGCAGCAGGGGCCACGTGAGTCAGGGATAAGAACCCCTTCCCTCCCTTGTCCAAGTGTGCGCTCACCATTGCTCCATCTGTAAGGGCGCACCCTTCTGTAGAAGTAACTTGCCTTGCTGAGAATTAAAAAGAAAATTTTATATTTGAGTGCTATTTCTTTTGTGGCACTGAAACTTTATATATAACATAATGTTGCAGTCCTTTAACATAACAGAAAGGAAAAGGAGAGGCATCCTATTCGGTTTTGCACTAGGGGTCCCCACTGAAATTGCTGACCACAATCACATGGATTATGATTTAATATTTCAGCAAGACATGCATGATTTTAAATGAATCCAATTAATATTCCATTGAAAAGTGGAAACCAGAGTCTAGATAAGCTGACCCAGCTCTCATGCATGTGCTGTTAACTTTCCTACTTTCCCCAGGAGTATCACAGTGAAATTGAGCCATGAGGGACTCTCTGCTTCTTACAGTTGGAAGCCTCTGGACTTCCTCCTCAGAGACGGGAGATCTTGTCTCTCTCAATCCTGAGTTAGTCTCCACTTTATAGCTGTTACTTCAGTTGTAGGGCACTGGGTAGCCCTGGAGTTGAGTTGTTCAATGCATGACCTTGTTTATGTCGCTATTTGAGTTTTTACTGAGAAAAAGGCCTTCTGTGAATCCAAATGTGACTATTACACACTGAATCTTCCCATTACTTTAAGAATAAGTGATGTTGTTGTTGTTGTTATTATTATTTGAGGTGGAGTTTCCCTGTTGTCTCCTGGCTGGAGTGTAATGGCGCCACCTCGGCTCACTGCAACCTCTGCCTCTCGGGTTCAGGCAATTCTTCTGCCTCAGCCTCTGGGGTAGCTGGGATTACAGGCGCCCGCCACCACATCCAGCTAATTTTTTATATTTTTTAGTAGAGATGGGGGTTTCACCATGTTGGCCAGGCTGGTCTCGAACTCCTGACCTCAGGTGATCCATCCGCCTCGGCCTCCCAAAGTGCTGGGATTACAGGCGTGAGCCACCGCGCCCAGCCCAGTGGTGTGATTATTCCATAACCATGGTGGTGATTCCTGTGGGCTAAACTGTGCCTCCCAGAATGTGTGTGTTTTAAGTCCTAACCCCCAGTGCCTCATAATGCGATTCTATTTGGAGACAGGTTCTTTAAAGAGGTGATTGAGTCAAAATGAGGTCAGTAGAGTGGGCCCTAATCCAGTAAGACTGTGTCCTTATAAGAAGAGGAGATTAAGACGCAGACACACAGAGGAAAGACCATGTGAGGACACAGGGGGAAGACGGCATGTCCAAGCCGAGAGACCTCAAAAGAGACCAGCCCTGTCCACACTGTGCTGATCTCGGCCTTCTAGGCTCCAGAACTAGGATAACTAGGTGTCTGTTGTTTAAACCACACAGCCCGTGGTACTTTGTTAGGTCAAGGCTGGTAAACTCGTACAGTGATGGCTTCAAATGTTATGAACATTAAAATCTTTCTATTGCTAGGGAAGGTCATTAAAACCTTGGTGGCCAATTAAATATTTATGGATTTTTTTTCCTTTACACTTTTGCAAAGCGTTTTTTCTAGTTTGTGCATACCTTCTTCTATTAGCAAAATGTCTTCTATTACCAGCTTTAGAAATAACGGTGCTGCTATTTTCCTTGGAGGGGTCTGGGTTGACAGACCTGCGAAAGGTCTGGATGTGTTCAGAGAAATAAGCGATTTTTCCAAGGCCCAGGCCTTTGTACTGCTCTAATTCTATCCAGAATGCTTCGGACGGGAAGAATTTATGGCTTTATAAGTGAGTATTTCCGTATTAGCAAAGAGACATCTACACTTGAAAGACTTTCCTGCAGCCTCCCGGGGGTCGAGGTCAAGAGTCTGGGAGGAGGTGTGGAGCAGAGTGTCCGGGTGAGAGGGTGCTGGGGGCACGTGCCCAGCAGGGGTGGAGGGGTGGACAGGCTCAAAAGAGAGACCTGGGCAGTGGACAGGGCTGGGCTTCCCTGGAGCTGTTGGCGGGGCAGAGCCAGCTCAAGGAACAGCTACCCAGCCTTTCCAGGAACTCTGGAAGGAAACGGGGACTTCCCTGGTGAGGGTGGGATTTGGGAGATAATCCTAATCACTGGGCTGTTCTTTGTCCTTTGACATTCAAATGAAATGGGAGCCTGTTTTACCCCAATCAGCCTTGAGTTTTCGGCACCCTCCCCCTCGGAATACCCGTGAGGGACCTTCTGTTTTTGTTGTTGGTGTTTTACTACCATTTCTGAGTACTTTCTCCGAAAGCTCTTTTAGCACGTTGCTTTTCTCTCTGCCCTCCCTCCTCCTCTTTCCTCCCTTCTGCTCTCACTCTGAAGCAGCCCAGCAGCATGTACAGCACTTGCTTTCCTTTGAGAGGCCCTCCATTGTTCCCGCCCTGCCAACTTCCACGCCAGCCTCCTTTTGCAAGTCCACCTGCCGTTCTGGGCTTGCCCTGGGGAAGGCCCTGGAGCTGGATTCCCACACCCTGCCGAGTTTGTGCGTTTCTGTGAATCTGATGAGTGGGTTGTGGACTTCAATCCAGCCCCACCCTTTACAGTGAGATCCAGGGACCTTTTTAACCTGTGACTGACTTTTTATGTCTTTCTATGTCTGTAAAATCGGGATAATAATAGTACCTACCTCTCTGTGGCACTTTGGGGGTAGAATGGATGAACTGAATTAACGTCTGAAGTGCCACAGTGTTGTATCTGAGTGAGTAGCGTCCTCCTTAAGCATTGGCTTTGGTGCACTGGGAAGGGGCGTCAGCTGGGCAGGCTGAGCCTGTCACCTTTTTCAAAATTTCCAACAACTGTGGCTTCTTGGGAAATCCTTTGGCAGTCAGGGTGCTATATGAACACATGTTTTGTGGGTCACTTGCCAGGCGTCAGTGCCCTGCTCGGGGTCCCTTTGCAGCTCCCCTGAACGTGCCATTTGAAGCATAGCAACCATTACTTTGAGAACCTGTGCAGGTCCAGGTGCCGAGGGCTGTCAGATCCCTGCATCAACTCTGGGGATGGGTTCAATTATTATCCTCTCTGTAAACAGTTCTCAGTTATTCCAAGTATTCTATTTCTTAATGGATCTTCTAAGCCCTGGATCAATAGTGTATATTTCTTTGTCTCTCAGTTGGGGCCCTGGCCTCTGCAGATAAGCCCTCGGATGCGAAATCTGGGGAACCAGCCAGCCACCTCTGGTCCTGGGAGGGTCAGGGACTCGTGAATCAACATCTGGCTCTTTGTGCACAATGGGCCTGGCATGGGCCCAGGCTGGTGGGGTGGGCAGGGAAGGAACAGGCCCATAGGCACCCCTCCATGGGCCCCTCAAGGCTGTAGACCCCTCTGTCTGACCAGCATCCCATTCCCTGAAGTGAAGCAGCTGCCACCAGGCTGGCTTTTCCCAGGCAGTCACACTCTGGGATGCCCCCACCCCTCAGCACACACAGTGACTGTGTTTTCATGTTTTCCACCAAGGGAGGGAGGGACAGGCTTTCTCAGGGGGGCGGCCACCCAAGATCAGCTGCGGCTGAGGATTTTTGTGGCTAGGGGAAGAAGTGAATCACCCTCTTCTCTGTGTCTTTCCCTAACCACTGGAGACTTCATAGATAAACTTGCGGGGTCACGGTGAGGGAGGCACTGTGTGGAAGGGTAAATGGGCTTCCTGGGGGTTTAGTACAAGTTGACCAACCTTCTTGTTGGTAACATGACTGAGGCATTACCTGCACTGATTAAGTCAACCATCAAGCAGCATTTATTAAGTAGAACATTGATAAGGGCTTGAGGGTGAGAGAAGTTGTCCTTAACTGAAGGAGGGGGTTCTATAAATGGAAGTGTCAGAGCAGGGTGACAGATGCCAAGGAAGAGTGCCCAGGTGTGCACAGGTGTGCCCAGGTATGAGGGGAGAAGAAGGGGTCAGGGCCAGCAGGGAAAGAGCTTGGGGACTCCTGAGTCCAGCTCCCAGTGATGTGTAGAGTTGAGCTCCATCCTGCTGATCCCAGCAGGAGATAGTGGCGAGACTGGGTATGGTGTGGTTGGGAACTAGAAAGGACACTGGTGTGTTTAGATGGGGAATCTTGGGATGCAATAGAAACAACCTCTGTTGGTTTTCAGCATTGGAGCAGATGCTCCCCATACATCATCACATCTTATTGTCGCAGCTACCGTATTGTTCTTGTCCCGTTTTTGCAGAAATGAAAACCTGATGCAGAGCCTCAAGGTCACTTTCCCAAGGTCACATGTGGTTTGCATCATTCTGGCCTTGGAGCCCAGCCTCTTAGCCACTCAGTGCAACTGTGGAGACTGGAGGGTGTCGGGGCGTTGAATACTGGTTAAGGAAACGGACGCTTTATTCTGCAGGTGACAGGGACTCACTGAGGGCTCCGAACAGAATTGTACCCTCAGACTCTGATTGCAGGAGTAAGGATGGTTTACTGAGAGTAGGCTACGTCTGGGGGTGGGTCAGCAAGGACGTGTGTGCTGTGGGAATCCTGAGACAGATGAAGAGGCTGTGAACAGTAGAGGGAGAGTGGACTCTTCGGGTAGTTCAGACAGATACGCAGGTGGGGAGAGATTGGCAGGCGGAGGAGAGGCTTTTGTTGAGGGCTGGAGGGAGGGAGGAGAGGCAGGCTGTTTCTGTTTTCTGTTAAGTGGGACGTAATCGAGTGTTTTCCTCTGCCGCCTGAAGGAAAGGCGGTGATTGTGATTGAGGGTACAGGGTCCATTTGCCAACTCTGAGCGGGAGAGTTGGGTGTGGGCGGGAGGCAGGACATTGAGGGAGCTCTGAAGTCATGGCTGGAGGCCATCCTACTGAGGGGATGGGGCAGTGATAGTTTCAAGGAATCCTAGGAATGGGAAAGGGGGCTGGCCAGGGCTGTGGGGGTGGGGGGGCTGTAGGATGCTGGAAGCAGCCCCAGCACATGTGCATCTGCAGCGGGACTTGGTGATGTGGACTTGGGGCTTCCGATGCTCGTGCTAGCCTGAATCTCCGGGAGACATGGAGCATCTCAGGGTGGGGTCAGGTTCCCAGGTGAAGCCCCTGCTGCTGATCTGTAGACCGTGCTTGGAGAACACTGGTCCAGTGCACTGGAGTTCGTACAGATCCGCCTTTGGGGCATGCCCAGGGGGGTCTTACAGGAGCCAGGGACAGGTGGGGCCATGTCTGGAGTAGACAGTGATACAGTGATGTCCCTTGGCCTCTGCTGGACAGAGAAGGAGGCGCCAGGAGGCAGCTCTGAGTTGGGATGGAAAGGATGCATGACAGTCAGCTTCCCTACAGCTGGAGGGGAAGTTCCAGAAAGAAAGGATGGCCAACCTGGGACTTGTGGGCAGGGAAAGGGCTTTTGGAGGCCAAGATTGTAGGGCAGTGTTATCCTGGGTGAGTTGGGGTATGGCCATAGGAGGGGGCTCCAGGAATTCAGGGAAGGAAAAGACCATGGCGCTGAGGAGGCGGCACGGCCTGGCCCTCCACCTCCAAGCTGACCACCCTACTCAGCTCCTTTAGGGTGGAGTGGCTGTAAGGCCGTGACCAGGAAAAAAGGGACCCAGGGTGGTGGCACATGAATCCCAGCTTTGTGTATCCACTCAGTTGCATGCCAGGTAGTCACATCTTAACTTGTGGCGCGGCTTTAGAGAGTGTCTGTGCAGGCTGCCTCTGATCCCTCAGTCAGTGTGCAGAGCTGAGCTGATGAGGAAAGTCTTGGTATGTAACCAACCAGGTCTCACCTTCAGCCACACTCCTAGGGACAGAGTGCGTCCATGGAGGGGAGGACTCACAGCAGTTTTGAAGTAATGTAGATTGTGTGGCCATCCCAATTTAGTTTATCATTCCCCTACTTGGTCTGTCTGCCTTCATGGAAGTTGGTGATTTTTTTTTTTTTTTTTTTGGCTCTGTTGCCCAGGCTGGATTGCAGTGGTGGCATCTCAGCTCACTGCAACCTCTGCCTCCTGGGTTCAAGCGATTTTTCTGCCTCAGCCTCCCAAGTAGCTGGGATTACAGGTGTGTGCCACCACACCTGGCCGAAGTTGGTGATTTTGAACAGAGGAAAGATAGCACAGTGTCATAACTCAGCAAAGGTGCTCAGCAGCTGCAGGAGTTGGGGTTTTCTGGGCTCACACCCAGCCTGTGTCCCTCATCCCCTTGCTCCGCTGCAAGAACCCCTCACCCTGCTCAGTGCTCCTGGCCACTGCTGACTGGTGCATGGCGAGCAGAGGTTTTATTCCATCTTACTGTGTCAGATGTGATTCCGGGGACGCAGTTCTTTCTTAAGAGCTCTGATGCATGTTCTAACTAGGAGGGCAGGTAGCTGCCGCTCCCAGCAGCCCCTGATGTGTTTTCCTTCAAGCCTGGGGAACACCGAGCTAGGGACACGCTGGCTAATAGAGGAAGGAGAGCTGGGTATGGTGGCTCACACCTGTAATCCCAGCACTTTGGGAGGCCGAGGCGGGTGGATCATCTGAGGTCAGCCTGACCAACAAGGTGAAACCCTGTCTCTACTAAAAATAAAAATTAGCTGGGCATGGTGGTGGGCGCCTGTGATCCCATCTACTTGGGAGGCTGAGGCAGGAGAATTGCTTGAACCTGGGAGACAGAGGTTGCAGTGAGCCAAGATTGCACCATTGCACTCCAGCCTGGGCAACAAGAAGGAAACTCTGTCTCAAAAAAAAAGAAGGGGAGCGATCACGTGCATCCCTCTGCTGAGATGGGAGCAGCAGCGTGGGGTTGGGCTTTGAACTGGCATCGTAGGCATTTTGTTTTCTACATTTAGAGGAAAAATATACATCAAATATTCAAGTCCCCTGGGCACAGATAAAAGAGTTTTCAGATATCTCTGCAGCCAAATCCCAAATGGGATGCAGAAGGGAGAACTGTGTAAAATCACGCTCTTCCAGAAGCTGGGCTTTGTAATGGGGCTGGCAAAAATTCCCAGGGCATCGTTTGTGGCCTCAATGTGATTTTCATGTAAGTCATGGATTTTCTAAATCTTTGAGGTTAGTGGATCTAAAGAAAAGCTTGGTAAACATCCAGATGTTGTCAAACATATTTAGGTCATTGTTCTCTGACAGTTCGTGATATTCGTTCCTACTCCAGGAAGCTCTTAGGAGAATCCAAATCCGACTTCCCTGTGCTTTGAGAAGGAATGTCTGCATGAAGACCATCGTACAGATGGCGATATTAGAAGAGTTCCCTCCCGTGAATCCTGTAGAGGAAAATGTTACCAAATAGGCCTGTTCCCCTGTGCACCCAATACTAGGAAGATTAGATAATGTGTAGGGATTTCTTGGTTTTTCTGCACAAAAGCTCCAGGGCTGCTTTGAGGCTGTCTGATAGACAGCTGCAGTGTTGTGTGTTACCCTTGACCGCATCCCTCCTGTCCCTGAGCTCGAAGGCTGAATGGTCGATGGGAGCTCCTTTGGTGACTCCGTAGCTGTGGCCAGTGCCTGGCAGCTAGCGAGTGGCCAGAACTGGGAGCTGCTGTGTGTGACGTGGCTGTTCAGTGTTGTTTGTGTTGGCTCTGTAAAACGATGCTTAATAGATTGGATTTTAATATATAGTTTGTTTTTTTGTTTTTTTTTTCGAGACGGAGTTTCACTATTGTTGCCCAGGCTAGAGTGCAGTGGCATGATCTCAGCTCCCTGCAACCTCTGCCTCCTGGGTTCAAGCGATTTCCCTACCTCAGCCCCCCAGGTAGCTGGGATTACAGGTGCACACCACCACGCCCAGCTAATTTTTTTTGTATTTTTATAAATATAAAAAAGATTTCACCATGTTGGCCAGGCTGGTCTCAAACTCCTGATCTCAGGTGATCCACCTGCCTTGGCCTCCCAAAGTGCTGGGATTACAAGCATGAGCCACCACACTTGGCCTGATTTAATATCTTAAGTCACCTTTGCCTGACACTTAGCAAGAAAAACTACCAAGAAATATCTAATATTTTCCTTTTGTTTGGGAATAAGAATCTACTCACAATGGACACTTGCTGGCTTGTTTTAAAACCAAGCTTGCTTCTCACTGGCCTGTTTAAGTGGAAATGAAGTCTCAGTGTGGGGTCCGATGCTTCCTATGGCTGCATGGAGGAAAGGAGTCTGGGCCTGAATCTCCCGTGTTCCTCATGCATGGGTAGAACTAAAGCCTCTTCTTCTGTAATGTGGCAGTTCCCATTCTCAGAGGATAAAGTACGTGTGAGTGATGCCACCTCAACCCTTAGCCAGGTGCAGGCGTAACAAGGGAGACCCACCTGTGCAATATAGTGAGACCCCCATCTTTACCATAAATGAAAAAAACGTTAGCCAAGCATGGTGGCTCACGCCTGTAATCCCAGCACTTTAGGAGGCCAAGATGGGAGAATCATCTGAGGTGAGGCGTTCGAGACCAGCCTGGGCAACATGGCAAGACCCTCCTCTCTACAAAAAAATTTAAAAATTAGCCAGGGGTGGTGACATGTGCCTGTGGTCCCAGCTATTCAGGAGGCAGGAGGATCACTTGAGCCCAGGAGTTCAAGGCTGTAGTGAGCTATGATCTTGCCACTGCACTCTAGCCTGTCTGTGTGGTGGTGTGTTCATACACAATAGACATCGCCAGTGTTCTGTTGGCAGGAATTGCTATCGTTGGTCCTTAAGGAAAAACACAGGAAGGATGCAGGTGCTCAGAGGACCTTCTGGGGTCTTTTTTCCTGCCAGATCAATGTTCCTGCCCTACAGACAGACCATACTTGTCCTTCCTCCACTAGCAGATAAGGGTCAAGTCCTCATCTCTTTTACAGTTCCACGTTTAACCTTCAGCTTTTAAAACGAGAGAAATAGGGTCCCCAGTGAGTTCAGCTGGAGTGTCCCAGGCAAAGGGATGCGTGCAGAATTTTCAGTTCCTAGAAGCTGAGCATCATGGCAAATCTTAGCTTAGAAACCATTCTACCATGACATTCTCAGATGAGAATTTGAGTCTTATGCTAAAAATATAAAAGTATTAATAAGACGTTACTGTCTTGGTAATTGCTTCTTCTTACATGTATCTGTCAGTCAACTGGCTACCAGAAAATAGCCTTTGATGTACCCACGGAGGGGCTCTTGGTGGGCTCCCGGGGTGGGCATGCTCAGGCCTGGGCAGTACCAGTGGTTGGCCAGTTTCTACCATCAGCAGACGCGGTTCTGCTAAGATACTGCAAACGTGATTACTGGCTGTCAGGTTCTGTTATTTGGAAAGCCAGCCTGTGTAGCAGATGGCTCTGCTGACTGGCTACCAGAAGTTTCCTTTAAATAAGGCTTATCAGCTCTAGCAACACTTGGAAATACTATTCTCCAGGAGAATGTTTGATTTATAGGTAGCTAGAAATGACCCGGGACAGAGGAGTCGTGAGACGGTGGCCAAAGCATCTCATAAACTTGGAACTAAGGGAGCGAAGCCAGCTGCTGAGGGTGATGAATGGGGGTTAGCTAGGGCTGGCACCTTTCCTGAACTCTCCTCTGCAGTCTTCCTCTCTCGCGCAGCATTAGTCCCTGCAGCACGGAGGCATTACCCGGCTGCTGTTTGGTTTTGAGGTAGCAGTGAAATCAACTACATGCTTTAAAAAAAAAAAAATGGTGATATGCTCCATGGCATGAAAAAATTCAAGAAATGGCAGTCTAGTGTTTAAAAAGCCACAGGAAAATAAAGCATAATGCCACCTGAACATATATAGTATTGTGATTTTTTTTTCCTCTTCAAAAAAGGCTGGTCTGGCTTTGTAGAAGGGGATTTAGATTTTGGAGTGACATGTCGGGAGCATGTGTCTTCTTTGCATCGGGAGAGCCCATCTCTCTAAGGCAGTGGGGAAAGGCAATTCTCTGTGACCAGGTTTTTCAGCACCCACAGTTGCACTTGACATGGCATCATTATGACTGGTGTGGAAAATAAGTGCTTCCTTCTGAGGTGGAAATGCTGAAAGATCACAAACACACTGGCTATGGCTGGAAGAGGTTCCCTGGAAGAGTCAGTGTCATCTAAGGTGGATGGAATGGATTCTTCTACTCCGCAGCCCGCATCTCATATGGCAAAGTGCAAAACCTGGGATGGATTCTCAACAAAGGTACAGTAATTGGGAGACACAAACAGTCCAGTGTTTTAGCCCTGAAGGAATACTACCTTATTTTTTACTTTGGGCTCTATGAATGCTTCAGATAACAAGCCAGATAGATTTACATACCTTAATTATGGACAAGCTACTTTCATATTAAAGTTCATCTCAGTATGTGAACATTGCCCTGGTCTCAAACAGTGAGAATTGACCTCCCCCTCCCACACCTGGCTAAGTTAGGAGCCCAGGGTTCTGGTCCCACCCTTGACAGTAGCAGAGATCTCTATCTTTCCACGTTGCTGTTTGTTTCTCAGCTTACAGACCTGGGTGACCTTTAAGTCTGTACAGCTGCAGTGATAAAATTTTAGACTTTTGCCATATTTTAGTGGTGTTCATCATTAAAGAGGCGGGATGGCCCTGTAGCTGTCTCTGGGATTATCGCGAAGCTTTTCTCTCCCTCGCTGTCTTTCTGTGGTAAAATCACGTAGCCTTAGCATTTTTCGGGAGTTGGGTCAATTCTTTGAGGACAGAACCCCTGCGTTGTCACTGTGTAGCATTGCAGTAGGTACTCAATATATATTCGATGAATAAATGAACCAATAGAAAACCGAGTAAGTCTGTGAAAGTTTGCTAAAAATGCTACCTGGAAATGTCAAGGTAACATTTACATTTGATTTGTGTGGAGTTCAGTAATATTCACATGTTTACTTTGGTCTTTGTTATCAACAAAGCAGAATGCTGATGCTTACTAAGACAAAAAAAAAATGAGCACAGGCAGTGTGACCCCCAAACCCCAGATTTCACCCTTACTGAGGAGCTGTGTAGCCCTGGGGAGGTGCCCTCTGTCTCCGAGCCTCTGCATCTCCCTAACCAGATGGGCGCTAGGCTGTCATTCTGAACCATTCTGACAGATGAATCCCGCCTGGCTGCTACTCTAGAAGTTGGGGGTTCTTGGTTCTTATCAAAGAGGGCTTCTTTAGCCTGGCGTGGTGGCTCACGCCTGTAATCCCAGCACTCTGGGAGGCTGAGGTGGGCAGATCATGAGGTCAGGAGTTCGAGACCAGCATGACCAACATGGTGAAACCCCATCTCTACTAAAAATACAAAAATTAGCCGGGACTGGTGGCGCGCACCTGTAATCCCAGCTACTCAGGAGGCTGAGACAGGAGAATCACTTGAACCCAGGAGGTGGAGGTTGCAGGAGCCGAGATCGTGCCATTGAGCTCCCGACTGGGCAAGAGCGAGTGAGCCTCTGTCTCAAAAAAAAAAAAAAAAAAAAAAAAAGTCTTCTTTATTGAAACTCAAAAGGTAAAATGATTCTGTCTTGGAGACCCCTCCTTACAATGAGGATGTAATCAGAGGTACCACATCCAGAGCCCTTAGAGTTTGAGTAGCAGGTAGGCTGAGGTATGACCCTGTGATGGTGAAAATCATGTTAAGGTCGAGGCCACAGAGGGTGCTCAGGTGTATTTTAAAGTATCCTTTCAAGATAAATAAAGTGAATCACCTAGCAGTCACTCTGACTTATTTCATTAAATCTGAATATTAAATTTAATGCTGTCATAAAATCTAGATTTCCTAGGCTATAACTTCTATAACTTCCTTCAAAAGAGAGCTTGCCCAATTCAGTTTTATGCCACTTCCAGTGTCGTGAACACAATAGGTACCCCCACAATAAGATTAAAGTAGGGAAAGCTGGCACCTGACAATCCCTGCCTGCAAATAGCAAATCCCAAAGTAATGCTTCCACCTGGCCTGGCCGCCAGCACCTTGCCCAGAAACAGCCTGTAGCAAGCTGTGGCATTTCTAGGCCTGGAGAAGGTCGTGTAAGCATGTGGTGTGATTAGGGGACATTGTATTTTTCCTTCTGAAACTTTTCATCAAGGAAACTCTGAAACAATACATCTGTGTTTAAGACAGCTTGAGGAACTGATAAGTTGATCATCTATGTCTAAATATTGTGGCCTCCGATAACATCCTAGACCAGTATCTATCAGCCCACCAGGTAGGAAATCGAGGATTTGATGGAAGAGAAGTTCAGTTTTCATTATTAATGGTGAATATTTAGCATGTACACAGAATGCCTGGCACATAGGATTTTAACCAATTTAATCTTCACAGGAATGCTCAAAGTTTAGGAGCTTTTATTGGCACCCCTGTTTTACAGGTGGAAAAGCAAGTGGTTTGTCAGTGAATAAGCCTGGCTTGCGGGCAGGCACGTCTGTCTGCTTGCTCTTAACCGCAGTATTCTCCTGTCTGTTGTCATGGGGAGCAAGTGCTTACCTGTAAGGAATCCTTCCCCACACATTGGTAAAATAACCCTACAAGATTATTTTAGAAGTTTTGCACAGAGGCAGTATCGTAGCCATGGAGGTTTATCTGGGGTGAGGTTATTGATAATTGAAAATGAAAACAATAAAGACAGAATTATGTTAGGAGACAGACTGTGGCCCTTCATTGGGATGGCATTGGTGTACACAGCACCCTCACAGTCACATCTCTTTGTTCTTGTCTTCCTGGAAGCCCACTTGTTCCTAGGTGAGGTTGGCGGTAACAGGTACCAAAGACTGTTTTTTAAACAAGTCACATGAGTTGCATCTTCGAGGCTGCATGGTTAGGAAAGATGCCTCATTTAAACGCGCAGCAGGTGAGACATGCCCCTCGTTTTGTTCTTGCAGGCCAAGCCCCAGAGTGGGCGTGGTTTTAGGGTGCAGGCTGGTGCTGGGCTGGGCCCCTCGGAGGCTCCGGTCCGCGCTGCGTCGATCCATCCCGGCGCTTGGGCCTGCACGCCGCCGCGCTCGCCGCCGCCGCCGCCGCCGCGCTCCCGGGACTCGGCCAGCCCGGCTGGGCGCGCGGCCCGCGGTCCCTTGCACGTCGGCCCCCGTCGCCCGCCCCGCCCCGGCGCGCGTTTCCATTTTAAACCGCCGCCCGCCGCCCGCCACCCGCCACCCTTCGGCCGCAGCCGGTGCAGCTGTCCGCGCGTCCCGGAGCCCAGGGAGTGGCGGAGGCTGCGGAACCGCCGAGCTGTGCAGCCGGAGCGGGAGGATGCGCACGGGCCCCGCGTCGTAGACAATGAAGCCGCGGGCGCCGCCGCCTGCCCTGGGCCCTGCGCACCGCGGCCGCACCTGCCGGCGAGAGCGCTCTAGCGCCTGACCGGCCGCCTCGCTTGGCCCCGCCGGCCCATGGCTCGGCGCCCCGGGCCCGGACCCCGGCACTCGGGCGGCGCGGCGCACGGGCCGGCGGGTGCCAGGGGCGCCGTCCCCGCAGCCTGAGTGCGGCCCTCGCGGTCAGCGGGGGGCGTGGGCCACACTCCCGGCCCGCCTGCCCTCCCCGCTTGGCCCGGCGCCCTCCCGGCCCGCGGGCTCGCTGGATGCGGCGGGGCCCCAGCGCGCGGGCGACATGTACTTGTTGGACGGCAGTGGCGAGCCCGCGTCGCCACCCGCGGACGCGATGCCGCGCGGGACGCCCCCCAGAAAGACTGTCTACCGCATCTCCGTGACCATGGTCAGGAAGGAGCAGCTGGCCGCGCCGGGCTCCGGCGGCCCGGACCCACGCCCGGTTCGGCGGCCCCGGCCCGCGCGCTCCCCGGACGCGCCCGGGAGGCTTGAGGAGGAGGCCGAGGAGGCGGAGGGCGCCGAGGAACCGGAGGGTCCCCGGCCGCGCGCTTGGGATTTCCGCACCTTCCGCACCCGCAGCACCGGGCAGCTGGAACTGGGGCGGCTCCGGCCGTGCGCACGCGGCCTGGAACCCGCGGACCTGGCCGGCAGCGCCCCGGCCGAGGAGGAGGGACGCGGCTCGCCCGCGTCCGGCAGCCCCGACGTGGAGGGGGCCCGGGCCGCGCCCCTGCGGCGGAGCCTGAGCTTCAGGCACTGGAGCGGGCCTGAGGCGCCGCAAGGCCGGACACTGGGCGGCGGAAGGCGCCACAGCAGCTCCGGGAGCCTGGCCTGGGCGCCGTGCGACGAGGCCGCGGCCGGGACCACCCTGGAGCCCGCGACCGCCACGCAGCCCGCCTCGGAGAAGCGCAACACCCTGGACGTGGGCGAGGTGCTCAGCAAGAACGACGCGCTCTCGGACCTGGAGCGTTGGGAACGCAGTAAGAGCAAGAACCGCACGCTGGACAACAGCGACCTGCAGCGGCTGGAGCGCGCGCGGGCGGCGGCCGGGGCCGGCGCGGCCTCGGAGCACCGGCTGCTGCGCTTCTTCAGCGGCATCTTCGCGCGCAGGGACGGGGGCCCGGGCGGCGGGCCCTCGCCACGGAGCGGAGCCTCGCGGCCACGCGGCTACTTCAGCCTGCGGCGGGCCCCGGCCGAAGCGCACTCGTCCAGCGCCGAGAGCATCGACGGCTCCCCGCGCAGAGGTGGGCAGCGTGGCCGGGGGTCCCGGGACGGGAAGGGGCGTGGTGGGGACTTGCCGGTTCCGCAGCGGCTATGGGACCCGCCCTCCCGGGTCGGGAGCCTGCACGTGGCCTCGAGGGATGCGAACTCGGGTACTGCGGTTTTCCCCAGCAGGGCGCAGCGGTCCTGGGTTTTCTGGCTGCCCCTGCGCCTGGCTGTGCGTGCTGGTGCCCCTCGGAGTCCACCACCTTCATCAAGGAGAGCTTGACCCGGGAGAGGTCGCCTTGCCAGCCGGCGCCGACCTCCTTCGCGTGCTCGCTGGGTCTTCTGCGGGAGCGGGCCCTGAGCTGGCTGCCCGCGACACCTGTGGGGCCGCCCCAGGGAGCCGAGGCTCGCCGGTCG